>NC_000011.10:106263333-106566364 GCF_000001405.40 Homo sapiens
TACAATTACATAAGTTCTAGCTACATTATCCTCATTTTTATTCTTGTTTCTTCTGGAAAATTTATTGGGTTATTATGCCTTTGAAAGTCATAATGGGTTTTCTGGGATTACTATGTAAGCACTACATAATAATTTCTGTTGGAATTCCCTGCTTTTATTTCTTCACAGCTGCAGCAGAGCCATCAGAAAACAACTCCTGATTTTAGTTGATCAGATTCAAGTCAATGAAAAAATGACGTTTCTGTGTGTCTACTTCGGGCTAAGCACCAGGGTAGGCACAAGAGAGATCACAGGGATGAATTAGTCCTAGCCCCTTGGAGATTATCCTCTCACCCTCTCCCCGCCATAGTTATCTTGGTCCTTTTCACATATATCTTAGCAGGTTCTGTTTCAGGCAAAGTTTCACTTCTGTATATGTTTGTTACTACTGTTCATTTGAGATCTGCCACTAACCCTCATTATGACCTGGGACATGTCTGTGGCCCCTCCACATGCTGGCAGGATAAAAATTGACCAAATATATGATGCTGTCACATAGATGGATCCTATTATTTGGTGATTACATTGAAATCTTTACTGTAAAAATTGTGTTGTCAAAAATGAAAACAGATGATACTGAGTAACTCACTAGTGCCCTAAAGTACTCTACAGCTTTTCAAACAAAATTGAATATTCTTTTCAACATTCTCTCTGTAAAAAAAAAAAACAATTCTATATTAGTGACCCTATATCCAATAGCCAGTTCAAATTTTGTTTTTCTCATGTCATACATCTCTCTTTTGACTTCTCTGAAGTCATCAATCTACTGGCCACTTACCTTGTGACACAGTGGCAGAAGATGTAGGAAAATCTGTGCTACCCATCATTGACTAGCCACTTTACTATCTGAGGTTTGTTAGTCTCAACTGTAAAAAAAGGATCAAATGATCTGGTGTCCTTTTCCATTCAAAGACTCTTGAGGTCAAAAGAATTGAATAGAATCACATTGGAGAAAAACCCTATGAATGTAAGAAATGTGGTTTGGCCTTCAGTTTTCCCAGTTCTTTTTGAAAACATGGAAGAGCTCATGTGGAAGAAAAGCCTTATGAATGTAAGAAGCATGATGAGGCCTTTAGTTGTTCCATTTTCACTTCATGGCATAACTTATTCTGGAGAAAAACTATGAATGTATGGAATGTGGGAATGTTTTCATTTCTCATATGTATGCAAAGAAACATGGTAATAGACACTGAAGAAAATTTTATAAATATAAGAATGCATACTGGATTAAAGTACTAGTAGTATAAAAAATACAGAAAAATGGCGTGAACCCGGGAGGTGGAGCTTGCAGTGAGCCAAGATTGCATAACCGCACTCCAGCCTGGGCGACAGAGTGAGACTCCATCTCAAAAAAAAAAAAAAAAAAAAAGTACAGAAAAGTTATCACTTTTAACAATTACTTTAAAAGTCACGTGAAACTTCTACTGGAAAGAAATCCTACACGTAATATGGAAAGCCTGGTGCAAAATAATTATTGTATAATGCTTGTGAAAATTCACAACATGAATAAAATATTACATGACTTATAAGGTGTTTTGTCCATGACTCACTTTTTTAAAATTTTTAATTTTTAACTTTTGTGGGTATATAGTAGGTATGTATATTTATGGGGTACATGAGATAGTCTGATATAGGCATGCAATGCATAATAATCACACCATGGAAAGTGGAACATTTATCCTTCATATTGCAAATAATGCAATTATAATTTTTAGTTATTTTAAAATGAATAATTAAATTATTTTGATTATAATTACCCTACTAAGCTCTCAAATAATAGGTCTTATTCATTAGTTCTATTTTTTGTTGTACCCATTTACCATTCTCACCTCCCTCCCCAGAGCCCCACTACCCTTCCCATCCTCTGGTAACCATCCTTTTACTCTCTGTCTCCATGAGTTCAATTGTTTTGACTTCTAGATCCCAAAAATAAGTGGGAACATGCAATGTTTTTCTTTCTGTGCCTGGCTTATTTTACTTAACACAATGACCTCCATTTCCATCCATGTTGTTGCAAATGATAGGACCTCATTCTCTTTTATGGCTGAACAGTACCACATTTTCCTTACTATTCATCTGTTGTTGGACACTTAGGTTGCTTCCAAATCTTGTCTACTGTGAACAGTGCTGCAACAAACATGAGGTGCAGATATTGATTCAATATACTGATTTCCTTTCTTTTGGGTATATACCCAGCAGTGGGATTGCTGGATCATATGGCAGCTCAATTTTTAGTTTTTTGAGGAACCTTCAAACTGTTCTTGATAGTGGTCGTGCTAATTTACATTCCCACCAACAGTGAATGAGAGTTCCCTTTTTTCCACATCCTCCCAGCATTTGTTATTGCCTGATTTTTGGATAAAAGCCATTTTCACTAGGGTGAGATGATAT
This sequence comes from Homo sapiens, assembly GCF_000001405.40. NCBI lineage: Eukaryota > Metazoa > Chordata > Mammalia > Primates > Hominidae > Homo > Homo sapiens. The sequence goes on from NC_000011.10 coordinate 106,265,764, forward strand.
TAATTGTGGTTTTGATTTGCATTTCTCTGATGATCAGTGACGTTCAGCACCTATTTTCCATGTGTATGTCTTCTTTAGAGAAGTGTCTATTCAAATCTTCTGCCCATTTTTAAATTGGATTATTAGATTTTTTTTCTATAGAGTTATTTGAGCTCCTTATATATTCTGGTTATTAATCCCTTGTCAGATGGGTAGTTTGCAAATATGCTATCCCATTGATATGGTTTGTCTGTGACCCCACCCAAATCTCATCTTGAATTGTAGCTCCCACAATTCCCACCTGTTGTGGGAGGGACCCAGTGGGAGATAATTGAATCATGGAAGTGTTTTTTCCCATACTGTTCTCATGGTAGTGAATAAATCTCACAAGACCTGATAGTTTTATAGGGGGAAGCCCCTTTCTCTTGGCTCTCATTCTCTCGTCTGCTGCCATGTAAGATGTGCCTTTCGCTTTCCACCATGATTGTGAGGCTTCCCCAGCCATGTGGAACTGTGAGTTCATTAAACTTCTTATTCTTTATGAATTACCCAGTCTCAGATATATCTTTATCAACAGTGTGAAAATAGACTAATACAGTAATCAGTATCAGTAGAGTGGGGTGCTGCTGTAAAGATACCCAAAAATGTGGAAGAGACTGGAACTGGGTAACAGGCAGAGGTTGGAGCAGTTTGGAGGGCTCAGAAGAAGACAGGAAAATGTGGGAAAGACTGAAATGTTCTAGAGACTCATTGAATTACTTTGACCAAAATGCTGATAATGATATGGACAATGAAATCCAAATTTGAGGTGGTCTCCAATGGAGATGAGGAACTTGTTGGGAACTGGAGTAAAGGGGACTCTTGCTATGTTTTAGCAAAGAGACTGGCAGCATTTTGCTCCTGTCCTAGAGATTCATGGAACTTTGAACTTGAGGGAGATGATTTAGGGTATCTAGTGGAAGAAATTATTAAGCAGCAAAGCATTAAAGAGGTGACTTGCATGCTGTTAAAAGCATTGGGTTTTAAAAGGAAAACAGCATAAAAGTTTGGAAAATTTGCAACCTGATGATGTGATAAAGGGAAACCCATTTTCTGAGGAAAAATTCAAGTCAACTGTATTTTCTAGGCCAGGCCCACGGCCCCTTGCTGTGTGCAGCCTAGGAACTTGGTGTCCTGAGTCCCAGCCACTCCAGCCATGGCTAAAAGGGGCCAAGGTACAGCTCCAGCTGTGGCTTCAGAGAGCTCAAGTCTCATACCTTGTCAGCTTCCATGTGGTGTTGAGCCTGCAGGTGCACAGAAGTCAAGAATCAAGGTTTCAGAACCTTTGTGTAGATTTCAGAGGATGTATGGAAATGCCTGGGTGTTCAGGCAGAAGTTTGCTCCAGGGGTGGGGCCCTCATGGAGAACTTATGCTAGGGCAGTGAGGAACGGAAATGTGGGGTTGAAGCCCCTCCACAGGGTCCCCACTGGGGCACTGCCTAGTGGAGCTGTGAGAAGAGGGCTACCATCCTCCGCATCCCAGAATGGTATTCCCACTGACAGCTTGCACTCTGCACTGGGAGAAGTTGCAAACACTCAATGCCAGCCCGTGCGGGCAGCCAGGAGGGAGGCTGTACCTTGCCACAGGGGTGGAGCTGTCCAAAATTATGCAAACCTACCTCTTGCTTTGGTATGACCTGGACGTTAGAGATGAGTCAAAAGAAATTATTTTGGAGCTTTAAGATTTGACTGACCTGCTGGATTTTGGACTTGCATGGGGTCTTTAGCTCCTTCATTTTGGCCATTTTTTTTCTATTTGGAATGGATGTATTTAAACAATGCCTATACCCCCCACTGTATCTAGGAAGTAGCTAACCTGCTTTTGGTTTTACACGCTCACAGGCAGAAGGGACTTACCTTGTCTTGAATGAGACTTTGGACTGTGGACTTTTGAGTTAATGCTGAAATGAGTTAAAACTTTGGGGGGCTGGGTACAGTGGCTCATGCCTGTAATCCCAGTACTTTGGGAGGCCAAGGTGGGTTGATCATTTGAGATTAGGAGTTTGAGACCAGCCTGTCCAACATGGTAAAACCTCGTCTCTACTAAAAATACAAAAAGATTAGCTGGGCATGGTGATACATGCCTGTAATCCCAGCTACTCGGGAGTTTGAGGCAGGAGAATCACTTGAGCCCAGGAGGCAGAGGTTACAGTGATCCAAGATTGCACCACTGCACTCCAGTCTGGGCAATAGTGTGAGACTCTGTCTCACCAAAAAAAAAAAAAAAAAAAAAAAAAAAAGACTTTGGAGAAGGCATGATTGGTTTTGAAATGTGAGGACATGAGATTTGGTGGCAGGGGGAGTGGGGCGGGGGTGGAATGATATGGTTTGGCTCTGCCCACCCAAATCTCATCTTGAATTGTAACTTTTATATTTCCCATGTGTTGTGGGAGGGACCTGGTGGGAGATAATTGAATCACTGGAGCAGTTTTCCCATAATGTAATGATAAGTCTCATGAAATCCTTTGGTTTTATGAGGGAAAACCCCTTTTCCTTGACTCTTATTCTGTCTTGTCTGCCATCATGTAATACATGCCTTTCACCTTCCACCATGATTGTGAAGCCTCCCCAGACACATGGAACTGTGAGTCCATTAAACCTCTTTTTCTTTATAAATTATCCAGTCTTGGGTATGTCTTTATCAACAGTGTGGAAATGGACTAATACAGCCCTTCTGTGGATTGTCTCTTAACTTTGTTGATTTTTCTTATGCTGTGCAGGTTTTTTTCTTTCTTTTACTTTAAATTCTGGGATACATATGTAGAATGTGTAGATTTGTCACATAGGTATACATGTGCCATTGTGGTTTGCTGCACCTACCAACACATCATCTAGATTTTAAACCCTGCTTGCATTAGGTATTTGTCCTAATGCTCTCCCTCCCCTTGCCCTCCACTCCCAACAGGCCACTGTGTGTGATATTCCTCTCCCTATGTCCATGTGTTCTCATCTGGAAAGTTTGGGAAATTTTCTGACATTATTTCTTTGAATACACTTTTCTCTCCTACCCTTTTACTTCATTCTCCATAAGGCCAATAACTCTTAAATTTGCCCTTTTCAGGCTATTTTCTAGATCTTGTAGGCATGCTTCATTGTTTTTATTCTTTTTTCTTTTGTCTCCTCTGTGTATTTTCAAGTAGCCCATTTTTAAACTCACTAATTCTTTCTTTCCTTGATTAAGAGACTCTGATGCATTCTTGAATATGTCAACTACATTTTTCAACTCTAGAATTTTACTTGTTTATTTTTAATTATTTCAACCTCTTCATTAAATTTATCTGTTAGAATTCTGAATACCTTCTCTGTTATCTTGAATTTCTTTGAGTTTCCTCTAAACAGCTGTTTTGAATTCTCTGTCTGAAAGGTCATACATCTTTATTTCTCTAGGATTGGTCCATGGTATCTTATTTAGTTTGTTTGGTGAAGTCATGTTTTTCTGGATTATTTTCATACTTGTAGATGTTCACTGGTTTCTGAGCATTGAAGAGTTTGATATTGCAGTCTTTGCAGTCTGGGCTTGTTTGTGCCTGTCCTTCTTGAGAAAACTTTCCAGGTATTTGAAGGGACTTGGATGCCAATCCCAATAATACTGTAGTTTTTGCAGTCTCAGAGAGATACCACCTCGGGGGTCTTAGATAAGATCACAGATAATTATCTGCATTACCCAGAAAAAAGAATCTTGTTCTCTTTCCTTATTTTATCCCAGACAAATGGTCAATCTCTCTGCTGAGCCAGCTGGAACTGGAGTGTGGTGATGCAAGCATCCCAGTGGTCACCATATATGAAATTAGCTGTGTGTTTTTAAAAAATGCCTTAAAGCAGGTTGAGAAAATTCTATTCTGTTCACTATTTATTGAATGTTTCATTATTAAGGAGTGTTGAACTTTTTCAAGTAGTTTTTCTGAATCTATTGGGAAAATCATGTGGGTTTTGACCTTTATTTTATTTATATGGTGTATTATATTGTCTTTCAGATGTAAAAGCAGCATTGCTTGTATGGGTTAAATCTCTCTTGGTAATGAAGTACAAGTTTTTTTTATTTATGGATAGATTCAGTTTGTTAGTATTTTTTTAATGCTTTTTGCATCATATTCAGAGAGATTCCTATTCCCTAGTAGAGTGTATAACATGTATTTAGCTAGTATATAGTGATCGCACAAATCTAGATGGTGGAGTCTATTACACATTTAGACTATACTATCATATATGCAGTCTGTCATTGACCGAAAGGTTGTTATGTGATACATGAATGTAATATGTACACAAAGTACAGTTTTGTACAGAAATAATAGTGTGTGTATATAGTTCATATTACATATCACTAAAATACATGTACTTAACATCCTTAACAGGTTCTTGGAAATCGTGACTTTAAGCAAAACAACGTATAGTATGTCAAAGAAACTTGACTTGAATTTATATCAATTTGTGTAGGATAACATTGATTTCATTATATAGCATATTGTGTCACTTAAAGTCACAGTTTCTAAGAACCTGTTGACAACATTAAGTGAGAATGTACTGTAGTTAGTATTATAGTATATAGTACAGCATTATAATACCATAGTGTATTATTGTAGTCTTAACAGTTGGTAGTATAATGTGTTTCAGTTCTCTTCCTGTTCATAGGATTATTCAGACAAACCAATAACACCCTACTGTGGGAATCAAAGAGCATCTCACTTTCTTGATCCTGCAAAGCCTTCCCCTGACACCCCCTGCTTGCTTTCTCTGCTTCCAGGTGCAATATCTGTGTGGGCCCATGTAGCTTACGGTACTTTCCTCCTTTTAACTGTGAGTATACGTAACTAGTAAATTGTTGTCAATCTTAAAGATCCTTGAAGTTGAGAGATAATAAATATATTTGATACAAGACTCCATAGCTTCTATTTTTTTTTCCAATTTTAGTCTCTAAACTGTAAAGCATTCATGAAGACTTAAGCCTGCGATGTCTCAGTTCTGCTCCATGTGTTTATATACAACCAGAGGAAACAGTGGCTTGAGTTTGCCTTTTTAAATCTTTTTTTTTGGCTTTTCTCCCCACTTTATCAGGACATCCTTTGTTTTCTCTAAAAGTTATCCAGAGCACTGCTCTCACACTACACATATAAAGGACATAGTAAGTGAGGTAGTGACAAAATTCTGGTTAATGATATCTTGCTTGATTTCTGTAGAACTATAGGGTTTAATTCCTAGATCTAGATGCGTTATTCATTGTCACAGGCTGAGCCAACTGCCCTAGATTTATGGAGGGAATAACTGAGGAACTGCTTCTCAGCCAACATCTTGCTGAAGAGTGAAAGGAACAGAAGTTTTAAGACTCCCACAGTATTCACTTCAGAGAGTTTACTAATGCCCCAGAATTCCAAACATTCTCTACTGTCATTGTACCATGTAGCCTTTCAAGTGGTGGCAAATGGTCTGTGTAGTTTCCATATTTTCTATCAACTGCAAGAGCACCCAAGGTAAAAATGAATAGGAAATGAGTGTGGCAGAGTGAATATAAATTGCTGCATTTTTGAGAAGAACACATCAAAGTCTTGGCAGTTGTTCTGTGAGGAACCTGAGTCACATTGCTGAAGTCCATTGAGAATAGGAGGATAAAGTCAGCTTGATGAAATGTGGGTTTGGTGTCTGTAATGGTTAATTATAGATGCAAATATGACTGGGTTGAAGGAAGGATGCCTGGATGGCTGGCAAACCATTGTTCTGGATTGTCTGAAAGGATATTTCCAGGGGGGAGTTGTGTATGCATTAGTGAACTGAGTGGGGAAGATTTACTGTCAATGTGGGGAGGCACCATCTAATTGGCTGGGGCCCAGCTGGAACAAAATGTGTGGGATGCCCTTCTTCTCCTGCTCTTGTACATCAAAACTCCAGGTTCCTTGGCCTGTGAACCATTTGGCCTTATGGCACCTTTCCTGAGGGTGATCATCCAGCCACCAGGTGTCAGGTTATTGGCCTGCTTCCATCATGGAAAAGCAGCATTTCATCCTTACTGGAATAGATGCTTACTCTGGATATGAATTTGCTTTTCTTGCATGCAGTGTTTCTGCCTAAAATACTATCTGTAGACTTACAGAATGCCTTATTCACCATCATGGTATTCCAGTTGGTATTGGTTCTAATCATGTCAGCCAAAGAAGTGCAGCAATTGGCTCATGCTGAAGGAATTCACTGGTTTTACCACGTACCCCGCCATCCTGAAGCAGCTGGCTTGACAGAAGGGTGAAATGGCCTTTTGAAGACACAGTTACAGCACCAGATAGGTAATAGCACCTTGTAAGGCTGGGACAAGGTGCTCAGAAGGTTGTATGTGCTTTGCATTAGAATGCAAGATGTGGTACTATTTTTTTTCCATAGTCAAAATTCACGGGTCCAAGAATCAAGGAGTGGAAAGAAATGCAAGTGGCATCACTCACTATTACTCCTAGTGACACCATAGCAAAATTTTTTTTTCTTGTTCCCATGACTTTGTGCTCTGCTGGCCTAGAAGTAATAGTTCCAGAGGAAGGAATACTCCCACCAGGAGACACAAAAATGATTCCAATAAATTGGAAGTTAAGACTGCCACGTGTACACTTTTTGTCCCCCAAGCCTCTGATTCAACAGTCTAAGAAGGGAGTTACAGCGTTGGTTGGGGACAGTGATCTGGACTACCAAGAGAAAATTAGACTATTATTCTATGACAGAGATCAGAAGGAGTGTGTCTGGAATACAAAAGTTACATATATTATATAATAAAATACAGAAGTTATATATATAATATATATTATATAATTCTGTATAATATATAATATATATTATATAATTCTGTATAATATATAATATATATTATATAATTCTGTATAATATATAATATATATTATATAATTCTGTATAATATATAATATATATTATATAATTCTGTATAATATATAATATATATTATATAATTCTGTATAATATATAATATATATTACATAATTCTGTATAATATATAATATATATTACATAATTCTGTATAATATATAATATATATTACATAATTCTGTATAATATATAATATATATTACATAATTCTGTATAATATATAATATATATTACATAATTCTGTATAATATATAATATATATTACATAATTCTGTATAATATATAATATATATTACATAATTCTGTATAATATATAATATATATTACATAATTCTGTATAATATATAATATATATTACATAATTCTGTATAATATATAATATATATTACATAATTCTGTATAATATATAATATATATTACATAATTCTGTATAATATATAATATAATTGTATATGTTATACATATTATAAATAATGTATAATACATGTAATATATAACTTCTATATTGCATATAATTATATATTATAATTATATGAAATATATATATATATATAAATATATATTATGTCTCCTATTCTGTCTCTCTAAAGAACCTGTCTAATACAGTGTCCACCTGCCTTCTTTTTTACTGCCTTCCTTTGGCACCATACTGTTTATAGTGGCTCATTTTTTTTTTCAACCCTTATTTTAGAATCAGGGAGTTCATGTGCAGTTTTATTACAAAGCTATATTGCATGATGCTGAGGTTTGGAGTATGAATGAATTTGTGGACCAAAGTAGCGAGCATAGTACCCAATAGGTAGTTTTTTTCAACTCTTAACCCCTCCCTTCCCCTATTGTATTCCCCAGTGTCTACGGTTCCTATTTGTAGGAACAGTGGTGGTGCATAAAAATATGCACAACCCAATGTTTAGCCCCCACTTATAAGCGAGAGCATGTGGTATTTGGTTTTCTGTTTCTACATTCATTTGTTTAGTATAATGGTTTCCAGATACATCCATGTTGCTGCAAGGGATCAGATTTGTTTCTTTTTTATGGCTGCATAGTATTCCATGATGTATATGTATCACATATTTTTTATCCAATCCACAATTAGTGGGCACCTGGGTTGATTAATGTCTTTGCTATTGTGAATAGCACTGCAATGACCATATGGCTCCATGTGTCTTTTTGGTAGAATGATTTATTTTCCTCTGGGTATATATCCAGTAGTGGCACTGCTGGGTCAAATAGTAGTTCAACACTCATTTCTTTGAGAAATCTCCAAACTGCTTTCCACAGTGACTATACTAATCTATATTTCCACCAACAGTTTGTAAGTGGTCCCTTTTCGCTGCAGCCTCACAAACATTTGTTATTTTTTGACTTTTTAACAAAAGCCATTCTGATTGGTGTGAGATGGTGTGCGATTGTGGTTTTGATTAGTATTTCTCTGATGATTAGTGATGATTATGAGCCTTTCTTCATATGTTTGTTGACCACTGTATGTCATCTTTTGAGAAGTGCCTGTTGATGTCCTTTGCCCACTTTTGAATGGGGTTGGTTTTTTAAATTGATTTGTTCATTATAAATCCTGGAAATGACACCTTTTTTGGATGCATAGATTGCAAATAATTTTTCCCATTCTACAGGTTGTCTGTTTACTCTCTTGGTAGTTTCTCTTGCTGTGCAGAGCTCTTTAGTTTAATTAGGTCCCACTTGTCAATTTCTGTCCTTGCTGCAAATGCTTTTGTAGGTTTAGTAATAAATTATTTGCCAAGGCTGATGTTGAGAAGGGTATTTCCTAAGTTTTCTTCTAGGATTTTTATAGTTCAGGTCTTACATTTAAGTCTTTAATGCATCTCATGTTGATTTTTGTACAAGGTGATATGTAAGGGTCCAATTTCATTCTGCTGTTATCCCAGCACCATTTATTGACTTGCCAGTTATCCCAGCACCATTTATTGAACAGGGAGTCTTTTCTTTGTTGCTTATTTTTGTCAACTTTGTTGAAGATCAGTTGGTTGTAGGTGTGTGGCTTTTATGTGTTTTCTATTCTATTCCCTTGGTCTATGTATCTGTTTTTGTACAAGAACCATGCTGTTATGGTTACTGTAGCCTTGTAGTATAGTTTGAAATTGGGTAATGCGATTCCTCTGGCTTTATTCTTTTCACTTAGAATTGCTGTGGCTATTGGGCTGTTTTTTGGTTCCACATGTACTTTAGAATATTTTTTTCTAATTCTGTAAAATAAACATTGGTAGTTTGGTAGAAATAACATTGCATTTGTATATTGCTTAGGGCAGTATGGCTATTTTAACTATGTTGATGCTTCCAACCCATGAGTATGGGATATTTTTGCATTTGTTTGTGTCATCTATAATCTCTTTCAGTAGTGTTTTGCAATTTTCCTAGTAGAGATCTTTTACCTATATATTTTTTACCTATACATATTCCTAGGCAATTTATTCTTTCTGTGGCCATTGTAAGTAAGATTACATTCTTAATTTGGTTCTCGGCTTGAGTGTTATTGGTATATAGAAATGCTACTGATTTTTGTACATTGAGTTTGTATCCTGAAACTTTGCTAAAGTTTCTATCAGCTCTAGGAGTCTTTTGGCAGAGTCTTTAGCATTTTCTAAGTATAGAGTCATATCATCAGTGAAGAGAAATAGCTTGACTTCTTCTTTTCCTGTTTGGATGCCCTTTATTTCTTTCTCTTGACTGATTTCTCTGGCTAACAATTCCGGAACTCTATTGAATAGTAGTGGTGGGAGTGGGCATCCTTATCTTGTTCCAGTTCTTAAGGGGAATTCTTCCAGCTTTTGCCAATTCAGTATGATGCTGGCTGTAGGTTTGTCATAGATGGCACTTATTATTTTGAAGTATATGCCTCTGATACCTAGTTTGTTGAGTATTTTTATCATAAAGAGATGTTAAATTTTATCCACAGTTTTTCTGTGTCTATTGAGATGATTATATTGTTTTTGTTTTTAATCCTGTTTGTGATGAATGACATTTATTGATTTGCATATGCTGACCTAATCTTGCATCCCAGGAATAAAGCCTACTTGATCAAGGTGAATTAGCTCTTTGATTTGCTTCTGGATTCAGTTTGCTAGCCTTCTGTTGAAAATTTCTGCATTTGTGTTCATCAAACATATTGGCCTAAAGTTTTTTTTTTTTTTTTTTTCGTTGTGTGTTTTTATGGTAGCAGGTACCATTCTTTTGTTTCCATGTTTAGCACTCAAAGACCCCTTGTAAGTCTGGTCTAATGCTAATTAATTCCCTTAGCGTTTGCTTCTCTGAAAGAAATTTTATTTTCCCTTCACTTACGGAGCTTAGTTTCGAGGGATATGATGTTCTCAGTTGGATTTTTTTTAAGGATGCTGAAGATAGTTCTCCAATTGCTTCTGCTTTGAGAGGTCCCTTGCTAGCCTGATGGGTTTCCCTTTGTAAATGACCTGATCCTTTTCTCTAGTTGCCTTTGAGATTTTTTTCTTTCATGTTGAACTTAGACAATCTGATGACTGTGTGCCTAGCAGATAGTCATTTTGTATGATATCTTTCAGGGGTCTCTGAATTCCTTGAATTTTCATGTTGGTCTTTCTAGCAGGATTGGAAAAATCTTCATGGATTATATCCTCAAATTTATTTTCTAAGTTGCTTACTCTCTATTCTTCTCTCTCATGGATGCCAATGAGTCATAGGTTTGGTCTCCTTACATAATAACATATTTCTTGGAGGCTGTGCATTTTAAAAAACTCTTTAAAACTTATTTTTAATGTGACTGTGTTGATTCAAAGGACCAGTTTTTGAGCTCTAAAATTCTCTCCTCAGCTTTATCTATTCTGTTGTTAATGCTTCTAACTGTATAATGAAATTTCCTTAGTAAATTTTTTAGTTCCAGAAACTCAGTTTGGTTTTCTTAAAACAGATATTTCATTTTTTACTTCTTGGATTGTTTTACTGAATTTCTTGTATTCCTTGTATTGGGTTTCAACTCTCTCCTGCATCTTGTTGAGCTTCCTTGTCATTCAAATTCAGAATTCTACATCTGTCATTTCAGTCATTTCAATCTGACTTAAAAACATAGCTAAGGAGCTAGTGCCATTGTTTGGAGGTAAGGGGACACTCTGGCTTTTAGGACTGCCAGACTTCTTGCACTAAATCTTTCTCATCTGAGAGGACTGTTATTCCTTCCTTTTTCAAGTTGCTGTCATTTTTCATTGGGCTTTTTGTTTTTATATTATTACCCTTGAGGGTTTGATTGTGGTACAAGTTGAATTCAGTCAATTTGCTTAGATTCTGGGTGCTTACAGTAGATTAAGACTCTGTATGGGATGTTTATTTGTGGCTAGATTACTGAATTGGGCAGTGTATATGGGCAATTATTTGTTGGTGTTTGTTATTCAGGCTGTGATCCTGTAGATGGCACTTAAGAGTAATGGCTGGCAGTTAGGCCCCTACCTGCAAGCCTCTTTCCCATTTCAATGCATTTGCAGTGGTGCTTTTTGGTGGAGGAGGCAAAAAGATCAGAGAGATGAACCCCTCACCAGATCCATTCCCTGGCCTTAGGGGAGCTCCCTGCAGTCACTGGAACTATTCCTGCAGTTCTTTAGTTTCAAGGGGTGGGGTTCTGTCAGACTGTGATACTGCCTTCCTTACAGACAGCTGAAACGGAAAGTTAAGTTGCCAGGAGACCTGCAGCTCCCTGGGAGCTTGTTGTATCTCTGTGTTTGGCACAGTCGTTGTGGGTTGTGGGATATGTCTGCAGGTGGTCTGTTGATGTAGTAGGTCAAGAATGGGGATCTCCAGGCAAGGCCAGTGTTGCAGTAGGTGTGGAACTAATGTGGCACCTGTACCCAGGGATTTTTGCTCAGCAGACAGCTATAAGGACCACCCATTTATTTCTCCCTTGACCAGCTTTCCTTCTGGTGGCTGTCCCAGTAACTGGCCTGATTAGCTAGTTTTGTTCCAAGCCTACTGCACACAAATTGCTGGGCTATTAGGTGTTCAGGGCTGCAGGGATCCTTCAGTCAGAGGCTGCAGCCACTGTGGCAGATAAGCCACACCCTTCCCAGACCAGCCCTACAGAAGGGGGCACACCCAAATCCTGCACTGACCCATAAACTTGGGCCTCACTCTTCTCAGTGTTCTGAGAGTGAAGGCTCTTTCATGCTTGAGTTCCAGCCACTTATCTCAGCTTCACCCTCCAGAGCTGCATGCTCTTTCTAACCCTGGGGTTTAGGACTGGGCCCTTGGCTTTGTCCTCTGTCCCTTAAAACCAAGTACCAGCTGTGCTGAGGGGCCAAGGTGTTCCCAGGCCACCAGCAAACCACTCAGGCCAGGGAGTGGAGGCTGCACTATGTGCTTGCTTTTGCAGCAGTGGCCATGCAGGGACCCTGCCAGGGGCCGGTGAACACAGGGACATGCAGATCTTGTGTACCCCAGTTCCATGGGAAAGACAACCCTGTTGTCTCCTGGTCCAGCAGTCAGCAAAGGCTAGAGGCACTCAGAGGACTATGGAGAGCCCTGGGAGATGGGCACCTACGGCCATATTTTATTGCCCCTATACCCTTGCAAAATCCCATGCAGCCTTGAGTTCTGTCTCTACCTACTCTCCGGGAAGTTGCCCTGGCCAGCTCAATTGTCCATGGGGGTCATATCTCTTGTAGCTAGGATCTCAGAGGTCTATGGTGACAGTGGGTTGAAGTGCAGTCTCTTCACTCATCGCTTCTTTAGGAGCTGTTCAGGGCCAGGAATGAGTTCTGGTGTTCCACAATCCCATACTGGGTTCCTGGCTTCCTCTCTCTTCAGCCTTGGTGTCTGTGTCTCCTCTTTATAAGCTCTCTGAGTTTTCCCTCAAATGATTTGTTCAAAATATGTTGATTTACTCAATATTTTGGTCTCTTTCAGTTGGAGAGGCTCCTACTGGTTTTGTCTAGTTGGCTATCTTGTCCCTCCCATTCTGTGGTTAACTTTTTATCTTAACTGGTTGTGAAATAAATTCTCCAAAAGTGTTAGCTAATACAGGGCTTATGCTAGCAACACATTTTTGTGTACAAAGAACTTTTATCTTATTTATGTTTTGCAATAAACTTATAAAGTATTTTAGTTTCCACTGTAAGAATATGGAAATAATGCTCAGATGTTATCTACCCAAGATTCACAGCCAGACGTGATCCAAGTCTTTTAACTCTTACCCACACTATGTTGTCTTCTTCTTTGGACCATTTTCAGGGTAGTTTTCATTTCAGAGGGGACATTAAATATTAAGCAGTAGTGACTGTGGAAAGGTAAAGAACAAGGGTGAACAATTCTGCTCAGTATTTCTTCAAATCTCTTTGGGTATCTACAGCTCTTTTCTCCACTTCTAGTAGCTGGCTCCACTCATAAAATCTCCACAGGAATTTACTCAGTTACTGGGGCAGAATTAAATCCACATTTTGGAGCCAGTGTTATCATTTGTGCTAGTCTTTGAGACAATTTAGGCATCTAAATACATATATTAGGGATGGCAAATGGATTTCTATTCCAAGCCAACTCTGTTAGATTATTAGTGGCTATCTCTTTGAAAAGGATTCTAAGTTTGCATCTGAGTTCAGCAGACAAGCATCATGATTGGTTATTCATGTCTGCCAGGCTTGTGTGTGGAGGAAGTATTCAGATACCTGTAGTGTAGTTGCCATTCTTGACATACACAGAGGTAGCATGTTAGAATGGGTCCCAGAGATCATCTACTCCAGTCACCTCATTTTACAAATTAGGGAACCAAGGTTTAGAGAAGGAGGGGAGAGTCTTTCTTATCTCAATCTTGCTTCATTGCTAGTGTGCTACTTAAAAGCAAAGAACAATTTTGATCTGGTATTCTAGTTTGATTTCTTGACTCCATGCAGAAAGTGCTAGCCATTGTACAGGGAGTAGGTGTGATGCCCTGCTTTATGCTCCCATTGAAGATATCTTTTTTGGCTTTCCATACTTATAGTTTAGCTATGTTGAACTCTTCTGTTGCCTTTCCTGGTCACCTGCCTTGGATTCCTCTTTTCTGAGGGTTCTATCTGACCCTGTCTTTAGGTACTGTGCCTCAGTCTCCAGACCTATCCTTCTACCCATCTCACCTCAATCAGCGTGAATCTATTTTATGTCCCTCACTGTTGTTTCATATACAAACCTATTAAAAGATAAGCATTGTTTAATACCTTACTCTCTTGTTGGCTATTTGGGTCATAAAATGGAATTCTTAAAGACACAATTTTTAATCCTAAAAGAAAAATCCCAAATGATTGAAATTTAGAGTATCAGGGGAGGCTGGTTCTTATGTGATGTGAGATATTTTGGCAGATTATTGGCAGCAGCCATCAAGTCAGGGCTAGTCTTGATTTTATAAATATTTATAAAATATTTTGTTTCATCACCTCACATTCACTGAACCTTCCAACTCTTTGATTTCCTTTTTTTAAATATGGTTCATGATAATGCTTAATAGTTGCCCATGTTTTAAAGATACAGAAATCAAAGACACACTGGAGTGATGATTTTCCCTCTTTTGGTGGATTATAGGCAGAACTAGGATGAATAATTGCTGTCTGCAGCTCCACAGCTGCCCCTCCCTGCTCCTTAGCATGAAGAGCTGTCCTGCTGTTCTTTACAGTTTGGTCAAAAGCCGATTTTTCTCATCACCCTGCTTTACAGAGGCTCAGCACACTTCAATAGAATCTGAAGGTATTGAGTTCCCACTAATGATATTTGCTTTTCAAATATACAGTGATACTTTTGTGGATGCATATTGTATCCAGTCTAAACTTACATCCTTTATTTAGTCTCAAACGAAGCTTCGTTCCAGCATGAAGACACGGGATTAAAACATAGCCATTTATCTGCCAGTTCTGGAACATAGAGTACAAATAAACAGGCATTGTATCACCCTGTCAGCCCTTTGAGCTCGTTTAGATCCAGATGGTGGTCCCAAGAAACATTACAGTCCATTTCTTCATCTGTGGCTATGGCAGGGCATGTGTTTTGCTCAGGGATCGCAGGCCTTGGGTTAATGGCAAAGATTATAGACATGGTTCTACATGCCACAAAACTTCCCACAGAAGAGCTATGGGAAAGGAGTTTGATCTGCTAATGTTAAAGTCGTCTATGGAGCACATCTGGAAGCAAAAGGCAACATTTTCCATTTTCAAAGTAGGTAAACAAATAAGCAACTGTGTAGTGTCTTGCATTGACAGGAGAGATCCCTAAATAATAATATTTTTCTTACATGCCAGGCTCTGTGATAGAAAGCATTTACACACAGTATTTCAACTTCACATAACAATGCATCACCAATTATACATAGCAGGTATATTTAAAAGATCCAAGCCTTAGGTATGTGACCTTCACTAGGGTCTTTCACTACCCATCAAGGATGAAATCAGGACTTGAACTCAGTTCCCTCTGACTCAAAAGTCCCTACTTTCTTATACTAAGCTAGTCTGATTTGCAATTTGTATGCAATCTGTATAATCCCAAACTAATGAGACCGAATAAATGTTAGAAATAGTTTCATGTATTACATTTTAAATGACCAATTAATATTCCACAGCATTATATGGGCCAGTATGAGCTTTAAACATAAATAATAATTAGCAGGGCTGAACTAAGAAGAAAATAAAAGCAGAAATCTATCTGATGTGACTTGAGTGGCAATGGGAAGGTCACTCTTGCTTCAGAATAACCCATCTCATCACCATGCCTGGACTTTCATATAATCATTTACTGTTAGACTGAAAGAAACGTTAGAGATCATCCATTTTATTAGTGAGGAAACTGGGCTTAGATTTGTATAGTGACATCCCAAGAGCTCATAACTACTTAGCGTACAAACAAAGAGTCATAGCTTAATGCATATAAAGCTATTAGGTTTTTTAGAGTCCTGATTGAAAATGGAAACACCTAAGGTAAGCATTGAAAATGGATTTCATCATATGCCAACTCAGATTCACAAGTGGTTGCTACACAACATATGTTGACCAGGATTTGGAGGTTGCACATAGAGTCAGCAGTAAAGAATGCCATGATTCATTATTGATGTCTGTTATACCTACAGGAAGTGGAATTCAATAGAGCATGTGCTAAATATCATCTATTTCTGACTTATGGGATGAAAATCCCTCTAATTCCTTATTATCAGAGTGGAGAAAGTCTGTACCATCAGAAGATCTACTTTCACATCCTGACAGCTGTCCCTAATTATTTTCTCATGTATAAAATGGACTAATTTTAGCTGCTTTATCTCCCTATAAAATACCTGTGCTGATGAGACAGCCAGGTGGGAAGGTCTCCCAGGCAGAGCCTTGGACCGACATGCGCACTGGGAGGTATGAACACTGGGGTGGAGCCACAGAAGTTTGAGCCCATTGCAGAGGAGGCAGGCCTCCCCTCTTCCTTTGTGGAACCTGGGATTTAAAGTGTCAGACAGTAAATGCACCAGCAGTGACTCTGGCTTTGTGTAGGGTCCCTGTTTTCCCTTTTCTTCCTTTTCACCCAATAAAACCCTTCAAATCACACACCCTTCAAATCACCTACGAGCCTAAATTTTCATGGCCACGTGACAAGGGCCTCATCTTTAGGTGAATTAGGGAAAAATCCTGCAAAAATGACTAAAAAGAAGTGACACCTGAGGATGTATACATCGTTAATATAGATACCACTTTTTACAGTTGAAAGCCAAGAAGCTACTGAGCCTAGAAGGAAGGAAACAAAATTCAAATATACAGCAGGGAGACAATATTTTCCATTTTTTTCTTTAGTCATGTTGCAAAAACTGATCTAAAGTGATGTGTTTCTCCAAGAAGGGACGGAATCGCCACTAGGCCTTAGCATGAAGAATCTGGCTCTTTTGAGAATGCTCTGAGTTTGATCTAATCAAACATTGGGGAGAAAAAGGGCAACTTTTTGAGAGGCACTTTTAACAGTTTCAAGTTTCCGGGATTCTTTTCAATATAGACCCTAATTTCCTTAGAAAACTGATGTTTCTACTTCTTTCCCAAACTGGGGGTGGTGTGGCTTGCATCCTCTCTAATAAGGTTTTGATTTGAGTGCATACAAACTCTGCTCTGGCCTTGCTTTCCAGCTCCTGTAAGTCTGGCTCTGGCTTTTCTCACACTACTCTCCTTTCATTTTTTTTTACTCCTCAGCCAGCCTCTTCTCTACAGAGATCTCCCTCTCTTCCACCCATTCATGTCTTTTTTGATGCGACTCCCTTTCCTGGAAACCTGTTCCATTGGAATGCTTGTTTTTAACAGACCTCAAAGTCAGCATATTCAAAACAAAACCCACCATGGTTCCCTTCTGCTATAGACTGAATGTTTGTGTCCTCCCCAGATTTATATCTTGAAACTTTATCTCTAATATTATAATATTTGGGAGGTTATTAGGTCATAAGTGTGGAGCCCTCATAAATGACTTAGTTCCTCATAAGGTAGTACCTTTATGAAAGAGGCCCCAGAGAGCTCCTTCACGTCTTTCACCTTGGAAGAACAAGAGAGGGTACCATCTATGAACAAGAAAATGGGCCCTCACCAGACGTCCAATCTGCAGGCACCTTCATCTTGGACTTCCCAGGCTCCAGAACTGTGAGAAATAAATCTCTGTTGTTTAGGCTGCCCAGTCTATGATTTTTTTTATTGCAACCCAAACAGACAAAGGTACATCCAATCTTCTTTCTTCTAATCTTCCCTGTCTCAGCAGAAACTTGAGAAATCAGACTCATTTTTGACATGCCCTCATACTACACCTTCTCAACCCATAATTCTATTAATTATCACCTTCTGTTGATTTTACCACCTAAATATCTCCTGATTTGACTGTTTCTCTGCACTGCTATCACTCTGGTCCAGGCCACCATTGTTTGTCATCTTGATTCCTGGATTACTCCATAAACCTCGTAACTGGTCTCTTTGCTTCATAGAACTGAAATGCTCCTTTCAGAAATATCCAATCTTTTCATTCTTGATGTATTCCTTCAATAGCTCAATTTCCCTCTAGACATAGAATTTACAAGTCCATCTAAGATCAGGCTTTAGTTACATCTCCGTGATGTTTTTCATGTTGAGCTGACCACTCTGAGTTTAATTCTGTTCCTGGACATCACATGTTCTCTTTCATATCTGGGTTTTTGCACTCAAAGTTTCTTCTGTTTGAAACACTTTGTCTTCTTTTACTTTACCTGGCTAACTTCTAGTTAATCTTCAGATTTTAGCTTAATGGTCAGGTACTCAAGTATGCCTTGACTGATGCTGCAAAATAGATTTGTTCTTCCTCCTTCTGTATGTTCTCAAATCACCATGTCCTTCACTGTCATCTTGTTTTATCATAATTGCACATTTATTATTTGTCTTTTCCCTAGTCCATTAACAGTATTATAACTGTAAGCTCCATATGTCTTATTCATGTCTGTATTCACAAGTTCCAGGTGCTTATTATTGCTCAATAAGTACTTATTGAATGAATGATTTCCCATCTCAGTAGGTCTCCCAACCTACTCACTATTCAAATTTCACCTTAGAAATCTATTTTATAAATGCTTTCTATAATTCCCCATCTTTATGTGATATTTAAAATTCTTAAGCACATTATTGATACCACTTATACTGTACTCCTTTTTTCCTGTTTGAGTTATAGTTATTGTCCTCTTTTACATCACCTTCAACCTCCCTGGAGCAAGATTCTATCTTATATACCTTCATATGCTGTCATAGTACCTAGCTTAGAGCCCCCCACATAAGATATTTAAGCAATATGTGATTGCTTAAATCAACAGAAAAACCTCACTTAGGATAAATTAAATAAATGGTAGGCTCTTTACAGAAATTGAACTCTTTTAAGCAATTACTTTTTTTAAATTATTTGAGACAGAGTTTCACTTTGTCACCCAGGCTGGAGTGCAGTGGCATGATCTCAGCTCACTGCAACCTCCGCTTCCTGGGTTCAAGTGGTTCTCCTGCCTCGGCCTCCTGAGTAGCTGGGACTATAGGCAAGTGCCACCATTCCCGGCTAATTTTTTGTATTTTTAGTAGAGATGGGGTTTCACCATGTTAGCCAGGATGATCTTGATCTCCTGACCTCATGATCTGCCTGCCTCGGTCTCCCAAAGTGCTGGGATTACAGGTGTGAGCCACCATGCCCAGCCAGCAATTACTTGTCAGTACATTTATATCATTAGAATTAAGATACTATGGCTAGAGCATTTCTCCTGGTTTTGGCATTTTCATAACTATTTTATAGGATACAAAATAAGAGATGATAACACTTTGAAAATATACCTACCAATGTGCAGCAATCTCCCAACTCACAGATATCATGATGATAATCAGCAAGGACTATTTATCTATTCCTGCAATATACAGGTTTATTCTAAAGATACCATTGCTGATAACTTTTTTTAACCTGAAAATGGCTATGAACCCCTGAGCTTACACAACATAATCCCATACAGAATGTTTTATTGCCCATATTAATATGTGTTTGGAAGACTAAATGACAGTTAAGATCACTTCTGGTTCTAAGAGCTTAGGATTCCATACACTAATGTATTCAAGCAGGATGCTACCCTAGAGTTGGGAAAGCAGACCAGAATCAGAGGACATGAGTTCAGTTCCCAAATCTGATAATTACTGCCATGTTGATCTTGGCTAAGTTCATGCACTTGACTTTTTTCTCCACATAGATTCTGTTCTGAGAATTGAGGATATACAGTACTGTATAGATACAGTCTGTTGACCAAATAACCCAGCCTGTCTGAACCTTAGTTTTCTCATCTGTAAAACAGAGTTAAAATGAGATGTGTGGCTTGTCCACATACTGTCCTCAGAGAGGTGACTAACACAAGGCTTTTAGAATAGGTTTACACATATTTGGGAATTAATACCTATAGCTATTTGGTAATTAAAATAGAAACATGATAAGATATAAAACACTGGGCTTGGATCTATTAGTGCTTGTGGGTTCTTCAAGTGAGTAATGTATGCAATCTTTTTCCCACTTTAAGAAGCATAGTCCTCACAATCACATATACACTCTTTTTGAGGTAAGGACTTTATTTTTATTTATTTATTTTGGGGTGACTCTTGTTTATGTTGAGTTTTAGTAGGTTAACCTGCATACAGTGAGCCTCTAGTAGCAGGCAAAGAAAGAGCTCAGTTCTGGCATTCATGTGGAGTCAATGCAGAAGACTCGTCTTCTCTAGTGCTACTGTGCACCTAACCCCAAGGATATTGGAAAGCCTGAATCTCCCCAAACAGACTAAATTACTTCCGTGTTCTCATGCCTTATTTTTGTCCAAAGAGCAGCACTTTGAGTAACATATACTCTGTCTCATGACTGCAAAACAACACAAATTGAAATCATTTCAACCTAAAGAGCCCTGGCCAGGGTACCACCTTCTATGAATGGAACACTGGAGAGTGGTCATTGTGCCTTGATAACTAGCACTGCTGGGATTGATGCCACCTTCGCACCTATGACCACCGATGGAGGGGGAGACTTTGGCCAAATTTCTGCATTAAACATTATATGCCTAGATTAGCACCTAGAAGGCAGTGCCTCTCGGCAGTAACCAGTTAGTTGGCATGCTAAGATTGCACATGAAAGTCTTAGGGGACCCCTAGACAGAAACATGAAGACTGGAATCAGAGAGAGGCACAGACTGGACTTTTGGCTTCCGGCCAGCATTCTAGAAGCCTAGAATGTGTGATGCTGGGAATCACCTAGGGCATACTATTTTTTGCACACAGAACCTTATAAAAAGATTCCTGAGTACAAAACAATAAGAATGTGCTGTACAAGCTATAAAATGGCTTACAAATACATAGTGTTAAGTTGAGATACTGTTCTGCCTTGCTATGATAGCCTCATTCTGTACCTGTCCATGTCCTTCCTCCTCAGGGCATAACTGCAATGATGGACAGACAGACAAGATGTCAAACCTTGCATGAAAGAGTAAAACCAGTTTCCTGGCATAAGTTGTTATTTAGTTCTTTTCCTTTTCTGTTTCTAAGAGTTCATCAAACTTTTGTGGCTCTTAATCTTCAGGTTATCCAAGTGCTTTAGCTTCTGAGTAGTTTTAGTTAATCTCAGTTAACTTTAGCTGTAAGGAATTACATTGACCTATTTCCATCTGTACGGTAAAACTAAAAGGAGAAACTAGGAAACTCCACATTTAGAATTTAAGTTTATATTTTTCCTGCACCTATTTCCATTCCCATATTTGTTGCATTATCTTGTATAATTACTGCAGCAATCCTGATTCTAGGTATTATGTGTATTTCGCAGGGGATCAAACTGAGGCTCTGAGGGGTGTGGTGACTTTCCCGTGGATACAAACCAGCTAAGAAGCTCACACAAGAGACACACATGGCCCTTGTAACTGTGAGTTCAGAGCTCTTTCTGAACCACAGCTGCCTCCTGGTTTATTGTAGTCATTCATCATACATCCACATCAGCCAAGGGAGACTCCCCATCTGCTCCTTGCCTAGCCTGTCAATCTCTCAGGATATGACCTTAGCTGCAAGGAAGGAGACAGGAGAAATTCTGCCATCACCAGAACCCCAGTTGACCTGAATGTCTAGAGAGAAAAGTCAGAGGCAAAGCACTCAGTGGAAATGGCTGTCAGCAGCCTGGAAAAGGAAATTTAGGTGCCGAGGTCTGACACAAACCAGAGAATCAGCAGCTTTGCAAGTTCAGCAGGGGTGCTGGGGCTGTGGACATGTGGCATTCTGTGACAGAGAGTGTCACTAAATTTCTCTGAGGAGCTTACAAGAGATTAGAGACTTGTCAGAAAATGGGGAATGTTTTAAGCCAAATAAAAGGGCTTAGAAAGTAGATGGACATGTATAATTAAAAGAAACAAAGATGCTTTGAAATCAATTTAATGAGCCACATTTTGGGGAAACGACTGTGTTCTCAAGTTTGACAATAAAAATTGCAAAATATGTCTTCTGCTTCAAAGTCATTTGAATTGTCATTTTTTTGAGCATGTTATTAGATTAATTTAGGCACAAAAACAAAATACCATCCTTTCTTTGAGTCACTTTTTATTTGAAACAATTTTATGTATCTTGAAAAGGGAGAAGATGTTCAACCTTGAGAATTCTTCATTTCAAACATCCCTTCTGAAGACCTTTTCTGCATCTTTAATGACTGAGTTTTGAAAATAATTCTCTAAAGTAAGTTTAAAAGCTAGCATCTGTAAGTACTAGGAAGTGCAGACAAAGTGAAAAAGCATCTTTTAAACAGTTGGGGACTCAATTTAGTTGAGGTGAGTTCTGTTCTTAAAATTAGTAGAAACTTCCAGAAATGTGGTACTGCTAGACTCTGGATGATATAAAAGAATATATAATTCCTAACATTATAGTCTTTAGATATACATGCTGAAATAAGGAAAAGTAATAACACAGTAGAATTTGATTAGATTTCACAGAGACTACATGCAGTAGTCCGCCCAACTGGAGAAGTGGCCCAGTTCTTGAAGTAAAAATTAGATCGGGACAAAGAAAAAGAAGGACTTCTCAGGCAGGAGGTTACAGGATCAGGAATGAGAATGTCATAAAATAAGTGGTAGAACAGTTTGACTGAAACTCCAGATTGTCCCAGAGTGGGGAGCTGCAGAAGATAAGGTTACATAGGAGCCATATGATAAGCATCTGTTCTGTGTTTGTTGAATGAATCAGAATATTTCACACATATTCTTTATTATTTTGTGTGTTCTTGGAAAAGTTATCAAGAACTGCAATTCTTTAATTCCTCATTTGCGAATGAGCATAGCAATATAATTAGCTTCAAAGCACTATTGTGATTAGTAAATTCATGTAAAGTACTTAGTACAGTTCTCTGGTATAAAATAAACAATCAACACATGTCTTGCCCAAATATTTTGTTAAATTAATAAAAGAATGCAAGAAGTAAGCAGAGGCATTGACATGAAAGGCATATTTGGATATAGTGAATAAATTAGCCTGGTGGGTAGAGAAGGCTTATAGGGCAGTATGGAAGATCAGATTGAAAAGGTGAGTGGCGAACAGATTTGGGGGATTTGATTTAGAAGGCCCAGGCTAGTGGTGCCACTAAATATTTTTAGCTAGGACATGACATTAATAAAAGAGAATTAACAAAGGGAAAAGTAAGAAAAAAATAAGCTAACAGCTGCTTGGAAGTAGCCTCCAGTGGCACAGGAATTTGTAAAGAGCAGAGAAAGGATGTTTTTATTTCAGAACAGTGTTGATTTCAATTTAGCCTAAATCTCTGCACAGTCACAGCACTCTCAGAAGTCAGCTTCAATCTATCTGGCTCAGGAGGGAAAGTAGAGGCATCTGAACCTCCCTTCAAGAATGAAGCTATATTGTGACTTACCCCTTCTCCCCACACTTAGGCATTCTCTAATTACTTACTCTGGCTCATCACATTGTTTTATGTCACTCTCAATTACACAAGTTTCAAGGGTGATTTACATCGTCCTCCACTCTAGAGTACAGAAGTACTCCCTTGGAGGGAGAGGTGGCAGATTTCCTGTGCTCCTCTCTGCCTCCTACTGCTGCACAGTATACTTACCCAGTGGGCAGCCTTGAGCTTAACTTTTAATCACTCTTTCCAATAGGATCAGTCTTTGGCTGGGATTACTGCTCCAAACCTAACAGGGCTGTGGTATTTGTTACTTTTATGTCAGGTTCCCAACTTTCAGCATTTTAAGCATTGTTCAAGATCAGAAACAAGATTGTTATTCATTAATTTATTCATTCCACAAATTTAACAAATATTTATTGATCATATACTGAACCAGGTGCTTGTGCTCTAAGTGATAAATCAATCTCAAATATTAAAAAACTGAGAAAAGGAATTATGTCTTATACCATCATTAAATTTCTTATAGTGCTTGCATAGAGTAGATAATCAAATTTTGAAAAGATCTGTGTTTCAGTTGGATGAACAACATATACATTGGAGTCCTAATTGGACTCTATGTTCCATAAATATACACATATATGTATATTTGTGTATATACACATATATGTATAAAATATACACATATATGTATAAAATATACACATATGTATATTTGTGTATACACATATATATGTATATTTGTGTGTATACACATATATATGTATATTTGTGTGTATACGCATATATGTATATATGTGTGTATACGCATATATGTATATATGTGTGTATACGCATATATGTATATATGTGTGTATACGCATATATGTATATTTGTGTGTATACGCATATATGTATATATGTGTGTATACGCATATATGTATATTTGTGTGTATACGCATATATGTATATTTGTGTGTATACGCATATATGTATATGTGTGTATATGCATATATGTATATGTAACAACATATATATTTATGTATAATATGAATATACATATATAATTCATATTTATGTAATATATTCATACCTATATAATTATATAAATTCCTATTTCTATACATATACATGTATAGGAATGTATGTATATATGTTAAAAACATATCTGTGTGTGTGTGTATATATATATTTAAATATACATAAATTCCCAAAACCCAACTTCCTAACCTACTACCTGATATTCATCATCATCTGTAATTTCCATGTAACCATTCCCCTCCCTTCTTCCTGTCAGGAATTCATCTTGTTCCTTTATGATAGTACACTGAGAACGTTACGAAAAACCACCTAGTAAGTGGCCAGGT
Source organism: Homo sapiens (assembly GCF_000001405.40). NCBI lineage: Eukaryota > Metazoa > Chordata > Mammalia > Primates > Hominidae > Homo > Homo sapiens. Next base: position 106,290,342 of record NC_000011.10, read on the forward strand.
CAGTTTTTATTACAACTTATGGTTAAATTCTTGCTTAATATGTAACTTATTTTCTTCCTAATACATATTAAACAGTTTCCATTGGAGACATGCAGCCTTTTTGTTTATTTACCTTCTTTCTTGATTTTTATAGTTTCTCTCTCACCTTAGTATGCTATGTAAATTTAATGAGCTATTTACTCCAATTTCTTAGGGGGAGTGACAGATCTTCCGACTCCTGCACAATGGATGTTTTCATGAACACATTTTCTCAGAGGTGATACCCAGCTCTACACTTTCTGTTATTAAGAGTAGCATCCTCAGAGGGTGCCAGAAATGAATTGTTCTTACAGTTTGTTTATGTCCATTAGCACCTAGAACAGCAAGAAACACACATACTCCTTAGCAGGATGATCTCGACAGCATTTTCCAGTTAAAGTTCTTCAAAAATGCCCTCTCATCTTGGGTGCAGAAGAACAGTTAGTTCTTTCTATCGGGTTTCACTCATGTGCAAGCATTCAGATAGAGATATTACCTCCATTTTTTTTTAAAGAATAGAAAGGATTATTTATTCCAGTGTTGTTCACAATGATTTACCCATTACTCCTCTCTTCTGCATGATCAGTGATGCCTTCAGGGAAGCAGTTGTCCTAAGTTTGGAGGAAAAAATAAACAGGTAGTAAATGAATCATCTCTAAATAGACCAAAAGGAGTTTGGACTATTGAATACTGGTAAATCACAGAAAGATTGAATATTTGATGTGCACTATGGCATTCTCTCTCCATAATCATTATTTTTTCCTAAACATGGTTGGGGTCTTGACTAATTGGACTCCATGCTTATCAGTTCAATGTCTTCTAATTCATGTTCTATTCTGGCAGACTCACCTTTCTCAAAATTAATATAATTACATCACTCTCTTGCTTATAACTCCTAATGGTCACATAAATTCAAGATATCCAGCCACAACTGGGCCCACAAGGTGTTCCCATTCTCTTTTCACTTATGAGGTGATAGAAGCTTTAAGTTGAGGTCTCCCTTCACCTGCCTGATACTTGCCTAAACCTACCAAGATGGCACTTGTACCCATCCTCTTTTTTTTCTGCCTGTACAATGGAAGAAATGTTCATCTTCTGAATCTCTCCATCTATGTTTTGTATGCCATCCATTTTCACTTTCAGAGGGAAATAGCCAGTATTTGACAGGCAGTAAATCTAAAGTGTCAATTAGACAGTCCAGTAGAGATGTCAAGAAGAACAACTATGAGAAAAAGGAGCTTTTTGTACATCTGCTATTTGGAGACATGGTGGGTTGGGTAAACGTAGATGGAAAATAGAAGAACATCTAGGTCTGGTTTGGGGCTATTCTGTCATTCAGTGCTTTCACAGAGAAAGAAGTGTGCTGGGACAGAAGGATTTTCCAGGGAGGTGGAATGAAAACCATGAGGTGTGGTGCCATAGAATTCAAGAAATCAGAGTACTTGAGCAGATTAAAATACTTCTAAGTGTTTAAAATGAGAACATAGGTGTGATTTTATGTTGACTTTGATGAGATAGAGGTCCTTGGTTTCACAATAAAGTAGTTTCAGAGGAGTGACTGGGGCAGAATTGCAGTTAAGTAGCAGATACAAGGTGAAGAAGTGGAGACAATGATTATGGATCCTTCCTTTGAGAAGTTCTCTTGTACAAAGGAGGAGACAAATAAGATAATAGAGACATGGGGTGATCAAAAGAGAATGTTTTAAAACAATTTTTACACGTGGGAGATCTGAGAATATTTTTTGTACTGAGAACTGGAGAAGTGGAGAGACTGATGATGCAGAGATCTTCTGCCTTTGGTGTTTCAATCTTTGTTTCTCTTCTGGAAAACTTCTATCAGAATTTATTCCATTTCTACTCTTTTTTTCTGTTAAAGAAGACACAGTTCTTAAAAGAATAATTTATACTGTAGTCTCCATCTTCTTACCACCTTATTCACTTGCTCAATTCATTGCCATCTTGCTTTAGTCCCTGTAACAGCACTGAAATCACTTGTTGCTAAATCTATTTGAAACTCTTTGGTCCTTATCTGACTTAATATCTCAGCATTGTAATCTTTCCCCCTTAAAAACACCTGCTTTCTTTGCTTCATTTTCACCCTATGTCTCTGATTCTGTCACTCAGTCTTCTTTGTAAGGGTTCTCTTCTTTAACTGTGATGTTTCTCAGACTCCCTTTTCTCATTTCATATATTCTCTCTCAATAGAAAAATGGTTTTGAGGACCATCCAACAGCCACAGCCCCCTAGATCTATATTTTAAGCCCATCGTTTTAGGAAGATACTGTCTTAGGTTGTTCCGGCTGCTATAATATAATACCATAGATTAGATGGCTTATTTCCCACAGTTCTGGAGGGTAAAGGTCCAAGATCAAGGTGCTGGTAGATCCAGTGTCTGGTGAGGGCTTGCTTCCTGGTTCATAGACAGTAGTTTTCTGTATGTTTTCTCACAGCATGGAAGAGACAAGGAAGTTTTGTGGGTCCTCCTTTATAAGAGCAATAATCCCATTCATGAGGGTTCCATTCTCACGATCTAATTTATTCACAAAGCCTCCACCTTCCAGTAATATCACATTGAGGATTAGGTTTCAACTTACGATTTTGGGCAATACAAACATTCATTCCATAGCAGATACAGACATATATACTCATTTTCCTACTTGATGTCACTATTCAATTTCACATAAGCATTTTAGACTTAATACATCCAAGACAACTCATCTTTTTCCTCATTGCGTTCTTTCTCTATCTATGACGTCAAAGAATGACCCACAGCCTAAATTGTTGTTAGAAATCTGGACATTTTTCTTGTCTCCCCTTTACCTCGCACATGTGATCAATCACAGTCTTGTTAAAGCTACCTTGTATATATCTCTTGAATTTGTCTATTCTCTTTACTCTGAATTATTTTACTTTTACTTTTTCTCTGAAGTGAAAGAGTACAAGGGCTACAATTTACTTTTCTAATGTATTCTCTTTAGTTCTGGGCTATCAGAGTTAAATTAGTGTTTAAATATTGCTGGGCTACTCTCATCTATGTGTCTTTCAACTTGAAGAAGGATGAAAATATAGAAAAGGAAAAAATAGATTTTTGTAACTAGACCAGTACATTTTGGAATAAGAGACAGAATACAGCTTAATTAATAGATTTTTGTATTAGTGTAGAACCAAATAAAATGTAAAACATGCAATGGCTTCTTTAGATTTTGAATAATAAGGATGTTATTTGTGAAAAATAGATTGGAGTCAGAGTTCAGGGAAAATATGGGAGGTATGAAAGTTATGTTAGCAGATAAGCAAGAGAGTAAGAGAGCCTGAATTAGAATGCAAGAGGACCTTTGGATGTATACAAAGAAAACTGTCTTCTCTATTTATACACTTATTAAGTAACATAGAGACTTTAAAGTCTACCTTTCATTTCTGAAATATATTTCTGATAATTTCTTTTTCACTAGTTTCCTAAGAAATGGGTAGATCTTATCTTTCTAAACTGTTTAGCTAGATTCCCCTCAGCCACTGGACATAACACTTTAGGTGATTGTTGGTTGTTGAATGAATATATTTTAATTTTCTCCAGAAAATCAGAGTGCTTAATTGAAAACATATAGCTGCCTTGCAGACTTTTGTCACTGCTTCAAAGATACTTCAAGTAAATTACCAGAAAGCATAAATATATTTTTCATCTGAAGTGAACCTATAGTGTAGAATTTTCCAAGTATTGGGTTCATCCCAGTAATTAGAAATAAGAAGCCCTTCTCAGTACCAATAAGAACTTTTTTAGTTTCAAAAATATGCACAGGTTTTTAAAAACACTGAGCTCTTCTTGTAGAGACTGAGTAGAATAGCACCAAGATTTAAAATAAATCTTGATAAAAGATGCACAATAGAGTGGAAATTACTCCTAAATGGAATGTTGCAAGACCCTGGGACTCCAAGCATTGAAGGGAACTGTAGGAGTCTGGATGGATGAATATTGGGAAAAAATGGGGAGAATCCAGCTGTGTCAGTGCGATTTCTCTGAGAAGATAGAGCAGGTTACATACAGAAAGTAGCTACTTCCTGTCATTTGACATTAAATCTGGACGCTCAGAAGAGTTGCATTACTTAGTGTGAGCTCTAAATTATGGTATAGATTCAAACTGTGCACTCCATGGAACTGGAGAAGGTAATCCTATTAGTTCATACTGCGGTTCCAACATAAATACTTAGTGGACTATGCCAAATCAACCCAGGGTATTGGTAATTGTCCCACATTGGGTCTTAGTGCATAGGAAGTGAAGACAATGTCACTTGTCTACCCCCTGGAGTACATGGATCCAAGGAGGGGCTATGGACTTGGGTGAGACATTTGTAGGAAAGGGGGCTTAGGGCAGTAAGATCTTGAAAGGCTGATATTAGAAATAAAGGGCTGGACCTTGGATGGTGATGACTCAGAAGCATAGGTAACTGTTGAAAATATCAGCAGTTACCTTCAATAAAGAGACCTGGGCAAGTAAGTAATAAGAAAATATAGAACTGTACATTTATCTAAAATCGTATACTTTTTGATATATTTGATTATTGGGTTTTACTTTATATTTGAATTGTATAAATCATTGACTTTAAACCAGCAACATCCATCTCTGGACAGATAAGCTCAGTAAGTGCAATTGCTTGAATAAATCAGGCATAAACAGTAGCACAATTAATGCATTTACATTTTGTTCTTTCATTTTGAACATATTACCCAGACCACCTGTTGCCTTCTGTACTGTGCAAGTTCCAGTCAGGAAGACAAAAAATACGCTAAGCATTTCAAATGAAGGGATTTGATACAGGTAATGAGTTACAAAGGCTTTGAAGGCTGGGGGAAAAAAGGGGGAAGCACTGAAGTAATAAGGAAGCAGCTACTACTCTTTGGAATTGAGGTTTAAAAAAAAAGAGAGAGATGTGAGGTGGATTTAGCAGAATCCAGGTACTCAGCTCTCTGAGGAAGGGGCATCTCTGGCTGTTGCTAGATTTCTGAGAGTGTGATGAGGCTGATTCTAGGAGTGCTAAGGGAAGCTGAAGGATGGAACCAAGCTGACAAGAGCAAAAAAACCAACCAAACAAACAAACAAGCAAGTCCCTTCTCTCTACTTCCTCCCTCCAATCCCCCTATAGCGTCTCCTGTTGGTAGAAACCAATAGGAACCAGCTAACTTTGCATTTTGGGAAATGTACTTCATATGGCCACAAAGCTGAGTAGAGAAATAAGGATGAATTTGTAGGTAAAAAACAATATGTGACCAGGCGCGGTGGCTCACGCCTGTAATCCCAGCACTTTGGGAGGCCGAGGTGGACGGATCACGAGGTCAGGAGATCAAGACCATCCTGGCTAACACAGTGAAACCCTGTCTCTACTAAAAATACAAAAAATTAGCCAGGCGTGGTGGCAGGCGCCTGTAGTCCCAGCTACTCAGGAGGCTGAGGCAGGAGAATGGTGTGAACCCAGGAGGCGGAGCTTGCTGTGAGCTGAGATCATGCCACTGCACTCCAGCCTGGGTGACAGAGCGAGACTCTGTCTCAAAAAAAAAAAAAAAAAGAACAACAACAAAAACAAAAATATGTAAAAATTTCCCCACCCATTGCTTAAAAGGAAAATAACTGTCTTGAAAACTAGACCATCAGTAAATTACACATAAAGTAGCTTCTGCCTAAGGGGTTATTTTTGGGGTGATGTATTATTAGGCAACCTTTAGTGAATTTGATTGCCTGTGGTATTAAATTCACTACTTAAGTGATTCTTAAGTACCCTTGTTACCACAGCCTAGACATTGAGTTCTTTGGCTCTCACATAAGTAGAAATTAACACTATGCCAGACAGAAATTTTTCTCAGCCAAGGTTTCACAGGCTTTCATTTCATAGGCTTGTGGCATGAGCACACAAGGGAGCAGTGTACAGCAATGGGATCCTGGTACCAGCTCCTGGAGGGGCTTGGCTCTTGTCATTTTAAGGAAGGTGAGGTGGGAAGAGGAGTGACATAGAAATGTCTCTAGGTGGGGTCTTTTTCTCACTTGTGCAGTGGTACCTCATACTCAAGCATCACATGACCAGAAAATGAGGGTTAAACTCTATCTTGAGTGGAGATTTTAGTATTACAATGAAATTATAATGAAAAAAAAAAGTCAGTGAAAGGTCAGCACTGGAGTCCGTCTTGTGTTCAGGCAGGTGGACTTGATCAGGTTCTTGGACACAGTCTACCTCTGTCACTCAGGCTGAAGTGCAGTGGCACCATCTCGGCACACTGCAACCTCTGCCTCCAGGGTTCGAGCAGTTCTCGTGCCTCAGCCTCCAGAATACTGGGATCACAGGCATGTGCTGCCTCACCCGACTAATTTTTTGTATTTTTTATTGAGACAGGGTGTCATCATGTTGCCAAGGCTGATCTCGAACTCCTGACCTCAAGCGGTCAGTCAGCCTTGGCTGCCCAAAATGCTGGAATTACAGGACTGAGCCACCACGCCTGGTCAGGTTCTTATCAGGGATGCTGGAGTCTTGCTTCAGGGACTTCAGAAGGCACTACTCGAAGAGATAAATGGTTAGATTCTTCCTTTTATGATTAGGAACTCAGCCTGGTCAGCTAAATTAGGAGAGGCGCCTCTTCCTCCTACATGACTTGTTAAGGGAGGCAAAAAGGTAGGGGAGAGATACACCCAGATATGAAAGGCCCATCGGGGCCTTGGTGTCATATCTCTGTGGGGACCAAGTATTTTCTCTATAATGTCTCAATCCCCCCTAAGAGGTTTTAACCTCCTTATTCTTTTTTTTTTTCTTTTGAGACAGAATCTCACTCTGTCACCCAGGCTGGAGTGCAGTGGCGCTATCTTGGCTCAATGTAACCTCCGCCTTCTGAGTTCAAGCAATTCTCCTGCCTCAGCTTCCTGAGTAGCTGGGATTACAGGCACATGCCATCATGCCCAGCTAATTTTTAAATTTTTAGTAGAGACGGGGTTTCACCATGTTGGCCAGGCTCGTCTCAAACTCCTGACCTCAGGTGATCCACACGCCTCGGCCTCCTAAAGTGCTAGGATTAATGCAAGAGCCACCACACCTGGCCTCAACCTCATTACTCTTAGGGGGAGAAAGGAATGAAAATCTTGTCTTCTATAACTGCTTCATGCTGAGCAGGGTCTGTCATCCCTACCTGCTCCAGAGGCATAGAAATCTCTTGCTATCCAATCTAATGATTTATAGGGACTTGCTCCTTCCTGCAGTGGCTCAGGCTGGTACCCTTCGGCCAGCATCAATTTTATCTGAAACTGTTGCAATCTGGAAGACACAAACTTTACTAAAAGATTAAGTAGACAAGGGCTGAAGATTAGTAATAATAATACAGCTACTTAAGGTTCTAAGAAGGGCAGAAACCAGGTGAGACTTGGGAAGGCACTTTTGGTGATTGATCAGACATAATTTGGGTCAGTTCCCTGGTTAGATCTATGTTACCATGTAGCTTGTTTGGATATTTTTTGTATATTGGTCTCAACCTTTCCAGAGCTATTGACGTAAGTGCAACCAGTTTTGTTGATAACTGCACACACACCCTCCCTGGTCAGCTAGAACATGGTCTAATCCTAGCCAATTGTTGACAACACCACCATTTGGTCTAGGGAAGCCTGGAGACCTTATAAGCCTTCTCTTATATTTGTGGTCAACTTTTCTGTAATCTGTGTAAGGTTTTTAAAAGTTATTTCATGTTAGGTGAAGCCCCTCAGGGAGCTACCCTTCCCATAGCTGCCATAATTTCTGCCAGGATTAGCTCAGTTGGTCTCTTATATTCTAATTTTGGAAGTAAGGTTATGGACTGTTACTCTATTGGAGCCCAACTGTCTTACGGTAACTTTTCCTTGGAACTGGGGGTGTCCAAACAAGGATAGGCTAAGGCCTGTAAGTTGAATGGGAAGATGGGGTCTGTTTCTCCCTTGTAGGACCTTGACTGCTACAAAGGAATACATATCCAGGGGCTGGGCCTGCCTGATGGGGGGTATAGAGGAGTTGAGCCATTTATTCGAACTAGGTTCTCAGGAAGGAATGTTGCTGCTGCATTGGGGTGAAAGAGGTCTTCCCACTGAGTTCTGGGTCTTTGCACCCAGGGAATGCCCTTTCTCCCTTAGGAAGTAGACAAAAGGGCCTCCATGTTATACTCTCCATACCTGTCCAATCTGTACGTCATCCCTGTGGAGATGATGGGGTGGAACCAGTCAGGATGTTTTAGTAAATGAGAGGCGCGGTACCAATAGGTAGTATTAGTTTGACATTGTTCAGGGATATTGAATGCCATTGGGTAAATTGAGGGTGGACGCCAACTGTCTACATATATTATATTTGCCCAAGGACTGGTTCTACAAGGACAACAGGGGGCTGTCAAGGATGGACAATTAAGCATTTAGATCTCCTTCCAAATGGATTGGTTATAGATGTCTGTGAGGCACACACATTCAAGTCTTTCTGTTACTTCAATTTGTGTAGTCATAGGTGATGGCTTTTCAACATAGTCAGAGGTAAGATTTAATGTCAAATTGGTCTTAGTGGGGACAAATTGGAGCTTAGTTCCTCCCACCTGTAGGTGTGGTGGCAAATCTAACAGTTAGGTTGTTCCTTGAGGTGATAATCCTGGAAAAATTGATGAGTGAGTTTTCTTCCCATTGGGCCCTAGTAGCAACGAGTATGTGGAGAAGGAGGAAGAGGAAGTTATTTCTCATTGTGATCCTGCCTTAAACCTAGCAAGGACAGAAAGAAAAGGTCCTTACCAGTGGGAGGGGCTGTCCAGATGGTAGAACAAGAAAACGGTAATTAGGGTGAAGAGAAAAATTAGTTTTCCTATGCTTACTCACAGCATTATGTGTTTGCATCTGGCTATCGGTTCTTGTAAACCTGTAGTGGAGGCCTTCCACTCATTCACGGGAGGAAAGGGGGCTTTCTGGATGAGGCTAGAAACATTCTGGTGAAAGCCTTTTAATTGGGAGAGGCTGGAGATCCCTGGTAGCTTGACTGCAGTTGGAGTAGCCAGGATCACCCAGTCCTAGGGCCCTTTCACTTAGGCAACCATTGATCCTCTGGGGAGCCTTCTTTCCAAATCTTAAGAAGGACTTGGTCTCCTGGGTTGACCTTTAGAGGAGATTGTCCCTCTTTTATAGAAGTTGATGGTACTTTATTCCCAAAATGTAATATTGCTTTCTGAATCTGATCCACATTGATAATACCATATGTTTTGACTCATTTCTCAGTCCAGTAAAATGTCAGTAGTGAGGAGGAGCCTCCTGTAATCCATTTCAAATGGACTGGGTTTTAAGTTGCTCTTTGGGGCAGTGTGAATCTGAAAGAGTGCAATAGGAAATAGCCTTATCCAGGTTTGCTATGTTTCTTGAAATAACTTTGCCAAAGTTCTTTTAAGGGTATGATTCATCCTTTCTACCTTTCCTCAGGATTGGGGATGCCAACAGTCATGTATTTATAATCTATTCCCAGGACTTCCAAAAAGCTTTGAGTGATTTTAGCTATGAAACAGGGTCTATTGTTTCCCTGGAGTGACTTTGGAAGACCGAATTGAGGAATTACTTCTTTTAGACTTTCGCAAGTATCAGTGGCCTTTTCAGACTGGGTTGGATATGCTTTGACCCAGCCAGTAAAAGTGTCCATGAAAATGAGAAGGTATTTCTATCCCAAAAGAGAGGGCACCTGGGTAATATTTCTTTGCTAGTCTTCCACAGGGTAGGTTCCCTAGTGTTGGACTGGCTTGACTAGGGCAAGAGGAACCAGTTGAGTCTGGGGATTGTTTTGAATACGTAATTTGCAGGCCATGGTTACTTGACTTACAGTCTTTCTTGGCCCCTTTCCAGAAGAGGTATTTTGTACTAATTCCCAAAAGATATCCCTCCTATAGTGAGTAACTTCATGTAGGTACTAAATAAATTTTCACTGCCAAGTGCGGGGATAAGGACTTTACTGTCCTTAACCAACCACCTGGCACTCCTCTTTTCCTATTCCCACTTCTCAGTGTCATCCTGTTCTTGTTGGGAGTACTGAGGTTAGCTGGGAAGTCCCAAAGGGTTGATTATTAGTACCATTACCTGGTCATCTTTCTGTGCTTAAGCTGCTTATTTTGTGGTCCTATCAGCTAATTTCCTTGGCTAATAAGCAATCTGTCCCTCCGATGGCCTTTGCAGTGAATGACTTCCACCTGGCCAGGGAATTGTACAGCTTCCAGAAGAGCTAAGACTAGATCCCTATGCTTTATTGGGAAATTTTTAGCTGTTAGCATACCCCTTTTCTTCCAGATGGCAGTGTGGGCATATAAGACATGAAACCCATACTTTTAGTTGTAAAAATGTTTAGTTTGTTTTTGCTTTTCTCAGCTGCAAAACCCTAGTTAAAACAAATAATTTGGCCTTTTGAACTGAGGTCAGAGTGGGAAGAGCTTCTGCTGAGAAGCCTACTTTTTGGACACCTTCTTCCATAAAGCTACTTCCATGAGGAAAGCATTCTACTTCTGAATTGTCAAGGGGCTCATCCTGGAGTTCAGGCCTAATGGAATAGGTCTATTCTGTTGTCTCAGTACATTGATGAATTAGGCCTTCATGTCTGCAACAGGGACTAAAGTGACAGGGATCAAAATCTGACACTCTGTGAAACATCCAGAGTGTCTAATAAAAGAGCTTGATGAGTCAATGGTGTTCCTTCACCCCCAGTATAGTCTGGACTTGATTACAACTTTTAGGTACTGACCCAAGGTAAGTTTAGAGGCCTCATTAGCCAGGAGGGTAGTAGCTGCCACTGAGCCAACCCTGGGCAATGGAATACTGTTGTAAGCCACTGGCCACTGGTTTGGCCCTAGCTTCTGTGTTAGAACCCCCAAAGCCATTCCCTGCTTTTCATATATATATATATAAGGTGAAGGGCTCATCCAGGTTAGGAAGCCCAAGTGATGGGATTTGGCTTAACTCAGTTTTTAAGTCCTCAAAACCTTGATGACAATTCTTATCTCTTTGCAGGGGTACCCTTTTCCCCTCGTCAGCACCTTGTATAGGGGCTTAGCAATTAAGCCATGATTAGGAATCCATATTCAGCAGAAACTGGTCAAATCAATAATATCCTGTAGCTGTTTCCTGGTTTATGGGGGCAGCAATACATCAATTGCCCTTTTCTGATCCATAGCCAAGGCTCAGGCACTGGGAGTGAGAACAAATTCTAGATTTTGGGCCCTTTATAGGGAGATTTGGACCTTAGCCAAGGAAACTTTGTATCCCTGTTCTGCCAGGAAATTTAAGGTCTTAATGATATTACAGTCAGAGTCTTTCTTAGTCAGATTGGCAATCCTCAGGTCATCTGCATATTGCAATATGGCTCCTACTCTGAAATCTAGTTCTGTCAATTTGGCTGCCAAGGCATTCCCAAATAGGTGAAGGCATCCCAGAAGCCCTGTGGGAGCACTTTCCAGGTGTGCTGAGTGGTTTCTAAGATATTGGGATCCCTCCATTCAAGGGCAGAAATATATTGGGAATTAAGCTGCAGAGGTATGCAGATGAATATATCTTTAAGGTCCAGCATGGTGAAGTATTGTGCATCACCAGGAATCTGGGTGAGCAGTGTATACAAGTGCAGTACTGTCAGATGAATGGAAGCCACAGCTGCATTTATAGCTCATAACTCTGCACAAACCAATATTCCCCATTTGGCTTTTAGATGGGAAGTATGGGAATGTTACAGGGTCATTGATGGGCCTTTATTAATCCACGTTTTAGGAACTTGGTAAGTAATGGCTGAATTCCCTTTAGGGATTCAGGTCTTAGAGGATATTGTCTTTTCCAAGCGTATTTTACTCCTGGTTTTAGCTTTACTTCAATAGGGGAAACTCTGACAGCTAACCCTGGAACTGTAATGTCCCATACTACTGTGTTAACCTGAATTCAAATTTCATCAGGGATAAAGGAAATGTTAATATCCACTAGCTGTAGTGAGGCTAAAAAATTGATCCCTTGTCCTTTGTCTACTGACACCTTGAAGCTATCTTTTTCTGATGAGATAGAAGCCCCCAGTGTGCTCAGCAGATTCCTACCGAACACTAAAGTGGGGCATTCAGGAATATGTAGGGAAGAATGAGTTATAACTTCAGAACCAGCCTCACAGACAGGAGGAAAAGTATATTGTCTTACCTTAAATCATCCATCTATTCTTATCACCAGACAGGCATGATTGGGGAGGAGGCTTACAGACTTAGGACAGAATAGGCTGCTCCAGTATCAATAAGAAATTCAGTTTTCCTAGGCTCCCCTGGAGTGATGATGATGGAGGTGGGAGCTGGGTGGATTCTTGGGTGCCATTAGTCAGTGGCACAGTCTCCCTCATGGGAGAGATTTTCCAAGACGAGGATCCTGTCTGGAAAGTCAACTGACCTCCCTGCTTTGAGGTGGTCAGGACAATCCCTTTTCCAGTGCCCATCCTTCTGGCAATATGTGCATTGGTTAGGTCCCACATTGGGCAATTGTCTCTTGTCTCTGGTATTCTCTGCCTTTTTGGGTTGCCATGAGGTGGAGGGCTAATCAAGGTAGCCAAAAGCTGTATTTTCTTGATCAGCCTGATATCTTTTTCCTTTGCTTTGCCCTGTCCCTGTTGTTGAAAACCTTAAAAGCCTTCTCTACCAATACTGACAGAGGGGCTTGGGGCCCTGTCTCTGACTTTTGTAACTTCCTTCTAATATCAGGAGTGAACTGGGTGATAAAATGCAAAGTGCGTAGCCAACAAGGCTATCCCCTCTGGCAACTCTGGATTAACATATTAATTAGTATACTTTCTGAAGGCTTCTGTAACACAGCTGAGGAGATTCTTCATCAGCCCAGCCTGAGCTACTTCCCCAACCTTGTCATAATTCACAGGCTTCTTCATGCATTTTCTCATCCCTTCAGCCACGTAGGTAATAAAATGCTCCATCCTACATTTGTCTATTTCATCACTAAGGTCCCACCAGGGGTCCTGCTCAGCGATTGTCTTCCCCAAAGCTTGATGAACAGCATATGAGGCATTGGCCTATACAAATGAGTCAGCATGTGCCCTTGCCCTTTCACGAATCTGGATCTTTTCATCTGGGGTGGCACAATTGTCTAAAATCACCATCACATCCTAACAGGTTAGGGTGAAGCTCAGACATAGTTTTACAAATTCCTCCCTGAACTTATTGGGGTCCTCTGAGAACTGGCCAAACTTTTCTTTACATACTCTGAGATCTGCCATGGAGAAGGGGATGTGAACATGAATTATTCTCCCCACCCATTTGCTATCTCCTTTAGGGGATAGAGGCCCTGGACTGGGGGTGAGGTAAAAGTAGGTGCCAGCTTGGAACTCAATCAGACCCCCGTAGGGGATAGTGGATAGGGCTCTGGCCTTAAAGCCTCTAGTTCTCTATGGGCCTGATCCAGGTATGGTGGAGATTCAGGGGCCAAAGGAGGCCTTGAACCTGAAAGAGGGCTGGAGGGTTACTATGTATCAGGCCTAGGGTCAGGAAGATTAGGCAGTGACTGTAATAGTGGATGAATGGGTAGCTCCAGCACTTGCTTCTCAACCCCAGGCAATAAGCTGGGAATGATAGATGCCATCATGCATATGTGACATGAGTCCAATAATCCAGGATCTTGATACAACTTCATAAAAGTTCACACGTAAGAGATTTCTTCCCACCTCTGTGACTGCTTATAAAACAAGTTTAGCTGTAAAGTAGCATTATACCTAGGAGACTCATATAATGTTCATTGCTCCTAATCTCCCAATGGGTTCTGGGGCCAGGTGATGTTACAAAGGGAGATTACTTTCTTTTTCTTTAGGTCTTCTAGCTTAAATTGCCCCCATTTGGAGAGAATATATCCTAGAAGAGAGTCACGGGGAACACTGAGATCATTGCTCATGTCTAATCCTGCCTCTCCTGTTACCTTTGATTAAAGATCCTGGTAGAGGGAAAAGCATCAGGGAGTTAGTCTTGATGTAATTCAAGACCTTTAAGCCCAGTAGTCAGCCCAGGATTCCCCTGGATGGAGGAATCCTGGTCCTCAGGGATCAGAGAGGAAAACACAGAAATAACAGACATAGTTGTTTCACACTAGCTGCTAAGGAATGGTTGCCCTATGTGTGACTACAAGGCTAGGAATGCCCATGGTGTGTGTAGTTGAAAGAGTGCACTTGTATTGTACAGGCTACAAGTGTACAGTGCACTTGTGTTGTGTTGAAGATGGGCAGTAGTAGATGCCAACATAACTCATCCACTCTTGAGGAAGAAGGCCCCCATTGCTCAAAACTGCTTTTACCTCATTTAGAACACAGGCCAAACAGTCAGGAGGAGGGGGTGAAAGCTGAAGGACTGAGCTCAGACAATTATAACTGCTCTACCTTTGCCCAGGCCACAGTGGGCCAAACTTGAAGGAGGAAGTGATGGGGGGAAATTAGGGCTATCAAAAAGATCATGGAGTGGGAGCTCTTGAATCTCAGAGCAAAATAAAGAGGGAGTGAAATATTGAAAGATCAGTATTTTGGTGAGGAGTTCAATTGGACAAAGTTTTCCCAATCAGAAGCAACGAGAGTGGAGAGTTTCCTATAAAAAAGAAAATGGTTCCAGTGTTCTGCCTGGGAGGTACTCCCCAGGGCAGACAAAAGGGAGAGCACTCGAGTCTCACTGGACAGTGGAATGAGGGCAAGGAGGAAATTTAGGGAGAAAACCTTTTCATTCATTTCAGGGAGAAAATAGGAGAATATGAAATTTCTGATAGTTCTCTGCAAATGGGCCAGGTTTAAAGGGGGTGGGTGTGAGAGAGAAAGAAGGGGAAGAAAAAAGACAAGGGAAGGAAAGGAAGGTTGTGAGGTTTCCAGCCACTGCACAGTGCAGAGCCAATGTCATCACCACTCTTGCTAGTCTCCCATCAGGGAGAGCCTCAGCATCCTAGACCTTCACAGTGTCAGATGAATCCCTCCCACCTTTGCAAGTCACAAATCAAGGTGAACTGTTTCCAGCCAGAGGAAGCTAAGGGTACTTTTGGCTGAAATGAGTACGACTGTAGGTGGCCCTCTGAGATAATCAGAGGAATAAAGTTGGAAGATGGGGAAAGAGAGGGGGAAGGGGAAAAAGAAAGAAAAAAAACTGAGAGACATAAAGAGCCCAAAGAACCTGGGCATGCAGCAGGACTCATCCCAGCCATTGTTCTTTGGGTTGATCAAGCCCGACTGCCTACCTCCTCAACCAGTCTAGCAGGTTTGTTGGAAACTACTCAGAATCTGATGTCAGCCAGTCTGAGGGGTTCTTAAAACCTAGCACAGAGGTGACTAGGACCTCTTACTCCAGAAATCCCTAAGCCAATCAAGAGGGAAAAGAAAATGAGGGGCAGGGCTCAGAAGGAGAACAAAAGTACCTTGGGCCAAGAGAGGACTCACTGGCTGTAGAAACACTGAAGCAAATATTTCAAGTGGCCACTTCATCTATCACAAGGTCACATTCTGGAGGTCTTGCTGGCTCTCTGGTGCTTCTCCTTAGGGAAATATCCTCACTTATGGGCTCCAGCAGAGTCACCAAGGCTGTTACTGCAGCCCGGACCCCACATTTATTGGTTCTTGCATAAGTAGAAATTAACACCAGGATAAACAGAAATTTTTCTCGGCCACGATTTAATAGATTTGTGAATCAAACATACAAGGAAGCAGCATATAGGAAAGGAATCCTGGTACTAGCTCCCCAAGGGGCTCAGTTCTCATCATTTTAAGGAAGGTGTTGTAGGAAAAGGAATGATGTACAAGCAATGTTTAGATGGGTTTTTTTATACACTTGCATAGTGGGGCATCATGCTCTAACATGTATCACATGACTAGAAAATGGGGGGATAAGCCTCATTGTCAGTGGAGATTTTAGTATTTCAATGAGATTATAATGAGGAAAAAGTCAATGGAGGGTCAGGATTGGAGTCCATCTTGTCTTCTGGCAGCTGCATATGCTGCCTAAGAAAACAAAAATGGTCCCAGGTTTATATTGGGAATGCTAGAGTCTTGCTTCAGCAACCTCAGAAGGCATCCATCCCTCAAAGAGATAAATGGTCAGATGCTTCCTTTTATGGTTAGCAATTCAGCCTGGTCAGCTAAGTTACGAGAGCCCTCCCCTACCTGTTACATGACTTGGGTCAGCTTGTTAAGGAAGGCAAAAGGCAGGAGAGGAATATGTCCAGATAACTAAGGCCCATTGGGACCCTGGTTACTGTGTCACTTGTCTGCTGGGACCAAGTCTCTTTTTTATACTATCTTCCACTGACTTGCATTCCAAGTACAATAGTTCTTTCAACAGAGCCAGTAGTCTTTTTCTTCTTGGATACTGCCATCTTCCTCTCTCCATAATGCTGAAATTTTGGTTACAGTGCCCTTAGAAAAAGATTCCCCCTCTCTTCTATCAATAGACAGATAACTTTCCTCCTCAAGTTCTTGCCTTGCCAATGCCTCCCTCTCGTCTTGATTTTCCAGTATTAGTTGGCCAACAGGGTCTGCTGCTTCCTCTCTGGGTCCAACTTGGCTGTTTTAGATATGGTTGCTTTTCAGAGGTCAAGCATCTCTGACTTGAAGAAGTGCACAGCTGAACAGATGGGTTTAAAAAAACTTGAGATTATTTCACTCTCCAGAATCTCCAAGTCATTTTATATGTTATTTCTAGGCCTTCCAAATACTACTATGCCTGGCATGAACCAAAACATTTCTTCCATGAAAATGACTGCCTTGTCAAGCTAAGTGCACATTCTGTCAATTGTCCAGCTTCATGCCAGCAGAGGGCAGGCAGGACAGATAATGTCCACAGACAATCTCTGATCCTCAGGTTACCTAATACATATGTTGATCCTGTACAGAATAACTCTGGGAATTGTATCAAGATTGTTAACCCTTGGCAAAAGGGTCTATTTGTCTTATCAAGGCATAAATTGATTAGCTGCCTAAAAGCTCTGGTACTTGTAGAATTTAGAAATTTTTTTGTATTAAGCTTTCTGGAAAGAATTGTTTTTCCAAGCCCATCTGATCCCCAGAATTTAAACCAATAATTTAACATCTTGACTAAGCATCAGAATCATACCTGCAGCTTATTAAAAATGCAGATGCATAATCCTCATTCCAGACTTACTAAAGAAATCACCTGAGTGTTGGGCCCGAGTATACCTGTAAAAGCTGTATACATTGTTTTGATATATAATCGGAATTGAGAATTCCAGATTTCCAACCCTGGGGAAATAAAAAGCATTGTTTAACCACTATTGGCTGCTTTGTGTTGTTGGCTTCAAAGAACTGTTTCAATAAATGTCAGTCTGAGGATCTTAACAAGATTTATTCAGTGTTAAGTACCGAAAATGATTTTCCTTATTGGTTAGCTTATTTATTTATTTATTTATTTTATTTATTTCTGTGGTGCTGCTGTTTGTTTTCAGTCTTTAAAATGGCGAAGAGTTGTTAAGTCATGCTGTAGTATATTTCCATTTGGCTCTGTTGTGTACATTAAAGCTCCCCTCAGATGGGTAGAAAGGATGATAAAACATATTTAGATAGCATCTCTGCACTCCTTGATAAAAACTGTAATTTTGGCTGCACTACTCAATGGGTGGTTGATCACCACACTTACAGGGCTCAATAAAAGCTCGAGGTTTAAGTAAGAGGCCTGAAATCTTGGAAGGGAAAGTTGTTCTGTTCCGGAAGATTGCATTGGACAGAGTCTCAGTGAAATCCTGCTCAGAGTATCCAAAACATGGAGACCATGCAACTGTTTTCAAGATGGTAAAGAAACTGACTTACTATAAAAATAATAACTTTGTGAAGAAATATAGGCAGGTATCTGAGAGAATGAGGGAAGGTAAATAGCTCTAAGGATGAGGCAACAAATTTATTAAAAGTCTGGGTTCTGGAAGGAGAGGTAGTTAGGAGTTTCCTGCGAAGGCTATGATTAGTCATTACCAACTAAAAATTACTGGGCCAGCTTTGCCAGCAGGCATTTGAAATTGTACATTCTATTCAGTATTGTAAAGATGGTTTAATGTAAGAACATCAATGCACATAATATACTATATCAATAGGGAAAGCCAGATTTATAAGACTTTAATAGTTTGCTAAAAGACATTTGCTAAAAGTAATTTACTATTTTTTAAAATATAACAAAAATAATAGTTTTCCACAATATAATAAAGAACAACTAAGATTATGTCAATCAGTGCTGACAAGAGTATACGATGAAACAGGCACTTTCATTAATTGTTTGTGTCAATGTAAACTGGTTCAAGAACTTTGAAAAATAATTGAATCTATATATTTCATGAGACAGATAAACTTTGACACATTAATTCAAATTTTGTCATTCTTTCTTAAAAAAAAAATCCAAAATGATGATAAAAGCTCCAAGCACAGAGATACTAATTTGAGAATTATTTATTAAAATAAAATTAGAAGTAACTATATGAGGGATATCCAAAATGTCTGAGTGTGCCTGCCTTAAGTTTAAACAAAATTTTTGCATGCATATCTTTTACATGTCCAGTTATTTATGTGTAAATTATACACATGTACTGATGTGTTAATATATTCTATTACATGATAATATATATTATATAGGCATACACACAAGAGAAATTGAAAAAGGATGAATTAAAATGTCATCAGTAATATTTTTTGGTTAGGACATAGTGATTGAGTATACCTTCTATTTTTGAAAATGTTGATTTAATATTATCTATTGCAGCAATTCCATGGTCTTCATTTAAGACCACTGTTTTTAATACTTTTTAAAAATCAAGCTTATTTTGACAAAATTTGCACAGTCAAATTCATTCTTTTAAAGAATACAGTTTAATGAGTTTTGACAAATGTATGTAGTTCTCTAACCACTACCACAATCAAGATAAAGAATATTTCCCTAACCTCAAGAAGTCTCCCTGTTCCTCTTTTCAATCAATTTCCTGCCCCTAACCCCAGCTCCTGGCAATTACTCAATTTCTCTCCCTATAATTTTTTCCCTTTGGTTTTCACAAATCTAACAAAAATAATGAAAAGAGTCTTCCTCCATATAATAAAGAGCAACTAAGATTATGCCAATCAGTGCTGATGAGAGCCAGAACTTTTCCTTTTCCGGAGAGTCTTATACATTGTAGCACTTTTGTATCTGGCTTCTTTCATGTTGCATAATGCTTTTGAGGTTTAAACATCCTGTTGAATTTATCGGTAGTTTATTACTGTTTTATTTATGGGTAGTATTTCTTATATAGATATACAACAATTCATTCATCAGTTGATGGATATTCTGGTTGTTTGCAGTTTTGGGCTATTATGAATATGACTGCTATAAAAAATTGTATACAGTCTCTGTGTGAATATATGTTTTAATTCTCTTGGGTAAATACCTAACAGTGATATTTCTGCTTATATGGTAAGTGCATGTTTTCTAAAGTGGGCAAACCATTACATATCACCACCAGCAGTGAATGAGCATCCTAGTCTTCCACATCCTCACTAGCACTTTATATATCCAATAAAAGTATTTTTTTTTTTTGGTCATTCTAGTAAGTCTGTGTTACGGGCTGAATGGTATCCCTCCAAAATTCATATGTGGCAGTCCTAACACCCAGTACCTCAGAGTGTGATCTTATTTGGTGATAGGGTCTTTAGAGAGGTAATCAAGTTAAAATGAAGTTACTAGTGTGAGTCCTAATCCAAAATGACTGGTCTCCTCATAAGACGAGAAGATTAGGGAAGCACGTAGAAGAAATAAGTGAAGCAGAGCCAGGAGATGGTTCCTGGGGAGATGTAAGGCCACCAGAGAAAAGTGTCCAGGAAATAATGAAGAAGGAAGATGAAATACCAAAACCTAAATCTGTGGTTGTGTCACCATGCACTCCTAAAAGGCACTCAGGCCTGTAATCCTAGCACTTTGGGAGGCTAAGGTGAGAGGATTGCTTGAAGCCCGGAGTCCAAGAGCAACACCCTGGGCCACACAGCAAGACCCCATCTCTTAAAAGAAAAAAAATACTGGTGCATGGCACATGGTGGTGTGCACCAGTAGTCCCAGCTACTCCAAAGGCTGAGTTGGGAAGATCATATGAGCCCAGGAGTTCAAGGTTACATTAAGCCCCTCATGCCACAGCACTCCAGCCTGGGTAACAGAGAGAGGTCTTGTCTCAAAAGAAAATGCAGTGTACATTGCACATGTAGATGCTGGCAATTCAACCACTGGAAGACAAATACTGTATTTGACTGAAATGGGTGAAAACAGGGTATTTGAAATGTATGAAACAGAAGTTAAAAAAGAAACAGAGAAACTTAGTACTTGTCTTGACTCTTAGACACAAATCAGGAAAATTGAGACAAGGATAAAATAATAGAAGCGGGTTTTGCCTATTTTGAAACTGAAAATAAATATTTTACAATTCTAGATGCCTCTGGTCACAAGAGCTTCATCCCAAATACAATTGGTGGTGTCTCTCAAGCTGATTTGGCTGCGCTGGTAATCTCAGCCAGGAGAAGAGAGCTTGAAATTGGATTTGATAAAAGGACAAACAAGAGAACGTGCAATGTTAGCAAAGGCAGCAAGTGTGAAACACTTAATTCTATTTATTAATAAGATGAATGATCCAAGAGCAAATTGGAGCAATGAGAGATATGAAGAATATAAAGAGAAACTAGTGCCATTTTGAAAAAAGTTGGCTTCACTCCCAAAAACTGCATTCACTTTATGCCTGCTCAGGACTAACTGGAGGAAATTTCAAAGAGCAATTGAATTTCTGTACTTAGTACATTGGATTACTGTTTATTACATATCTAGGTAATTTGTCAGACTTCAATAGATCAGTTGCTGTACCAATCAGGCTGCCAATTTTGGGTAAGTACAAGGATATGGGCACTGTTGTCCTGGGAAAGCTGGAATCAGGCGGTCTGTTTGTAAAGGCCAGCAGCTTGTGATGATGCCAGAAAAGCACAATGTGGAAGGTCTTGGAACACTTGCCAATGATGTAGAAGCTGATACTGTAGCCCCAGATGAAAAGCTCAAAATCAGACTGAAAGGAGTTGAAGAAGAGGAAATTCTTCCAGGATTAATACTTTGTGATGTTAATAATCGTGGTCATTCTGGAGGCACATTCGGTGCTTAGATAGTGATTACAGAGCATAGATCTGTCATCTGCCCAGAATTTAATTCAGTGCTGCAAATTCACACCTGTATCGAGGAAGTCAAAATAACAGCCTAAATCTGCTTGGTAGATAGAAAATAAGACTCAACCCTGTTTTGTGAAGCAAGATCAAGTATGCATTGCTCATTTAAGGAGAGCAGGAACCATCTGCCTTGAGACCTTTAAAGACTTCCTCAGGTGCGTCATTTTACCTTAACAGATGAGGGCAAGACTTGCAAATGGAAAAGTTCTAAAACTGGTTCCAGAGAATAACTAAGCATTTTCTTGACGATCTTGCACAATACTGTGAGAAATATTGACTGCAAAAAGCCTATCACATATCACCTTCTCTAATTTTCTGCCCATTGGTTAACCTCTCCCCATATTTACAAAGTGAAAATTCACAGCAAAAGTCCACATTGTGTCACTTTCTTATATTGAGAGTTCTGCTATGCCACTGTTGAATTTTTAAAATATTTTCCCTCCTTTTCATACTCTGCTTCCTTGGATGGATTTGGCAATAGCTTTGTAAGTCATCTGGACATAATTGCCTGTAATAATGAAAACCCTACAGCAATTTGTTTTTCATTTTCTCCTTAGGCATACTCAGTACTTTTCCCCCAGGCAGATCATTCTGAGTGTGCAAGGATGTGTGCACATGTTAGAAAGACAACTACCATTTTAATAAAGTATTCAATTTGAAAGAAATAAGAGAAGATTGATTAGGACATAAACGGTTACAGAGGGATGAACTTGTGAAGACACAGGGCGAAGACGGCCATCAATAAGCCAAGGGGAGAAACCTCAGAAAAAAACCAACCATATCAACACATTGACCTTGAACTTCCAGCCTACAGAATTGTGAGAAAATAAATTTCTGTTGTCAAACACATCTAGTCTGTGGTACTTTGTTATGGCAGCCCAAATAAACTAAAACAGTAAAAAAAAAAAAAGGATATTTTATTGAGTTTTATTTAAATATCCTTAATGATTAATAATACTGAGTATTTTTGTGTTCATTTTGCCATCTGTATCTCTTCTATAGTAAACTCTTCAAATCTTTTGTCCATTTATTAAATTGAGTTTTTTGTCTTTTTATTACTGATTTCTAAGTATTCCTTACATATTCTGGATACCGGTCCTTTATGAGATATGTGCTTTACAAATATGTACTCCATATTTGTGGCCTGTCTTCTTAATAGTGTCTTTTGAAAGAGAAATTTTTAAATTTTGATTAAGTTGAATTTATTATTTTTTCATTTATAGTTTATGCTTTTCATTGATGTTATTTTGATTTTTTACAACTTTATTGAGATACAATTGATGCAAAATAAACTGTACACATTTTAATCGTACAATTTGATAATATGTGACACGTATACATCTTTGAAAGAATTACCACCGTTAAAATGATAGACATTTCTATCACTCTCTTCAAAATAAAATTTCCTCTTGTCCTTGTGCAAACTATCCCTTCCTTCGTCCCACTCCCAGGCAACTAATGAAATTCTTTGTCACTATAAATTAGTTTAAATATTCTAGAATTTATATGAATTAAATCACACAGTACGTACTTTTTTTTGCATAGCTTCTTTCATTCAGATAAGTGATTCTGAGATTTATCCATGTTGATATGTATATCAATAATTCATTCCTTGTATTCCATTCATTATCATAAATTGTTAATCAATTTACCTTGGCTGACATTTTAATGCTTGTCATACTTGAAAAATTTACTACACAAAGACATTGGCTGAAAGGGAATGCAATATTGACCTCACTTATTGAATTGCGCTACTAGTTTTTCAAACTCTCTACCACAAAACAAAGACAACTGGTTTTGTTAAAATCTCAATCTGTCCCCATGTCAGTCTGTTGACATTACGAGTTAAATAGATAATCTAAGTATGTTATATCCAACTGTAGCTCTTTATTGAAATTTTTTTAACTAAAATATTACTAAGTGGGTTACAAAATTCTGCTTCTGTTTTAAGCACATAGAGAAGAGAGATTTTACAAGTGACACATTTATATTTTGGGCATTAAAATCACGTAATATGAAAACATTTCAAAGCAATCTGTTTTTAAATGTTCTCTCCTTTGCGACATTTTCTTCCAAATAGTAGCAGCTACTTTTTCATTTATTGGTAAAATATCTTCAAGTTAAATATTTAGTGTTTGTTTTTCTGAAAATTTCTGTTAGCTAGCAGAATATGGGTGTGAATTTGTCATTACAGAAATTAAAAACAAAATGAACGTGTGCCTTTTTGAAAAAGGAAAATGAACAATGCACCTTTATGTTTGCTTGGCAAATCTCTTAGGTACTTGGCACAAAATGACCAGAAAACCTTTTTAGGATATAAAAGATTTTTAAGGTCATTTCTTATTTATTTCATTACACAATATTGTATGACACTATAATTTGAGGATCTCTTAAAATACATAAAATTAACCATACCAATAACATTCTGTAGCACTTTATGCATGTCTATTTTCACCTTCTGTGCCAAAAAGACTAATAATCCAATAAATTAATTTCAAATGTGCTATTGCACCTGTAATTTTACTTAAAACAATTTTGTAAAGGAAACTGAACTTAAATCAGTTATATCAAGATTACATTTATATGGTTTTTCCATAATGTAATTTCTACTTTGATAATATATCTTCTTCAGTACCTTTAAATAGCTCAGAAAAAGCTGTTTCATTATTAAAACAGAACCCAGAAAATACCATAAGCTGAGACATTACTTTTAATTGTAATTTCAGCCAACTCTATAGCAAACCTCCCACATAATACTCATTTTTTCAATTCTTTAGCAATGTTTTCTATGAATATTCCAACACTAATTACGGACAAAAAATTGACCACATTATTTTCTGCTTATTTCATTTTTTAAAAATCCTGACACGACAGTGAATGATGTGCTTTCTTAATGATAGTATATTTTGTCTTTGTTATTAAGCACAAAACCTAGAAGAAGGTTCTAAACTTTATCTTCAAATTGGTGTAATTTTGTAAATACAGAATTGGATTTTACATGATTATAAATACTGGTGGGGAAATGTAGAAGTATGTCTTGTATCTTCAGAGTATAGATGCTTTTTAAAAAGAAAATTCTGACTAATTGTGATGGCTTCATTCTATCAGTCAGTACTTGGAGGTATAATAAGTACTCAATACACATAGAGGTTTATTGTGGTGGTAGATATAATATAAATCCATCTTTCAGGCAGTCTTCTTTAAAAGTTAGATTTTTTTTAAGCTAAATTTTTGTTAGTTTTAATTAGATCATTGTTGGTGATTATGTCCGAAATGAGTGGTGAAGAGCTTATACTAGGAGCGAATTGTCAGTCTTGCCATTAATAGTTGACCACAGATCTAGACCTTCAATAGTGGAGAAAGGTATATTCATTTACTGGCATCCTATTGAACCAATAAAACAATAGGTATGTTGCTACATAAAGAAATGTGTAAAATAAAGTGCTAATTTATAAAATTTTACAGTCACCATAGTAGAAACTACCTAAAAAAGACAGGAATAGAATATAGAAAAATAAAAAGAGCTCTATAAGGGTGTTCAGATTAAAGATAATTTGCTTTCCTTTAGTAGCCAGAATGTTTATATTGTTTTTATTTTATTGTTTAGAATTATAAGAAAACACATTTGTATCATATTTATTTCTTTTTATCCCTACAAAAATGCTCGAATTTGTGTGAAAGTTAATTTAGTTTCTGTATACAAGTGCTAACTTCCTTACTCTGACAAATACAAATTTTATAGTTTCTTTCAATTATTACTAATTTGATGGGGAAGAAAATTTATCTTGCATTTTTTGCATTTCTATGAATTTTTGTGAAGTGTTTATAAATTGTCCATTCGATTTCATCATTTATTGATTACTAGGTTATGAGAGGCTTCCTTTGATCACTCTGTTCCACGTAATTACTTCTTCCTTCATGCCAGTGCCTGGCTTAGGTTTTTATTTTCCATAGTACTTACCTGTCTTATATTATGTGTTTTTTTAAATGTATTCTTCTATTTTCTTCAGTGCTGTCAACATTGAATAACAGCTGCCATAGATTAGATAGTTGACAAATAATTGTTGAATGAATGAGTAATAAATGTCCTTTACCAATTTTTCTAATACTGTTGATATTTTGTGTATTAATCTGAAAGGTCTCTTTCTGTATTAGAGAGATAACATTTAAGCCTATGTTACAAATATATTTTTCAATTTGTAATAGACTTTATTTTTTATTTTATTATTTATTAACTTTGATAAAAAAGAAGTTTAATACAGTTATCTAGTTAAATGCATTATCTTTATGGTTTCTGTATTTGATGTTTTGCCTGGGGATACTTTCTTCTCCCTCCTTCCTCTCTCCCTTCCTCCCCAACTCCCCTCCTTCCTCTCTGTTTTGTACTCCCTTCCCGTGTGTGTGTGTGTGTGTGTGTGTGTGTGTGTGTGTGTATGGGTGTGTTTCAGCCATGGAACTTAGTGTGGCATAGGTGAAATATAAGGACCTAATTTATGGAGACTTCACTTTACCAGCATCACTTGCTATTTAATTAGTCTTTGAAATGCTGCCTTTATGGTATACTAAGAATTCATTTAGATTTGCTTCTGTTTCTGGGCTTTCTCTACTCTTCCATGAAGCTACCTATTTGTAGCAGCAGTTTCATTCTTGCTTAGTGTAGTTTTCCTGTATTTTTGAATATTTCATGGATAAATTCCCCTTCCATTTTTTTCAAAATAATATTTTGAATGTTCTTTTTACTTTTATTATTTCTGATGAGCTTTGGAATCCTTTTTTCCATGAAGATATACATATCAGTTAGAATAAATTTTGTATGCCTGAAATAGAAATTTAAGCCTTTGGCAGAGATTGCACTCTGTGCCCTTAGGCTTTTAGACTAGGGACCACCCTCTGTTGCTACCCCTAAGAACCATGTTAGGAATGAATCACTGTGAGCTCATTCTCTAAGACATGACATATTCTACGGGGTTTTTTTTTTAATGCATTTGTTTTTTAAACTGATAAACTTTCAGGGTTCAGTGAGAGGTTTTTAAATTGAGATTTTAATATTTTTAGTAGGTGCCTATTCTTGTTTTTTAAAAGAGGATTTTGAAAACTCTTTTTCTTTTTGCTCCATTTTATTTTATTTTATTTTATTTTTATTGATCATTCTTGGGTGTTTCTCGCAGAGGGGGATTTGGCAGGGTCATAGGACAATAGTGGAGGGAAGGTCAGCAGACAAACAAGTGAACAAAGGTCTCTGGCCTTCCTAGGCAGAGGACCCTGCAGCCTTCCGCAGTGTTTGTGTCCCTGGGTACTTGAGATTAGGGAGTGGTGATGATTCTTAATGAGCATGCTGCCTTCAAGCATATGTTTAACAAAGCACATCTTGCACCACCCTTAATCCATTTAACCGTGAGTGGACACAGCACATGTTTCAGAGAGCACAGGGCTGGGGGCAAGGTCATAGATCAACAGGATCCCAAGGCAAAAGAATTTTTCTTAGTACAGAACAAAATGAAAAGTCTCCCATGTCTACTTCTTTCTACACAGACACAGCAACCATCCGATTTCTCAATCTTTTCCCCACCTTTCCCCTTTTTCTATTCCACAAAACCGCCATTGTCATCATGGCCCGTTCTCAATGAGCTGTTGGGTACACCTCCCAGACGGGGTGGTGGCCGGACAGAGGGGCTCCTCACTTCCCAGTAGGGGCAGCCGGGCAGAGGCGCCCCTCACCTCCCGGACGGGGCGGCTGGCCGGGCGGGGGCTGACCCCCCACCTCCCTCCCGGACAGGGTGGCCTGCCTGGCGGGGGCTCACCTCTACCTCCCTCCCGGAGGGGGCGGCCTGCCGGGTGGGGGCTGACCCCCACCTCCCTCCCGGACGGGGTGGCTGCCAGGCGGAGATGCTCCTCACTTCCCAGACGGGGTGGCTGCCGGGCGGAGGGGCTCCTCACTTCTCAGACGGGGCGGCTGCCGGGCAGAGGGGCTCCTCACTTCTTAGACAGGGTGGCTGCTGGGCGGAGGGTCTCCTCACTTCTCAGATGGGGTGGCTGGGCAGAGACGCTCCCCACCTCCCAGACGGGGTCGCGGCCGGGCAGAGGAGCTCCCCACATCCCAGACAATGGGCGGCCGGGCAGAGACGCTCCTCACTTCCTAGATGGGATGGCGGCTGGGAAGAGGCGCTCCTCACTTCCTAGGTGGGATGACGGCCGGGCAGAGATGCTCCTCACTTTCCAAACTGGGCAGCCAGGCAGAGGGGCTCCTCACATCCCAGACGATGGGTGGCCAGGCAGAGATGCTCCTCACTTCCCAGACGGGGTGGCAGCCGGGCAGAGGCTGCAATCTGGGCACTTTGGGAGGCCAAGGCAGGCAGCTGGGAGGTGGAGGTTGTAGCGAGCCGAGATCACGCCACTGCACTCCAGCCTGGGCACCATTGAGCACTGAGTGAACGAGACTCCGTCTGCAATCCCAGCACCTTGGGAGGCCGAGGCTGGCGGATCACTCGCGGTTAGGAGCTGGAGACCAGCCCGGCCAACACAGTGAAACCCCGTCTCCACCAAAAAAACACGAAAACCAGTCAGGCGTGGCGGCGTGCGCCTGCAATCGCAGGCACTCGGCAGGCTGAGGCAGGAGAATCAGGCAGGGAGGTTGCAGTGAGCAGAGATGGCGGCAGTACAGTCCAGCTGCGGCTTGGCATCAGAGGGAGACCGTGGAAAGAGAGGGAGAGGGACACCGTGGGGAGAGGGGAGAGGGGAGAGGGGAGAGGGAGAGCCTGAGCCTTTTTGCTCCATTTTAAATAAACTACAGTTGATGGCCTAGTAAAAGGCACAGGTGTGAGGATGGTATATCCTTGTGGAAAAGCTTTGGGATGCCTGGTCTTCTTGCTGGGTAAGAAGCACTGTGTGCTTCTTACATCCCCAAAGCAGATCCCTAACTCTGGTCCCAGATGAAGGCTTTCCTGCTAAATGCAGCAGTCAGGAATGGTTACAAGGGACACAGTACAACCAGTCACTAACTTATTACTTGAGACATGCAAAACAACTAGTCCCAGTGTTCTCTGGCAAATTTCATCCACAGTATATTGTCTTGCTTTCACTTTTAAGGTTCAGTCTTAAAACTACAGGAGCACACACTACAGAATGTTCTTGCTGAATTAGCTGACCAAGGGAAAGGGGATAACAATATGTCCCTGTCTAAGTGGATTTAAGGTATCTGTATTCAAACTCTTCAAATCGTTTGAGCCTTCAAAAGAAGGGACAGCCTTGCCATTGGTCAGTATATCTTGTCATTAATTATGACATGGTGGTTTCTTTTGTTTGGATCTCTCTTTGAGACAGAGATTATAAATACGATTACACAACTTTCAAAATTCTGTCAACAGTTTTGTTTTAGATTGAGCTACTATCTCCTGAAGCTGTAAGTGACATTCTGAAATTTCCTAATCAAATGGGCCTATGGTTTGTGGATTTGCTTTCTCACACTGGCCAAGTGACATAAAAGCACTTTGCCATAAGGGGTTTTTAAAAAGTCTTACATAGTCATCCTTTTCTGGCTTTCCTTCTACACAAAGGCCTGAGAGAGAAAGCAATGGCAGTACAAATGAATGAAATTTAATAGATTGTTTTAATTTAAGAGCAACAATTCCTCTGGAAATTAATCACATTGGACTGAATGTGAGCTAGGAGAGCAGCAGGACTTATTTCCCAGTCTTGAAAGGATAAAGTTAAAATATGTCTGGAGGCCAGGTGCGGTGGCTCACGCCTGTAATCCCAGCACTTTGGGAGGCCAAGGTGGGCGGATCACAAGATCACGAGATCGAGACCATCCTGGCTAACACAGTGAAACCCCATCTCTACTAAAAATACAAAAAATTAGCCAGGCGTGGTGGCAGGTGCCTGTAGTCGCAGCTACTTGGGAAGCTGAGGCAGGAGAATGGTGTGAACCCGGGAGGCAGAGCTTGCAGTGAGCCGAGATCGCGCCACTGCACTCCAGCCTGGGTGACAGAGCGAGACTCCGTCTGGATTTAAAAAAAAAAAAAAAAGTCTGGAACCAGCAGATGGCGCCAAAAGCAACCAACCTCTAATTGTTCTCATTGCTCATTAACATAAGATACTCCCACCAAAGCTTGACAATTTATATTTGTCATGTAAATGACCCAGCAGGATGGCAATGATCCAGAAATTACTAGCCCCTTTTCTAGAGACTTCTGAATAATCAGCCTCTTAATTTGCATGTAATTAAAAGTGAATGTAAATGCTGCTAACCAATAGCTCACAAGTGCTGAATCTGGGTCACTACCTATGGGTTGGCTCTGCTTTGCAAGGAGCAGCTCTTGTTGAATAAAAGTTGCTGTCTAGGCTGGGCGTGGTGGCTCACCCCTGTAATCCCAGCGCTTTGGGATGCCGAGGAATGCAGATCATGAGGTCAGGAGATGAAGACCAGCCTGGTCAGCATGGTGAAACCCTGTCTCTACTAAAGATACAAAAAATTAGCTAGGCGTGGTGGTGGGCACCTGTAATCCCAGCTACTCGGGAGGCTGAGGCAGGAGAATCACTTGAACCCAGGAGGCGGAGGTTAAAGTTAGCCAAGATCGCAACATTTTGCGCCAGCCTGGGCAGCAAGAGTGAAACTTAATCTCAAAAAAAAAAAAAAATTAAAAAATTTATCTGGGCACGGTGGCATGTGCCTGTAATGCCAACTACTTAGGAGGCTGAGGCAGAAGAATTGCTTGAACCAGGGAGTCGGAGGTTGCAGTGAGCTGAGATCGCACTACCGCACTCCAGCCTGGTGACAGAGCAAGACTCTGTCTCAAAAATAAAAAAGTTGCTAACACCGCTGGCTGGCTCTTAAATTTTTCCTAGGTGAAGCCAAGAACCCTCATGGGTTAAGCCCCAATTTCAGGACCTTGCTTGTCCACCTGCAACAAATGGACTAGTTTTTAGTAGGCACTCATTTTATTACTTCCAGCTTTGGGAGATCATTTTTCATAACTCTCTCACTAGTTACCATTCCATCTTTGCAGACATAGTTTTGTCAGCTCAGCAGATCTAACTTTCTCCATCAGGGTTTCCTGTGGTAGCCTCCTGGCTGAGCTAACTGTGGCTCATACGGAACAAAAGACCTAGCTTTGCAGGTGGGGGTTTTAAAGTTTAGGTTCCAAAAAAAATTAGGGCAAATGCTTAACTTTGTTTCTCATTGTTTTCCTTCTATCATCCTTGAGGATAATAGATAAACAATTTGATTTAATTTATTTGCAGTGTACATCTTCCTTTGAATGACTTCTACCATTCTATCTTAATTTGCGGTTTATTGGAAAGTCTTGGTTCTGTTATGGTGGTCTGTATAACCCATCTCAGATAATAAAACAGCATGGTTTCCTGAATTCAGTGGAAGAACAAATGCTTAAGAGATTTTCAAATATAAAATAATAAAGAAAAAACTATTACTAAATTAAAAAGTCAACATTTAATTCTGTAAAATCCACACTTTTAACAGCTTAGTCACTAAGTATATGAATATTAGTTGGCTACAAATTATTTTCTGGGTTTGATTTAAAAAACCAAAGGACAGAAAGAGATATCGAGCAACTTAATTCATCCTTCCATCTTCAGTCAGCTCCACAATTGACTTTCTAGAGTCAGAAGAAATACTTTCTATTATTTATTGCAAATTACCTCAGGTACTTCATGAAAGTAGGTGGAATATAAAATGTTCCACATGCATTGTATTAGGCATTTTATCAATTCATTTAAAACCCAAGTCAGGCAGGGCGCGTTGGCTCACACCTATAATCCCAGCACTTTGGGAGGCCGAGACAGGTAGATCACAAGGTCAGTAGTTCAAGGCCAGCCTGGCCACGATGGTGAAACTCTGTCTCTACCAAAAATACAAAAATTAGCCAGGCGTGATGGCAGACACCTGTAATCCCAGCTACTCAGGTGGCTGAAGCAAAGAATTGCTTGAACCCAGGAGGTGGAGGTTGCAGTGAGCTGAGATCGCACCACTGCACTCCAGCCTGGGTGACAGAGCGCGACTCCATCTCAAAAAACAAAAGCAAACTCAAGTCACATCAAATCACTCCCATGCTCATACCCTTCAAGGACTTTCCATATTCCTCAGATGGAAAGCCAATAGCCTTAGAGTGACAGGTGTGCTCCAGGGCCACCTGACTTGTCTCTTCTGTACCTTAGCTTTCCTACTCCTCCTACACTCCTCTTTGACC
Source organism: Homo sapiens (assembly GCF_000001405.40). Lineage (NCBI taxonomy): Eukaryota > Metazoa > Chordata > Mammalia > Primates > Hominidae > Homo > Homo sapiens. Next base: position 106,321,766 of record NC_000011.10, read on the forward strand.
ACATTAATCACCTCACTCTTCCTGGAACCCACCCAAGCGTGCTCTTGCCACAAGGCCTTTGCACTAACTATCCCTGTTGTCTAAAATTCTCTTCCTGCAAATGTCCCATGTTGTTTTCTCCCTCTCTTTGTTTGAGTCTTGGATCAACCATCACTTTTTTAGAGAGATGTCCCATGACCACCCTGGAACCATGTAAAATGACAATCCTGGTACCATGTCCCTGCCAGACACACACACACCCCTGTTTTTTTTTCTTTACATGATGGCACATATCAAGATTGGTCATGATTTAGTATTTACTTATTTATTTGTTTACTGATGGACTCTTCCACAGGAACATAAATTCAATGAGGGAAGGATTTTGTTTTCTTCCCTGTTGTCTCTCCAATGTCTGAAACAGTGTCTGGCTATGCTCAGTATTAAGTTAATATTTGTTAAAAACTTTGTGAGGCAGAGAAAACCGAATACTATGTGATCTCACTTATGTGAAATCTTAAAAAGTTAAACTCATAGAAGTAGATAATAGAGCAGTGGTTAGCAGGGATCAGGGGTGAGAGATGTCGGTGAAAGGGTACAGACTTTCATTTAAAAGATGAGTAAGTTCTGGGGACTGAAGGTACAGCATGGTGACCATAGTTAGCAATGCTGTGTCATATACTTGAAAGTTGCTAAGGGAATAAATCTTAAGAGTTTTCACCACATATGCAAAAAAGGATAACTATGTGAAATGAGGGATATGTTAACTAACTTCATAGTGGTTTTGGTAATCATTTCACAAAGTATATGTATATCAAATCATCACAGAGTATACTTTAAACATACATAATTTAATTTCTCTATTATACCTCAACAAAACTGAAAAAAAAATGTTGCCCTCCAATTATATGCAGTACTAACACAGTTCTAGGCCCATAATAATACCTTCATTATTATGATTATGATTATGATTATGATTATTATTATTATTGAGACAGAGTCTCACTGTTGCTGTTGCCCAGGCTGGAGTGCAGTGGCATGTTCTCGGCTCACTGCAACCTCTGCCTCCTGAGTTCAGGTGATTCACCTACCTTAGCCTCCTGAGTAGCTGGGACTAGAGGTGTGTGCCACTACACCTGGCTAATTTTTGTATTTTTAATAGAGATGGGGTTTTACCATGTTGGTCAGGCTGGTCTCACCCTTCTGACTTCAGGTGATCGTCCTGCCTCTGCCTCCCAAAGTGCTGGGATTACAAGTGTAAACTACTGTGCCTGGCCCCCTTTGTTAATATTAATTGAATAAATAATGAAAAACATTTTCACCAAAAAAACCACTTTGTGAAGTAACTCAGATGTCACTATTGTTTGAAAATATGTTTATCTTACTATATATGTTTTATATATGGCAAGGATGGATTATGATTTTAATTAAATTGATTCAAATAAACATACATGTTTCTGGGATAGGCCGTGTGATAGCGGACACCAAGACGAATTCATTTTACTTCTGCTTACTACTTCATGGCCTCAGGAAAAGCATAAAACATTTGGCAGCAGCAAGCAATCTCCAAATAATTGATAGTTATGAATTATGTAACAAAAGCAGAGGTAACAGCAAACCATTCTTGTTGTTTTTCCCATAGACCTGATTGTTGTTAAGTAGAAAGGAGAAATTGATACAACAAGAATGGAAATAGCATCTATTTGTTATATTAATTAGTTACTTAATATTAACATTTGCCTTTCCTAAATCCTAAATCTGTTCTCACACTGCTAATAAAGACATACCCCAGACTGGGTAATTTATAAAGGAAAGTGGACTCACAGTTTCACATGGCTGAGGAGGCCTCAATACAAGTAATTTATAAAGGAAAATTCCACATGGACTCACAGTTCCACGTGGCTGAGGAGGCCTCAATCATGGCAGAAGGCGAAGGAGGAGCAAAGGCATGTCTTACATGGCAGCAGGCAAAAGAACATGTGCAGGAGAACTGCCCTTTATAAAACCATCAGATCTCATGAGACTTATTCACTATCATGAGAAGAGCATGGGATAAACCCACCCCGATGATTCAATTACCTTCCACTGGGTCCCTCCCACAACAAGTGGGGATTATTGGAGCTACAATTCAAGATGAGATTTGGTTGGGGACATGCCAAAACCATATCAACTGATAGGAAAAAACTTGAAATAATTATAGTAGAAACAGAAGATCAAAAACCGTTTTGGCTGATGCTGTGGCTTACGCCTATAATTCAACAACTTTAGGAGGTTAAGTTGGGAGGACTGCTTTGGTCCAGGAGTTCAAGACTGCAGTGAGCTCTGATTGTGCCACTACATCCAGCCTGAGCAACTGAGAGAGACACTGTCTCTAAAAAATCAAACAAGAGAAAAAACAACAACAACAAAGTTTGAACATTTATTCCTAAAGGTTTTTGTACACTGACATCTTTGATGATGAGTTATGGGCCTTCTTTCCAGAATAATGAACCTAAACACATAGTACATAAAAATCAAAAAGTGAGGGTGTGGGGTGCAGGGGCTCATGCCTGCAATCCAGCACTTTGGGAAGCTGATACAGGAAGATAGCATGAACCTAGCATTTTGAGATAAGCCTGGTCAACTTAATGAGACCATGTCTCTACAAAAAATTTTTAAAAGGAGCAGAATATGATTGTGCATTCTTGTAGTCCCAGCTACTTGAGAGGCCAAGGCTGGGGGATTGCTTCGGCCCAGGAGTTTGAGGCTGCAGTGAGCTATGATTGTGTCACTGCACTCCTGGGTGACAGAGCGAGAATTCCATCTCTTAAACAGCATCTGAGGGATTCTTCATGGACCCCTTTAAGTACATTCATGGATCCTAGTTTGAATATTTCTGATGTAGAGAAATGCAGAAATATAACCGAGGAAAAGCTAATATAATTACTGTGATTCAGCATTGAATTCTACCTGAAGCCTACTGACAAGGAAAAAAAAAAGAAAGAAAGGAAAGACAAATTATATAAAAGAAGGAAAGAAGTTATAGAAAAGTGAAAGTTATCATGTACTTAGTCTATGCCTCACACTATGCTAGGTTTTTAAAATACATAATATCTCAAGGAATTCCCATCTCACTCATTTGAGGGAGCTGTTGTTATCCACAATTTATACACAGGAAACAAAGAATGGAAATGGAATTTCAATCCAGTACTCTCTAGTTTCAAAAGGCTATAATCTTTTTAACTTTATGATGAAAGTAAGTATACTGTTCATCAATGAGAAAAGACCCATATTTTTCCCTGATGCTAAACTCTAAGAAAAAGAGACTGAAACTTTCTACAGGCTAGAAAGACAATGGTATTCTATGTTTTCTCCATCCTCCTTTTACTGAGCAGATTACAGTCATAAAACTTGGGACTGTTATAAATGTTTAAAAATATTTTCATTTGGAAAAACTCTTCTAGGGCTGGGAAGTTTTATCTGGCAATTAACTTGTGTGTGCTTTGATGATAGATATTGTGTTTTTATTTCTGATACAATTTCTCCATTTCAAACTATCTTGCTTTGTATACAGAGGCCACTCAGGACATAGCAGTCAACTGATTGACTATATATAGGTCATTTCAGATGGCTCAGATTCCAACCTATTTTAAATAACTTAGAAATCCTAGTTATATTTGGAAAGGATCTTGAGAAATCCAGATGCTTAGCAATAATCCATTGCAGGCAGCATGCATATTAATAGCTAATATTAATTGAGCACTTACTAAGCTCCAGGCTGTGTTTTAAGTACTCTTCATTAATTTCTCTTTCAATCTTCTCAACAGCTATTTAAATTAAGAGCCACTATTATCTCCATGAGAAAAATGAGGCACAGAAAGTGTTTTCCAAACCGTCTATTAACTTAGCCAAAACACTGGTCAGTCTGTCAAATTTTATTCAAATCAACTCAATCAAAACTATCCAATTAAAATGGAAAATAGACAGAATCTTACATCTGTTTTCTAGAGGCCAGAGTAGAATTCTTCCATATAGTGTACTTCTAGCTATTTTGCTAAGACCCCAGTTTCAAATGATTTGGATAATATAAAGAATATGTAGAAAAGTCACCCACCTCGCCACACTGCCCTGTCAACATCTTCCTTTGTAGATGTTTTGCATCCTTCTAAGCAGATTGCCAAGGATCAATCAAAAGTAGAACAATTGAGGAATGAGGTTCTAAGGGGCATCTGAAATGACAGCCTTCCATAAGCATAACCTGGCAGATGATGAGCATCCTTTGGAGCATCGGCAACCTTACACAAAAAGGGCAACTGCCCTATTCCATGGCTGATTTCAAAGGATCTTGGCATTTTCTTATCATATTAAGAGTAAATCATTAGTGAGAGTAACTTTTGGATGTTAACATATCCTACAAAATTAATTAATGCTTAAATTCAGAACTCTACATTGTAAAGACGTTTGTCTTCATTTTTGCTAAAAAAGAAAAAAAAAGAGGCAGGGAAAAAGTTCAATTGTAACTGTATTTGGCTTCATGTGAGACACGAGCTCTCACTCTAGAACCACCCACCCATGCTCCGTTTACATACACAAATAGCAATTTAGGATGTGTGATGTCTTTTCAGTTTTACTGTCTCCTGAGATAATTGTTGGGCAGATTCAGGACAGAAGTTGCATAGTTTCTTAGTTTTAATAATGTCTCTAATAATTGGGGTTATTTCTGGCTATACCTGATTTACCTAGGAGACCATGCACTTACAGGTCAGCTTTGCCTCAACAGATGTGAGTACCAGACCCTCTCCTGCCTCACAATCACAAATGATACTGCACAGGGCACCCTGGGGCTGCATTAAGGGCAGGCAGGGGTGGGAGTAGGAAAGAAGTGTGGGGGCAGTGAGATGGAGGAGTGGAGCTAAATAGAGATGGATCTGCTAGTGACAGAAAGAGTAAGGATTAAGTGAAGAAGAGGTGACAGAGAAGTCACTGGGTAGAGCAATGCTGGCGCAACTGCTAAGCAGGTTCATGGATAAAGCAGTCTAGCTTTTGTGTGAGGCAAGTTCAAAGGGGCACTGTCAGGCTTTGAAATTGTGTCAGCTTGAAGCATTGCTGGGATGAGTTTTATAAGAATTTGTGATCATTTCTATACAGCCAACCCAATATCAGGAGGAAAGGATGTCACTTTGTTTTAGGACACTTGCATTGACGTACAATTGCAAAATGTCTGAGTGGATAGTTTAGTTTTTAAGCATAGGAAAGGTAAATGATTGTTTAAAAATGTACCCAGGATTTCGTTTGTATTCAGGAATAATGAAGCCAGAAGGTGAGAACACAATTGTCATTGAAAAGATAGTTTAGTACTCACAGTTTCCAAAAGGAGGGAATCTTGCCCTGTAGGGCCACAAGAGAGAACACTGAGGTTGGTCACAGGCAGAGAGAGGGGAGGACACTTCAGAAAAGGCATTATTGTGGTTTTCAGGGGAAGGAATTGGTGGCGCAAGGTAAGCAGGCTAAGCAGGTTCAGGGTTGGCTAGTTTGAATGATTTCAGTCAGCTGGAGTGTAGGCCCTTACCCTGTCTCCAGTAGCCCTGGGTTGACTAATGAAGGGGAATAGTATCCATGGTGCAGGAAGAGGCAGATGAGGGGTGTGGGCTTTTAACTGGTTAGTTTGCATATGAAGGCACACTTGATGAGAAACCCCTTTGCTCTCTCTAGGGGTCCGCTAACCACTGGAGGGGCAGTCTCTCCCTAATCAGCAAAACCTCAGACATCAAAATGTTACTGATAAGGCCGGTCCCCCAAAGACAGGGTCTTTCTCTGTTTGGTATCAAGAAGCCAATACATGCAACCAAAAGTGTGCATCAAGCAGAGCAAGATTTATTCAATGGCCATGGGATTGAGAATTGAGAGTATAGCTCAGAAATCAACTTCTTGACTAGTGAGGGGCAAGGGGGTTAAATATAGGGTATCTCTAATGAAGGAGTTGGACATTAATAGCAAGGGGAGGAATATTCATATCTTTTCTGGAAATGGGCAGTGAACTTCTCAGAGCTAGAGTGCTGCCTTCCTTTTAATCTTTTTATGGCTTCTTCTGTTTGTTGTCATGGCAATTGTCAACTGTCATGGCACTGGTGGGAATGTCACTTAGCATGGAAATGAAATTATAATGAAGTCTGAGATCTTTTTGGAGTCATTTGGAGGGCTATTTTGGTTCTAGCCAGTCTCAGCTGGTCTAGTTACACAAGGAAGTTTTTTTTTTTTTTTTTTTATAATAGATATCTTGTTTCTTAAGATTAAGCAGAGTTAAGGCAGGGTAGAAATTCAGCCATGTCACATAGACATTACATCAAGCAACAAATCATCAGATAGAAAAACTACAAAATGTGGTTAATCCAATTATGTACAGGGATGCCCCCATTCTCTCTCTCTACACGTGGAAAATAAGTGTGCACTAGCAAAACACATCTCCCTGTCTCAACTTCCAAGATTGTCTTTGGGTGGCTCTGGGAGGAGAAAGCCAATGTTGCATGGTTGCATGGAGAAAGAGCAATGGATATTCACTTTGCCTTACCCAAAGTTTGGACAGCCTTGATCTGAAGAGACTGTTAAGTCTTTTTCTGGTTGGGTTCTACTGGGTGATTCTCAGAGGAGAGGCCATTCCTAATGGTTGGACTCTTATGTGCTCCAGGAACTGTATGCTGTCATAGATGTGGCTTCAGCAGTAATGCTGCCACTTTGGTCTGAGAAAATTTTTATGAGACATACAAATCAAACCCTTGTATTTTCATTATAAAAATTATTAAGAAGTGTTTGAAAGATATTCTTTAGCAAAGGCCTGTATTTTCCTTTGGCTAATCACCTCCCTTGAGGCTCACTCCTCCGCTCTGCTATCCCATCTTTAAATCATTAGTATAGTGTTTATATTTTTCAAATGGCACTTATGTATACTTACGTGGAAGGCTAATACATTCCATTACTATCTAAATTATATTCATCTTCCCAGATAGAGCTGGAAGTTTCACTTGTCTCAAGTTGTTCTTTCATGTACTTAATGTTAATTAAGCATCTAGTCTGTGCCAGCGTTGCTTTAGGATAAAACCAAGCACAATGCAGACAACATACCTTCATACCTGGTGCTGACACTCCAAGGAGGAAGTCAGGCAATTAAAAAAAAATAAAAATAGAATGTGTCAGATGGTTAGTGTCATAGAGTAAAATAAAATAAGGTGGGAGAATAGAGTGTGAAGTAGATGGGAAATATTGCTACTTTATATATGGTTGCAAGGGCAGGCTTTGCTCATAAGGTGAACATGCTTGTGTTTTAGTAAGTTTCCCATTGAGAAGGAACAGCATATGTGAATGCCCTGAGATGGGAATGCATTTGGAATGTCCCAGGAAATGTAAGGAGACCAGTGTGACTGAAAAGAGTGACAGAGGGAGAAGCAAGAGATAAAACTAGATAGTAATGGGTGAGGAATTACGAAAAGACACCGTTGGGCCTTGCAAACCAATCTAAGGACTTGAGTGAAAAGGGAAGCTGCAGGCAGGTTTAGAGCAGCAGAGCAGAAAAAAGAAATTCACATTTTCACAGGATCCTGCTGGCTTCAGAGAAGAGTTTGCACAGGTTAAGAGCATAAGAAAGGAGGCCTTTACAATATTCCAGGTGAAGATGATGAAGGCTTGGACCAGTGATGGAAGCAGAAGTGAGGAGAAGAGTCAGGTTGTGGATATATTTTTGAAGGTAGAGCCAGCAGGGTCTGCTGTTGGATCAGATGTGAAATGTAGGAAGACTGAGAAGTCTAAAATAAGTCCAAGGTTATTGACTTAGAAAATGTTAAGAGTGAAATTTTCACTAATTGAGCTGGGGAATCCTGCAGGAGAAGCTAGTTTTGGTGGAACAGGTGCAGAGGGGGTGAAGGTGAGAAGACGGAGGAGCTCAATTTTGGAGACATTAAGTTTGACATAGTGGTTAGACATGCAAATAGAAATGTTGAGTAGGCAGTTAGATACACAAATCTGGAATTCAGGTGAAATATAAAATTGGAAACAATATAGGTACTATTTATAGGCATGTGACTGAAGATCACATAGGCAGTGAGCAATAGTACCAGTAGCCAAAAGGTAGAAATGACTCAAATGCCTATCAACACAGAGGAGGGCCAAGGACCATGCCCTGGGATCAGCAGCACTTAGAGGTAGAGCAGATGAGAAAAAAAAAAAAAAAAAAAAAAGGAAAAGAGATTGTAAAGGAATAGCCAGCAACTTGGCTTAAGCCAAGTTAAGAAAGTGTTTCCAGAAGAAAAGAAAAATGTGCATTACGCATTTAAGACAAGTTAGGTGAGGAAACAAATCGACCACAGGATTTAGCAACATAGAGATTATTGGGAACCTTGACAATAGCTGTGTCCAGGGGGTTGCAGAGTTAAAGTCTGTTTGGAGAGAGTTCGAGAGAGAATTGGAGAAGAAAAGTAGAGTGCATGCATAGATATGTAGTTTGAGGAATTTTGCTACAAAAGGGAGCAGAGATACAGGATAGTAGTTGGACTAGAATGTGGATTAAAAAGAGGAAAGTTATTCAAAATCTTTCTTGAATATTCTGAATCATGTCTCTCTATCCATATAACTGGCCCAGCATAGATGCTTAGTCAGTGTCTATGATTAGGATAAGTGCATACATGGTGATATATAGACCTGTGGGTATGCTACATCATACTGCTTTGGCATGATTTCATGAATATCTGTCCTGTTTAATCAATGCTGGGTTGAAAGCCACTACTCTGACACCTGACATGAGAAGCAGGAATAAAGTGGGTACTGAAACTGTACATCATGTGCATATTTTGCACATAATCCTCTTAGCCAGTCTTGAAAACAAAATGAAGATGGATTTGTTTACCTGCCTATTTTCTTTCTTAGTCTATGATTCCACCTTGCCAAGGGTGATGTCTTTTGGTCTCTGTATCCACAATAACATGTAGTACCTGGGGATCAGAGGCATTTTTAAAAAGTTGATTGGAAAACATGAATTAAATGAATGAATAGAAAGTAGTACAGAGGTCTGGCGCTGAACGTTATTACCACCTGAAAGCACACAGACTACACAAGGAACAGTTCCTTGAACTATCAGGAACTTATTGCTAATGGTAATACAAATGGGGCAAAATCTTTGAAGAAAAGCCATGCATGAAACTCGAGTAAGTCTTCTTGACTTGAACTGCTTGTGGACATCAAAAATTAAGAAGAAGTGATATTTAAGTTTTTAGACGAGATTGGGCATGTTCCGGGTGGTATGGCCAGAGACGATTTTTAACTTTTCAGACATAAGAGAGTGTTTTCTTAAATTTGTCAGACTTTGAAAATTCTGCTTATCTATTAAAGACTTTACTATTATAATTAGCTTGTTCCTTACAATTCACTGATCATAATAATTTATTATTAACAAGAACATTGCTCACCATGGTTAGAATTCCATTAGGGTTCAACACTAATAAATCATATGCCACTAGAATTAAGTATCCCCAAAACTTTTAATTAAACAAAACCATCACTTGTAACCAATCTTGGCCCTATGTTGCAAGAATCCTGCTATGCAAGTCTGATTTTATGACTTTGTGGTCAGCTGACAATAACTTCAAGAGGCGGCACTCAGGTTGTGTATTCACTCTAGAGCCTGTGGTTATCTACTCTGACTCTACCAAAACCTAATACTGAGTCAGGAGCTGTTAATCAAAAGAAGAGTAATTTGTCAGTGATGGCATAGCTTTGCTACAAAATCTTAGCGGATTGCACTGAAATTCTTCTAATAATACTTTCTCCCTATAACATCCTGTTTGCTCCATATACTTCAAGCTCTATCGGGCCTATGGGCTCCTAAGCTCCCAGTGATGGAGTTGATTACTTACAGCCTGAAATAGCAAGAGAGATCCTCTTGCTCAGGACCCATTGACCAAGATGTTCACCTCAGTTTGACTAAACTTTAGATAAGTTTCTTCCTTCTTTCTTTCCTTTCCTTTCCTTTCCTTTCCTTTCCTTTCTCTCTCTTTCTTTCTTCCTCCTCCTCCTCCTTCTCCTCCTCCTCCTCCTTCTTTCTTCTTTCTTCTTCTTCTTCTTCAGATAGGGTCTCATCCTATCACCCAAGCTGGAGTGCAGTGGAACAATTTCAGCTCACTGCAGCCTCCACCTTCTAGACTTAAGCAACCCTCCCACCTCAGTCTTCTGAGTAAGCTGGAATCACAGGAATGTACCACTATACCCAGCTTATTTTTTATTCTTTAATTTTTTTGTAGAGATGGGGGTCTCTTTATGTTGCGCGGGCTGGTCTCGGACTCCTAGGCTCAGGTGATCCTCCTGCCTCAGCCTCTCAAAGTGTTGAGATTACAGGCATGAGCCACTGTGGCTGGCTAGATACATTTCTGCTTCACTAGTGGACCCTAATTTACTTATTTTCTTTCTTTCTTTCTTTCTTTCTTTCTTTCTTTCTTTCTTTCTTTCTTTCTTTCTTTCTTTCTTTCTTTTCTTTCAGCACATTTACTTTCAAAAACTTGCAATTGTTAATTCTTTTTCTGGTACTTTGAGATATAAATCTTCTCTTAACCTCTTGCCAGCTTTACAGCTTTACAGTAAGACTTTACAGGAAAGTCTTACTCAAGTACTTGGGAGGCATCCCCTTGAAAGGTAATTATTAAAAGACATACCACCACTATCTTTGGGAGGGTAGGAGCTTAGCGGTGATGCTCCTACAGTCAGCAAACACAGACGGCCCAATCCCATTCACCAATTCCCCCCAACATCCTTCGGTCGTCAGTACTTCCACTAGCTTACCTAACTTCTTAAAAATCCTTTTGCCTACCGGACATGGTGGCTCACGCCTGTAATCCCAGCACTTTGGGAGGCCGAGGCGGGCGGATCACGAGGTCAGGAGATCAAGACCATCCTAGCTAACACGGTGAAACCCCGTCTCTACTAAAGATACAAACAATTAGCCAGGTGAGGTGGCGGGTGCCTGTAGTCTCAGCTACTCCGGAGGCTGAGGCAGCAGAATGGCGTGAACCCGGGGGGCGCAGCTTGCAGTGAGCCGAGATCGGACCACTGCACTCCAGCCTGGGCAACAGAGCGAGACTCCGTCTCAAAAAAAAAAAAAAAATCCTTTTGCCTTGTGTTTTAGTGTAGGTGAGTTCAATCTTTGTCTCCTATTGAAATAATCTGGAATAAAGTTATGCTTGCCTATTTAATTCTATCCTGTGCGTTTTCTCTTTGAGACCACTGAGAGCTTATGAATTACTTGGCACATGGGTCAAAGTAGCACCACCAAATGCTGTAAATATTGCTTAAAAATAAAAAAAATGCTGTCAAGTATTGTAAAATAATTCCCAGCTGTTTGAGCAGGCATAATGAACACAGAATTTGTGCTAAGTACATCCATACAGATAAACTGCCCAATATAAAATTATGCTTCTTCTTCCTTTGCCTGACATTCTTAGGATCTATTCCCACACATTCCCTAAGTTTTTGTTGATATGTATTAGAAAAATTTTACTATATTTTTGTACAAATCTTGTCTGTAATAATGTGTTCTCACATGGTTACAAAGAGCTACACGAGACTGGGTGGTTTATAAAGAAAAGAAGTTTAATTGACCCACAGTTCCACAGGCTGGACAGGAGGTATGGCTGGGGAGGCCTCAGGAAACTTACAATCATGGTGGAAGCTGAAAGAGAAGCAAAGACATCTTCACATGGCAACAGGAGAGAAAGTGAGCAAAGGGGAATGGACTACACACTTTCAACCAACCATATCTGGAGAGAACTCACTCACTATCGCAAGAACAGCAAGGGGAAATCCACGCTCATGATCGAATCACTTCCCACCAGGTCCCTCCCCTGACATTGGGGATCACAATTCAACATGAGATTTGGGTGTGGCCACAGAGCCAAACCGTATCATTGTCCTTACAGAATGAACTCTGCATTTGCTCTTCTGAGGTACGTTTTCATCTCACTCTGGATATACAACTGGAGACAATAAAGGGTAGTAATTTTTAGGCATAAGGACAATTGACATCCTAAGGCAAGATAATGATCATAGGTGAGGTCCTTACAGAGTTTTCAAGCAGGATAAGACCATGCTATTCACATAGGGGACAAGGAGTTGTTTCTGCTGACAAGGGGGAATTCTTTGGCTTTTGAAAGTTTGGGATATTCAGATTCATCTAGATTTACCTTAATCACAGATTTCCATTCTTTTACAATAATTGTCTCACTTTTCACATACGAGACTTGGCAAGGCTGTAAATTCCACTTACATTGTAGCTTAGCAATTCCAGATACAACTCTTCATGTAATTTTAAAATTATACCAGCCCTATAGCTGCAAGAAATAAGAAGTTTTTTTGGGTAGTCATAAAACTTCCCTGTACTTCTGACTATGCCTTGAAGCAAGAATACTAAACACCTTACATTTTTTTAGTTATCAGGGCAGTTGTGAAGCAGCTACCCCACTCCACAGCATTTGCATTTCTCCTTTACATAATAATTGTCCAGCCAATGTCTTATTTAAAGCACACATTTAATTAATGTAAAATACAGGTCATAATATAAAACATTGTTTTGCCACTTTATGGCTTAGACTGCTAGTGTCTTCCTATTCATCAATAACTGGACTATCACTGCCTTTAAATCCAACCAAGTAAAATAACTGAACCATAAAAGAGCATTTACTTTTTATTTTTATTTATTTATTTATTTATTATTATTATACGTTAAGTTTTAGGGGACATGTGCACAATGTGCAGGTTAGTTACATATGTATACATGTGCCATGCTGGTGCACTGCACCCACTAACTCGTCATCTAGCATTAGGTATATCTCCCCAGTGCTATCCCTCCCCCCTCCCCCCACCCCATAACAGTCCCCAGAGTGTGATGTTCCCCTTCCTGTGTCCATGTGTTCTCATTGTTCAATTCCCACCTATGAGTGAAAACATGCGGTGTTTGGTTTTTTGTCCTTGCGATAGTTTACTGAGAATGATGATTTCCAATTTCATCCATGTCCCTACAAAGGACATGAACTCATCATTTTTTATGGCTGCATAGTATTCCATGGTGTATATGTGCCACATTTTCTTAATCCAGTCTATCATTGTTGGACATTTGGGTTGGTTCCAAGTCTTTGCTATTGTGAATGATGCCACAATAAACATACGTGTGCATGTGTCTTTATAGCAGCATGATTTATAGTCCTTTGGGTATATACCCAGTAATGGGATGGCTGGGTCAAATGGTATTTCTAGTTCTAGATCCCTGAGGAATCGCCACACTGACTTCCACAATGGTTGAACTAGTTTACAGTCCCACCAACAGTGTAAAAGTGTTCCTATTTCTCCACATCCTCTCCAGCACCTGTTGTTTCCTGACTTTTTAATGATTGCCATTCTAACTGGTGTGAGATGGTATCTCATTGTGGTTTTGATTTGCATTTCTCTGATGGCCAGTGATGATGAGCATTTTTTCATGTGTTTTTTGGCTGCATAAATGTCTTCTTTTGAGAAGTGTCTGTTCATGTCCTTTGCCCACTTTTTGATGGGGTTGTTTGTTTTTTTCTTGTGAATTTGTTTGAGTTCATTGTAGATTCTGAATATTAGCCCTTTGTCAGATGAGTAGGTTACGAAAATTTTCTCCCATTTTGTAGGTTGCCTGTTCACTCTGATGGCAGTTTCTTTTGCTGTGCAGAAGCTCTTTAGTTTAATTAGATCCCATTTGTCAATTTTGGCTTTTGTTGCCATTGCTTTTGGTGTTTTAGACATGAAGTCCTTGCCCATGCCTATGTCCTGAATGGTAACGCCTTGGTTTTCTTCTAGGGTTTTTATGGTTTTAGGTCTAACATTTAAGTCTTTAATCCATCTTGAATTGATTTTTGTATAAGGTGTAAGGAAGGGATCCAGTTTCAGCTTTCTACATATGGCTAGCCAGTTTTCCCAGCACCATTTATTAAATAGGGAATCCTTTCCCCATTGCTTGTTTTTCTCAGGTTTGTCAAAGATCAGATAGTTGTAGATATGAGGCGTTATTTCCGAGGGCTCTGTTCTGTTCCATTGATCTATATCTCTGTTTTGGTACCAGTACCGTGCTGTTTTGGTTACTATAGCCTTGTAGTATAGTTTGAAGTCAGGTAGCGTGATGCCTCCAGCTTTGTTCTTTTGGCTTAGGATTGACTTGGTGATGCAGGCTCTTTTTTGGTTCCATATGAACTTTAAAGTAGTTTTTTCCAATTCTGTGAAGAAAGTCATTGGTAGCTTGATGGGGATGGCATTGAATCTATAAATTACCTTGGGCAGTATGGCCATTTTCATGATATTGATTCTTCCTACCCATGAGCATGGACTGTTCTTCCATTTGTTTGTATCCTCTTTTATTTCCTTGAGCAGTGGTTTGTAGTTCTCCTTGAAGAGGTCCTTCATATCCCTTGTAAGTTGGATTCCTAGGTATTTTATTCTTTTTGAAGCAGTTGTGAATGGGATTTCACTCATGATTTGGCTCTCTGTTTGTCTGTTGTTGGTGTATAAGAATGCTTGTGATTTTTGTACATTGATTTTGTATCCTGAGACTTTGCTGAAGTTGTTTATCAGCTTAAGGAGATTTTGGGCTGAGACAGTGGGGTTTTCTAGATATACTATCATGTCATCTGCAAACAGGGACAATTTGACTTTCTCTTTTCCTAATTGAATACCTTTTATTTCCTTCTCCTGCCTAATTGCCCTGGCCAGAACTTCCAACACTATGTTGAATAGGAGTGGTGAGAGAGGGCATCCCTGTCTTGTGCCAGTTTTCAAAGGGAATGCTTCCAGTTTTTGCCCATTCAGTATGATATTGGCTGTGGGTTTGTCATAGATAGCTCTTATTATTTTGAGATACGTCCCATCAATACCTAATTTATTGAGAGTTTTTAGCATGAAGGGTTGTTGAATTTTGTCAACTGCCTTTTCTGCATCTGTTGAGATAATCGTGTGTTTTTTGTCTTTGGTTCTGTTTATATGCTGGATTACATTTATTGATTTGCGAATATTGAACCAGCCTTGCATCCCAGGGATGAAGCCCACTTGATCATGGTGGATAAGCTTTTTGATGTGCTGCTGGATTCGGTTTGCCAGTATTTTATTGAGGATTTTTGCATCAATGTTCATCAAGGATATTGGTCTAAAATTCTCTTTTTTGGTTGTGTCTATGCCTGGCTTTGGTATCAGGATGATGCTGGCCTCATAAAATGAGTTAGGGAGGATTCCCTCTTTTTCTATTGATTGGAATAGTTTCAGAAGGAATGGTACCAGTTCCTCCTTGTACCTCTGGTAGAATTCAGCTGTGAATCCATCTGGTCCTGGACTCTTTTTCGTTGGTAAGCTGTTGATTATTGCCACAATTTCAGATCCTGTTATTGGTCTATTCAGAGATTCAACTTCTTCCTGGTTTAGTCTTGGGAGAGTGTATGTGTCAAGGAATTTATCCATTTTCTTCTAGATTTTCTAGTTTATTTGCGTAGAGGTGTTTGTAGTATTCTCTGATGGTAGTTTGTATTTCTGTGGGATCAGTGGTGATATCCCCTTTATCATTTTTTATTGTGTCTATTTGATTCTTCTCTCTTTTTTTTCTTTATTAGTCTTGCTAGCGGTCTATCAATTTTGTTGATCCTTTCAAAAAAACCAGCTCCTGGATTCGTTAATTTTTTGAAGGGTTTTTTGTGTCTCTATTTCCTTCAGTTCTGCTCTGATTTTAGTTATTTCTTGCCTTCTGCTAGCTTTTGAATGTGTTTGCTCTTGCTTTTCTAGTTCTTTTAATTGTGATGTTAGGGTGTCAATTTTGGATCTTTCCTGCTTTCTCTCGTGGGCATTTAGTGCTATAAATTTCCCTCTACACACTGCTTTGAATGCATCCCAGAGATTCTGGTATGTTGTGTCTTTGTTCTCGTTGGTTTCAAAGAACATCTTTATTTCTGCCTTCATTTCATTATGTACCCAGTAGTCATTCAGGAGCAGGTTGTTCAGTTTCCATGTAGTTGAGCGGTTTTGAGTGAGATTCTTCATCCTGAGTTCCAGTTTGATTGCACTGTGGTCGGAGAGATAGTTTGTTATAATTTCTGTTCTTTTACATTTGCTGAGGAGAGCTTTACTTCCAAGTATGTGGTCAATTTTGGAATAGGTGTGGTGTGGTGCTGAAAAAATGTATATTCTGTTGATTTGGGGTGGAGAGTTCTGTAGATGTATATTAGGTCCGCTTGGTGCAGAGCTGAGTTCAATTCCTGGGTATCCTTGTTGACTTTCTGTCTCGTTGATCTGTGTAATGTTGACAGTGGGGTGTTAAAGTCTCCCATTATTAATGTGTGGGAGTCTAAGTCTCTTTGTAGGTCACTCAGGACTTGCTTTATGAATCTGGGTGCTCCTGTATTGGGTGCATATATATTTAGGATAGTTAGCTCTTCTTGTTGAATTGATCCCTTTACCATTAAGTAATGGCCTTCTTTGTCTCTTTTGATCTTTGTTGGTTTGAAGTCTGTTTTATCAGAGACTAGGATTGCAACCCCTGCCTTTTTTTGTTTTCCATTTGCTTGGTAGATCTTCCTCCATCCTTTTATTTTGAGCCTATGTGTGTCTCTGCCCGTGAGATGGGTTTCCTGAATACAGCACACTGATGGGTCTTGACTCTTTATCCAATTTGCCAATCTGTGTCTTTTAATTGGAGCATTTAGTCCATTTACATTTAAAGTTAATATTGTTATGTGTGAATTTGATCCTGTCATTATGATGTTAGCTGGTTATTTTGCTCGTTAGTTGATGCAGTTTCTTCCTAGTCTCAATGGTCTTTACATTTTGGCATGATTTTGCAGTGGCTGGAACTGGTTGTTCCTTTCCATGTTTAGCACTTCCTTCAGGAGCTCTTTTAGGGCAGGCCTGGTGGTGACAAAATCTCTCAGCATTTGCTTGTCTGTAAAGTATTTTATTTCTCCTTCACTTATGAAGCTTAGTTTGGCTGGATATGAAATTCTGGGTTGAAAATTCTTTTCTTTAAGAATGTTGAATATTGGCCCCCACTCTCTTCTGGCTTGTAGAGTTTCTGCCAAGAGTCTGCTGTTAGTCTGATGGGCTTCCCTTTGAGGGTAACCCGACCTTTCTCTCTGGCTGCCCTTAACATTTTTTCCTTCATTTCAACTTTGGTGAATCTGACAATTATGTGTCTTGGAGTTGCTCTTCTCGAGGAGTATCTTTGTGGTGTTCTCTGTATTTCCTGAATCTGAATGTTGGCCTGCCTTGCTAGATTGGGGGAGTTCTCCTGGATAATATCCTGCAGAGTGTTTTCCAACTTGGTTCCATTCTCCCCGTCACTTTCAGGTGCACCAATCAGACGTAGATTTGGTCTTTTCACATAGTCCCATATTTCTTGGAGGCTTTGTTTGTTTCTTTTTATTCTTTTTTCTCTAAACGTCCCTTCTCGCTTCATTTCATTCATTTCATCTTTCATCGCTGATACCCTTTCTTCCAGTTGATTGCATTGGCTCCTGAGGCTTCTGCATTCTTCATGTAGTTCTCTAGCCTTGGTTTTCAGCTCCATCAGCTCCTTTAAGCACTTCTCTGTATTGGTTATTCTAGTTATAAATTCGTCTAAATTTTTTTCAAAGTTTTCAACTTCTTTGCCTTTGGTTTGAATGTCCTCCCATAGCTCGGAGTAATTTGATCGTCTGAAGCCTTCTTCTCTCAGCTCGTCAAAGTCATTCTCCGTCCAGCTTTGTTCCGTTGCTGGTGAGGAACTGCGTTCCTTTGGAGGAGGAGAGGCGCTCTGCTTTTTAGAGTTTCCAGTTTTTCTGTTCTGTTTTTTCCCCATCTTTATGGTTTTATCTACTTTTGGTCTTTGATGATGGTGATGTACAGATGGGTTTTTGGTGTGGATGTCCTTTCTAAAACAGAACATTTAGTAACAGAAAACTAGAAACCGAACATTTATTAACAGAAAACTAGAAAGTTATTTTAAAAAATAAATTTTGGGAATAAGGAAAATGATCTCAGAAGGAAGTTTATATGTAATACAAAAAGAAATAGAGAACGATAATGTTAGTAAATTTCTAGAGAAATTTAAACATTCTGTGAATGATAGCAATGATCACAACAATAAGTATATGTTGAGGAATTAAGAATTGGAAACAAAAATGATAACAACTAAGTCATAAGGAGGGTGATTAGAATTTTATGTCCCAATTCCTTTACCTATTCTGGGAGGCTAAAACATTAATTAGTTTCAGACTTCATTAATTATGCATGTCAATATTTGAAAGGTCTGAAGTGTTTTGCATCACCAACAACAAATTTTTCAATTCTCTGGACACCTACTGGGGGTTCGACCATTCAACCCAAATAAAGTTAATTTAATTCAATACAATCCAGTTCAACTCAATTCAATTCAGATTTGACATTACCTAGAGTCAGTGTCAAATTCCACAGATTTAAGGGTTTGGTCGCACAAGACTGCCCCATTTCATGTGTTAGTCAGAAGACTCAGGCCTTATATACTTCTCACCAACCAGCTACAAATCAGGAATTCCCACAACTCCTTCTCAGTCTTGATTCTAGCAAGAATGCATCAGCGAACTCAGGGGAACTCTTTACTTCTATTTACCAGTTTATTATAAACAATGAAATTCAGGAAGAGCCAGGTGGAAGAGATGCTTAGGGCAAAGTAGGTGCAGTGACGGGGGCAGCATGAGGTGTCCATGCCTTCCCAGCCCCAGCACAGAAGCCCATTAAATCTCATTGTCCAAAGATATTTATAATACTTACTCTTCCCTTTCCTCAGGTGGGTGGGCTGAAAGTTCCAATCCTCTAATCACTTGGTCTTTCTGTTGATAAGCCCCCACCTGAGACAATCCAGGAGATCTATCCTCAGTCATCTCATTAGTACAAACTCAAGTGTGATTGAAAGGAGCTCATTATGAACAACAGAAGACCTTCCTATTGCTCAGAAAATTCCAAAGGTTTTAGGAGCTCTGTGCCAGGAAGCAGGACAAAGACAAAATATAGTCATGTACCACTTCATGACATTCTGTGTCAGCAACAGACCACATATGATAGTGGCCATATGATATCTATGGCCCCATAAGATAGTGGAGCTGACAACTAGTGACATCATAGACATAGTAACCTCAAAGTTGTTGGTACTCAGTAATCCATACCCCAAAATATGGTGCTTTGACATGCTGAACTGATGGAGCCTCAAGGTCTCAATGACCTCTTTAACCCCCTCACCTTGTCTCTTAAAGCACAGGATAAAGTTGTTAAATTCCTTTATCCACCTAATGTCTGGACCCACCAAGGAAAACAGTTGTTTTATTTTTCCTCTCCCTGTAAGACCAAAAATATAACCACACCTGAACAGGTTCTTTCACAAGATACTGTACAAGTTAATCTCTGTTCCCTGATTCATTTATTTTCCCTAGTAATTCCCTCAACAGAATTCCTCTTCTCTCCCATCTCCCATTACCTGTTTTGTCAGGATTGTCTATAAGCTTCTGAACCACTTTGGGGCTGGGGGGTGGTAATCTCTCTGTAGTTCTCCCAGTGTACATGTTAATATATTTTGTATGCCTTTTCTCCAATTAATCTCGCCTTTGGGAGTTATTGTTTCAGCAAACCTTCAGAGGGCAAAGGTGATGCTTTCCCTTGATCCCTACATACTGCAATGCATTATTCATGTGTTTGTGGTGATGCTGGTGTAAACAAACTTACTGTGATGCCAGTCATATAAAAGTATAGCACATGCAATTATGTACATATAAGTACATTATGCTTGATAATGCTAATAAACTACTCTGTTACTGGTTTATGGATTCACTATACTACGCTTTTTTATCATTATGTTAGAATGTACTCCTTCTACTTAAAAAGATAGACTCAGGCAGGTCCTTCAAGAGATATTCCAGAAGGCATTGTTATCACAAGAGATGACAGTTCCGTGTGTGTTATTGCCCCTGAAGAGCTTCCAGTGGGACAAGATCTGGAGGTGTAAGACAGTGATTTCGATGGTTCTGACCCTGTGTAGGCCCAGGCTAGCATGTGTTTGTATCTTAGTTTTTCACAAAAAAAGTTTAAAGAGAAAACAAATTACAAATAGAAAAAAAGCTTATAAGGACAAAAAAAGTTTTTTGTACAGATGTACAATGGCTTTGTGTTTTAAGCTAATTGTTATCACAAAGAGCAAGAAGTTTAAAAATATTAAAATGTTTATAAAGTCAAAGAGTTACAGTAAGGTAAGTGTCATGGGTGTGCGTGGCTGGGGCTGGCGTTGTGGGTGGTCAAAGAATTTACAAAGACAGTCATAGGTAAAGAAAGGCAGATTTATTAGAGAAAGTAAGAAAATACGTTGCAAGAGAGCAATGGGCAGTACAGCAGGGAGAAAGATGTCTGCCAAGAGATAGGATCTAGAGGGATGTTTTATATGGTTGTGCTGGAGAGGTTATGTGCAGATAGGGTCATGCTCCTGGGGCTACGTACAGAACGAGGTATTTGGGAACGGGATGCTGTGCAAGTTGGTTGGTTGTGGTTAGCCATTTCTCAGAAGAATTGTTCTCCCCCACCCTGAGGCCCCTTCTTTATTGTTGCTAACTTATCTGGACTCTACACTAAGGTTAACATATTACTGAAGAAAGAAAAATATTTTTAATAAATTTAGTGTAGCTTATGTGTACAGTGTTTATAGCATCTACAGTAGTGTACACTAATGTCCTAGGCCTTCACTTCACTCTCCACTACCATACTGACACCCAGAGCAACTTCCAGACCTGCAAGCCCCATTCATGGTAAGTACCATATATAGGTGTAGTATTTTTTATCTTTTATACCATAATTTTACTATGCCTTTTCTATGTTTAGATATGTTTAGATAAATAAATACTTACCATTATATTACAGTTGCCTGCGGTGTTGAGTACAGTTACATGCTGTAGAGGTCACTAGCCTAGAAACAATAACTTTTTCATATAGCCTAAGTGTATAATAGGCTATATCATCTAGGTTCACGGAAGTACACTCTATGATGTTCAAACAAGGACAAAATCACCTAACTGTGAATTTTTCAGATGTATTCCTGTTGTTAAGTGGTGCATGACTGTACATTTTTGTAACATACCATGAAGAGTAACTAAAATAGTAGTTGGACAACTATTCAAAACAGTAAACAACCGTACAACTTCCAAATCAGTAAAGGAAGAAAAAGTATGAAATTAAACAGAAACATACTTAAATTATTCCAATAAAGGCAAGAAAGTGAAGAAGAGAAGCATAAACAACAAGGAAAACAGGAAGTGCTAGCCAAGATAGTAAAAAATATCCAAATATGTCACTAATTACAGTAAGTACAAGAAGACTATGCTCACTAGTTTAAGTAGAAAGATTCATAAAGATTTTTAAAATAAGTAACTATATTCTACTTAAGAAATAAATAAACATAAAGATGTAGAGAAACTAAAGCAAAAGGAAGGAAATAAAATATAATAGACAAATACTACCAAAAGAAAAATTCTGTTACTATATTAATAGCAGGCAAGATAGATTTCAGGGAAATAAACATGTAAAAAATTTGCTACATAATTACATAGGATTCCCCTCAACAGGAAGATATCACCATACTAAACATATAATTTTTAAATAAGTAGCCTCAAATAAGAAAATCTTGATAGATTATGGGGATGACTGGGCATATTGTCCACACTGTGGTGTTTTAATGTACACCTACCCCACTTACTGCAGGTCTTAGATTCATCTCTGTGAGCTGGGGCTGGACCTGGACTTGGTCTGTAGATCCCAAAGCTGGTTATCAGCTTTTTCTTTCAAAAAGCTCCCTGCTCCTGACTCTTTTCAGTTTGCTGTCTTCTCTGTCTTTTAGTTTTTGACAATTTTCCTTTCTGTCTTGTGATCCTAGTCATTTTATCCAGTTTCTAGTTGTATTGGAGCAGGAGGGGCTTTCAGAGAATCTCCTCTGCCCTGCTGCTGGAAACAGATGCCGCCTTTACTGTGTCTTCTTGCTTTCAAACATTTCTCCTCACAAATTTAATCCTCATTCTAAGGCCAAAGTGATCTTTCTACAATATGACTCTAACCACTTCACTAACCTGCATTAAAGTCTTCTGTGTCTTACCATCAACTGAAAACAATTTGATGATCTTAGTCTGGGGAAAAAGGTTCTTCAGGAACTGGCCTCTGCCTGTCTTCTCAGCATCATCATCTTTGGTCTCAGTTCTGCAGGGTTTAAACTTGGAGCAGCTTGAGACTCTCCATGGTCTCTTGGCACCCTGTGTTTTGTGCAGATGGTTTTGGCTGTCTATAAGTTTCTCCCCCAAATCAGGATAGATATTTAGTGAACACACACGAGCATGGATACACTGGTTGTTAAAATATCAAAATGCTTTTGTACAAATACATGAATTATCACAACTATGTCTTTTTCTACAGGAATTTTTGCTCCCTCCCTGCTAGTCTAACAAATCAGACACCTGTCATGGTGGGAGTGGGGTTTCAAGACCCTGCTCCAGACTAGAGACTTAATCAGTCAGTGCCTAGGTTGTGCAGCCTGTTAAATGTCTTCAATGTTACTCCTGCTTCCACTCCCTTTTTTCTGGGCAAATCCTACTTGTACTGCAAGATTCCTACAAAGCATTGATTTTTCTATAAAAAATTCCATGCCCTTCTTTCCTTACCCCTTTTTCTGTGCTACACTAATCACTCTGTGTATGCCTCTGCCCTGTTCTGTCCTCTGCTATGTCATAAATGATTCTCCTGCACATCGGACTCTGTGCTCCTTAAAGGCAGAGCCATGTCTTAATCGTCATGGTATGTTCTGTTGTTAGCAGTGTTTTGGCACATGATCAAACCTCAGTAAAGCCTAGGATTTGGCACTGAGCATTTAGATTGGCCTACTCTTTCTCTAACTCTAAGAGAGAAGAGAGGGACTGAAAACATGTCTAACTTGGTTTATGATCTTGATTTCAGCATGAGGCATGAGTTCAGCAGCTGCTAGTAGCCCTGAGCCTTCATTCTCCTGAAACAAAGAGCATCAGGAAGCAGAAGAGGAAGTCCCTCTTTCTGGGTGGGAGACTCTCCCATCCCAATTTGAGCAGGAAGAGTCCCCACAGAGCATACTTTGTTTATATTTTCTTTATACAAATATTTTTGAATGACTTCTGATTATTTATTTCTGGCTGATTGTCAACAGTCAGGATGAAAAAGGTAGACTGCATGCAAAAACATTATTGTAGTAGAAATTTTGATTCTACTTTGGGAAGGTTTTTAATTTTGAAGATATTCTCCTTAGATCTCATTCCTGACTGTAATCGAAAGGCTGTAACACATTTTTTTACATTGCTTTTATTTCTGGTTATTGCCATGGTAACACAGACTTATTCCAACATATATGCATTTTGGGCAAATCTCTTACTTAAGAAAAATGCCAAGGAGAATAAGAAGTAAGGGAAAGATGCAAATGACTTCTGTCAAATACATTTTGTGATGTTCAGTTGTTAACTTGTTATCAAATGAAAGCAAGCAATTTATTCTTCTGGTGATTAAAAGAAGGGCAAAAATGTACCCACTTGTAAAGAACTTGTGCAATTCACAAGAGTTAAAAAAGAAACAATCTGGTACCTATGATTATAGAGGAGAAAACTGAGTAAAGATGAATAAATTACAGAGATAAGTGACTTGCTTTACAGTCACATGACTAGTGAATGGTAGAGCTCAGTTGAGGACTTTTTTCTTCAGCAAATGACCTTGTGAATGGCAAAGAAATACCTAAGGAGGCATGGCTAAATTTGTATGACAAACAGAGTCATGCTGATTTATTAGTGTATTGATTCATTTATATTAAATGCTTGTTATGTGCCAGGCCCTATGCTAGGTTCTGGGATTAAATAAAGAATCACATATCCATGAAACTTTATGGAGTTAACAGTTAAGCAAGAGAGATAGACATTAACTTATAATTACTCAAATAAATATATCATTAGCTACTGTGAAAAGGACATGAAGGTAAAGCATGGAGCGCTATGAAAGCAGGTAACATGTGGACTTAATATAGCAAAGTGGTTAGAAGATGTCTCCTTGGTAAAGTTACATTGACCTGAATCCAGAAAAATTATTTGCTAAATGTGGAGGAGGCCAAAGAGAAGCCAGGCAGGGGCACTAATGCAGGGTCCTTAGGGGAGACATGTGGTGTGTCTGTAGAGCAAAGAGAAGTCCTGGACTGCACGCATGATGAGTGCCAGAGAGAGTGCTGAAGATGACATTGGTTAATATGAAGCTGAGGCACAGGAGAGCACAGATCCTAGAGCATCCTTGAAGTCATATCAAGAATTCTGATTTTGATCTTGAGCTCACTGGGAGACCATTGACAAGTTTTTATTAGGAGAATATTAGCACTAGAGTGCTCATGCTGGCTGCAGGTAGGTGTGGGAATGGAGCGCCAATGAAGGCATATTTTCAATAGTTTATGTTCCTGATAGTAGTTTTCCTTAAAGAAGTAACAGTGGAGACCAAGTTCAGTGCATGGATTTGGATTAAATACACATTTTGGAAATAGAATAAACAAAACTCTTGGGGAATAGGGGAAAGAAACGTTTCAAAGATGACACCAGTAGAATCTTTTTCACAATCAAACCACCTGGACAATAGGACCAAAGCTGTTCTTGGTTCTCCAGGACTCTTGACTCTACAGTTTGGGTGCAGCAGAGAACTTCTCATAAAAACTTCCTGATAATTGCTATTTAGAATCTGAGTTGGCGTTGTTAATAAGTAAGAGGAAAGATTTGGCAGTGTTTATAAATACTGTTTAGGTAGGAGAGTTGTTAGCAAAAACTTGTTATTGATGTATGGACAAACATGTTATCAATTCACTTATAGAATTCCTCTATAGAGTTCCTTTAGGAAATACTAAGCCAAACTATAAAATTCAGATTATCATCTTCCCTTTGATGAAAGTCAAAGTTTATTAAGGTCAACAGTCATGCTATTACTCCGTATAAGACTTTTCAGTGGCTTCCTAGTCTCTTTAAGTCAAATGCCTTAACATGTTTAAAGGGTCCTTCATGATCTAGTTCTTATTTTTTCTCTAATTTAGGGTGACTTTTGTTACAAATATCAGATATCTCAGAACACACTGACTTAACCAATACTGGGATTCATTTACTCACATTACTGTAAAACCTAGAGTTGATCAGCATCTGGTCTTGTTTATCTGTGATTTTTCTCAGTACCTGCCTCATCCTTAGGCTTGCTCTCTCTCTCTCTTTTTAAAAAAATTGTAATTGACAATAATAATTTTATATATATTTATGCAGTACAATGTGATGTTTTGATTTATGTTTATATTATGGAACGATTAAATCACACTAACAGATCCATCTCACATACTTATTTTTTTGTGGTGGAAACATTTAAAGTTCACTTTTTGTAATTTTGAAATATACAATGCAAGGCTGGGTATGGTGGCTTATGCCTGTAATACGAACATCTTGGGAGTCTGAGGTGGGAATATTACTTAAGCCAGGAATTCAAGACAGCCTGGGCAACATAACGAGATCCTCACCTCTCCAAAATAAAAATTTTATAAATTACCTGGGTGTGGTGGTATGTACCTATAGTCCCAGCTACTTGGGATGCTGAGGTGGGAGAATCACTTTAGCCCAGGAGTTTGAGGCTGCAGTGAGCTATGATTGAGCCACTGCCCTCCAGCCTGGATAACAGAGAGAGAACCTGTCCCTAAATTTAAAAGAAATCAATATACAGCATAGTATTATTTATTATAGTTATCATTCTGTGCAAGATATTACTACAGCTTATTTCTCCTTTCTAACCGAAATATTGTACCCTTTGATCAACATCTCCCCCTTTCCCATCCACCTGCCTCCTCCAGCCTCTGGCAGGTAATTGCCAAAAGCTGGTTCTCTTGAAGGTTGCAAGATGGTAGCTAAAAGAAATAAGATGGCATTCTTTCTCAATCATGTTTAGGAGATTAAGAGGACACTGATTACTTCAAACATGAAACAAGGGCCCCAAGCTCTTCTGTGCTGGGACTAACCTGAACAAATTACATTGAGTGGGCAGTTAGGCTCTTCTGATAGGCGTAAGACACTCTGGGCTCACAGAGTCACTTTTAAATACATTTGTTTAATGAATGAATGAAATATGCTTGGAATTTTACGTAATTCAGATAGTACACCCCTCTGGAACCTGTGTAAAGCAACAGCTTCAATATTAAATGGATGTTGGCTTCACATTTTCAGCATGCCAGTTCTTAAATCCTGGAAAGTAATTTTCCACTGGCCTCCTGCCTTATGTCCTTTGATTTTGACCTGACTTGATTTTTACTTTTGGAGCCTGTTAAGAAGTTATTTGAGCATCACTCTTGAGTGTCCTATGGGTGATAAAATAAAAGAGCTAGGCTACGGGAAGATGAGGTGTGGTGTACCTAACCTTATACAATCTGTATGTAAGAAACTTGCTATGAATTTCTTTATTTTATAGACTCTGATAACTTCAAGAGATCCTATGGAAAATCCACTAACAAAATAGTAACGTTTGTGAAAAGTAAGTAACTGCTTCCTATCTTATCTGTTATGCAAATCTGGATACTTACAATAACAGATAATAACAATAACACACTTATTCTGTGAAGTCACACCAGTGACAATATATCCATCAATTTCTGTTGTGTTTTTTTTGTGTATAAGTCACTTGATTTATAAGTATCACTAGACTGTAAGTTCCTCTGAGTGCTAATTCATGATTATTTCCCCAGTTTAATACATTTTGTTAAGCTCTTACTGCCTATTTATAAATTGAAATTATCCATTTATTCCTCATCTATTAACATCCTGCTAGGAGCCAGGCACTAGGCTAGGTGCTGAAGACTCAAAGACAAAATATAATGTTTCTCTCTTAGAGATCCTATTTTTAAAAGAGGGGAAGATAACTAGATCTATAACTGGCAAATTTTAGTGTGATTGGTACTTCAATAGGGCATAAAAACAGATGGAGATGCAAAAGAGGAAATGCTCAACCTTCTCTTGGTAGTAAGTGGCAGACAAAGATGAGGTATTCAAGGAAAGCATCCAAGAAGAGAGAAGGAAGAGTAGAATTTTTGAATGTAGACAAGGGGAGTGAGGATAGATGACAAAGAGCACATGGGTAAAGGCATGAAGCCATGCAATAAAATGGCGTGTCCTCAAAACTTTACATGCTCCAAATTGCCGAGGAAGAAAAGGCAGATAATGAGATTGGAGAGGTAACCAGCAGCCATATCATAGAGGGCCAAAGTAAGCATGCTACAGACTTAACCTTAAAAGAAATGATTACAAACTTAATAAATGATAAAGATTTAATTAGGGTGGTAACACAATAGAACAACCTCAGGCAAGATGGATTGGCGTGGAAGATAGATTGGAGCAGGCCAAGAATGAAGCCAGGAGTATCCGTTAAGGAGTTCCACAGCCCAGTTAAGCAATCACGATGACTGATGGAACACCTTTTTTGGGAAGTCGACTTGGAAAAACTTTATGATCAATGGAGTACAAAGGAGAAAGAGAAACCTAGGATGACACCTGGCTTAGGTGACTGGTTGTCAGATGGTAATGCCAGTACTCAACTTAGATCCTAAGAGGAAAGATAGGTTTAATTTTGGTTCTACCTATATTGAGCTGAAGTATCTCCAGGATGACCTATATGGGCAGTTGGATATTAGTTCTGAATATCAGGAAAGAGATCTGCTGAGTAGCAATGTATATTATTTGAAGATCATCAAGGTGGAGGTAATAGTTAAGTCCCTGCACTTGAATGAGGTTGCCCAGGGAGATTATTAAAGTGAAAAGTTGGCACAGAAGAGAATGTTGGGTACCACCAACATTTATGTGGGAAAGTAAAGCAAAAGAATGTAACTATGAAGATCAAGAAAAAAAAAAGAGGCAGGAAAAGCACCTAGATGCCATGGCACAATGGACTCAAAGGGAAGATAGAGCATTAAAGAGGACATTTTTATTTAGGTAAATAAGTAGACTAAGAATGAAACTAGGTCCACGTTAATTAGCTACAAAGTATACATGAGTAAAATGGATTGGTGTCCTTGAAAAGAGTAATTTCAGTGGTGTGTTGGGTTAATGAATGGGGAATTGGAGGGTGGAGGTCATGAGTAAACTGGTTTTCCAAGTGGTCAGGCCATAATGGGAAGAAGAGTGATGAAGTAGATAGTTACCTAAGTGTCTGTCCTAAAGCAGTCAAAATGTATATATGTGTGTATTTCTTTAAAACTTGGAATAAAGTTTTAGCTATAAAATATGGAGAAGTTCAGAGAGACAGAAAGGGAGAGGGAGAGAGGGGGAGAAAAAACATAGGAGAAGAAAGAAATATTAATGGAATAAGTCTAATGGCAAGATGAGAAAACAGAATTGAGGCTCAAGGATATAGGCGAAGAAATTATCTCGAAAAGGGGAAAGGACATTTCTTCATAAAAACCAAAGTGAAATTATTGGTATAGAAACTGATATGAATAAATTTACAATCATTTAGCCTCATTTGATTATGAGTAAATTGAAATGCCCTATATTCACTTGCTATTTTTTGGAGGAAGTTTAAAAGATGTTAGAGGTAGACTCAACCTTTCACTTGTCTTTTTCTAAGATACAGTCAGGTTGATTAATTTCTTCCATAAAAGCAAGTCAAATTCCATTTCTTTGACAGCTCCCACTTGTTTTCTCATTGTTACACAATCTGAAGAGGTGGCTTGTATCTTTGTTGATGTCAGTCAGCAGAGATTTAAGTTTGGTGGAAATCTTGAGCTCTATTAGGTTCTGCCCTCAAAACTCAGGCTTGTGACTTAAATTTACCTTGTTCAGGTTTCCAAAGGAATGACTCATAGCCAACAAAAGGATACTTTTTCCTTCTCCAATTTTCCAAGGACAGAGTTTGGGGATGTGTCCACGGGATGCTTAATACCCCTATTCTGTTCTTCAGCCTTAATTATCCATCTGGTTCCTCAGACAATTTATTAGACTCTGACAAATCTGAACAGATGGGCTGTAGCAATTGAAATGAGGATAGGCAATGGAGAGGTTAAACAATGGCAAAAACAGAACCTAAACACATAATTTTATTTAATTCTTACACCTCTGAGAAGTGGGCATTATATTATTATTGCTGGAATCCACTGTGGTCAGGCTGGCATTGGTACAGTTTGATGATGGGGGATGAGGCAGGCATGTGTTTTGCATGCATTGGTTCACATGCAGGGAATAAAGCATGTTAGAGGAGGGTGTATTTATATTAGAAGAGGACATAGTTGTACATATTAGAGGAATACAAGAGGTGTAAAAGTAAAAGAGTCATATTTAGCAATTTAGCATACAAAATATGGTACTTTGGACTCATCAACCAAAGAATAAAAAGGTAATTTCTGGTTCCCCATTCAGAGGATTGGACAATCAGGGCCCATATTCTGGATTTCTGCGTGTTCATGCCCCAGAGGAATATTGTCTTAGTCTGTTCAGATTGCTATGAAAAATACCATAAAGTGAGTAGCTTATGAACAGCAGAAAATTATTTCTCACAGTTCTAGAGGCTGGGAAGTCCAAGTTCAAGGCACTGGCAGATTTGGTGTCTGATGGGGTCCCACTTTCTGAGTCATAAATCGTGCCTTCTCACTGTGTCCTCAGAGGTAGAAAGGATGAGCTGGCCCTCTGGGTTCTCTTTCATAAGGGCACAAATTTCATTCATGAGGGCAGAGCCTCTAAAGGCATCATCTTCTAATACCATCACACTTTTGTGATTACATTTTAACATATGAATTTTGGTGGGACACAAGCATTCAGAACACAGAAAATATTAAAATTGTTTTTGCATTTCACAGCTGAAAGTTGCCAGATACAGTGACACCAAGTAAAGAAAATCTTGCTGTATAGTTTTTATTGGTAAGGTCCAGGCCAAGGGTTGCAAACTCTGATGACTACAACAGCCAAACAGTTACCATAAAACAATGAAGAGAGCTAGGTGTAACCAGTCAGGAGTGGTGAGGACTGTAGGAAACTGTTGAGTGTGTGCCCTATCTAAAGTGCTACTCAGTTACTGCCCACTCTTGACATGCAGGAATGTGGACTCAATTCATCAGATTTTTTTATTTATTAAGAGAAGTTACAAAAATTCTAAATGTATAATCTTCTAGTTTTTGATGTTGGCATAAATGTTATAAACTAACCAACATGTCGACATTTAAGGAACTGACTGATTCTATGACTCCTGGTCTGGGCCCTTCAAGTAGGTAAACCTGGATTATCTGAGAAAGGAAGGAAGTGGTTATAATGCCATTTCTGGGGGAAATGAAATGAAAAGAGAAGAGAAGGGGAGGACAACAGAAAGAGGGAGTGATAATGGGGCTTCCTAAGACTGGGAAGCCTGCAGAGTGAGAGTCTCTGCAAGTAGCTGAGATCCATGTCTGGTTGCTCTCCATGGGAGCCTTTAGAGATTTGGGGACCAAGCCCTATTGGGGTGGAAATGCCAGTAAAACTTGTACAGAGACTTGGTAAGACTGGAGCTAATACAGGGAAGCAGGCAACCTTCTTCATACTGACTCTAGGGACATGAGCAAGACACATTGATTTTGACTCATGGTCCTGGATTGGAAATTATTTTCCCTAGTTTCTCTTGAAGTGTTGAAGCCCCCAGGTTAAGAAGCAACCTAAGAGAAGGAAAAGTGGGGCCACAAAATGACTGACGCACAATTCTAGAGAACTTTGGGTAATGGTAGATGTTCTATGACTAAGGAAAAGAAAGAAGTGTGGCATTCTTTACACTTCAAGTTTAGAGAGTAGACAGCAAAGGGTTGTGACAACCTCTGGGCAGTTCAGCTCCACAGAACTCATGTCTGAGCCCTTTAGAGAAAGCAGTGATGGCAAAAGCTGAAGGAGTGATTTCTTCTAGAGTCCATGAGACATGTAGCCACAGTGCAATGTCCAGGGTAGTAACAATTGGGTGGAAAGGTATTTGCCATTGTCTGAATGTTTGCATGCCTCTGAATTCCTATGTTAAAATCCTACCCCACGAGGTGGTGCCATTAGGAGGGTGGGCCTTTGGGAGGTAAATATGGAATAGGGGTGCAGACCTTTTGAATGGGTGGAGTGCTTTTATAAAAGAGGCCCCAGAGAGCCAGCTTTCCCTTCCCTATTTGGTGACACAGTAAAAAAAAGTACCATTTATGAACCAGAAAGCAGAACCTCACCAGACACTGAGTCTGCCCGTGCCTTGATCTTGGACTTCTAAGCCCCCAGAAGCGTAAGAAAAAAATAAAATAATTCTGTTGTTTATAAGCCACCCAGTTTATATGACTTTTTTTTATAGCAGCCCAAGCAAACTGAGATAGCATTCTTCTCAATCCCAATTAAAATGCCCTTGAGGCACTGATGCCTTGATTACCTGACTCTATGGAATAATATGCTGGTAGCTTGATCCTCTGGATATGCAGGCAGTTTGAGAGGAGGCTTTTTGCAATGTTAGGAGTGAGAATCTTTGGAATGGACATCAAAGTTTGATTGTCAGCCGTGAATGTGAGGAGCTTCAGGAGGTAGGAATGACAGAGCAGCATACCATTTACTATGCTGTAACTAACAGACATGTTCTTGATCTTAGTTGAGACCATCTAGGAACTTCCTAAAATAATCGGTTGAGATTTTGAGAAGTTTTTGTAAGATAGAGACAAAGCCAATGAAATTTTAGTGTTCATGCAGACCAATTGTACTCACACTCTAGTGACAACTGAGGACACTTTAGTTATATGAATCACACACATTAAAGTTAAGAGCCTTGCCCGTGGTCTCCCCAATCTTTTATGATGAAAGTAAAATTTAAATTATGGACTTAACTTCAAATTTACCACCTACTTTATTATATCATCACTGCCTTTCACCCAAGCTTATCAATAAGCTTCTCAGGGAATGTCTTATAAGGAGAGAGATGATCACAAATACTTTGAGATTACTTAAACACCCATTGGTTGTACCTATTTTAATGTAAGTTGGTACAGTTTGTTTTTAAATTTTTTTACCTTTAAGCTTTTTTTTATTTGAAGTTTATACAGTTTGAACACTTTAAACAAAATGCTTTATTTACAATTTAACAAAATAAAACCCCAGAAACTAAATGGAGTGTCAGAATACAAAGGCCCTGTTTCCCCTGCAAAAATCACAAAAAAACGTGAATTGTCACATAAACATAAATAAGGTGGAAAGTAGAAAATAGGAATTCTCAAATATTTCATATGGTGAGCAGTTATGATGAGTATGCAAACCCAAGCTCATCTTTTGCAAGAAAAGAGAGTTTCTCTCTCTCAGGCTACCTGGCAGTGGCTGGGATGCTGACACTCTCTCAGGTAGCAAATTCCTTCCCTTCAAGTTAATAATGCCTAATATTTCCTTGAGTTTACTCAATATCTACTCTATGACTCAATACTCTCCATTCTCCAATATCTCTGCCTTCCTATAGCCCTGAACAAAAACTTTTGTTGTTGTTAATGTTCTGCTGTCCCCTTACATGTTTTCTTCCTCTCATTCTTCCTATATCACTGACCTTGGTCATCCATCAATTCAAGTCATTAGAGCATAAAACTTCTTGACACCCAGAACTGGCTTAATACTTGTTTTGTATCACTAGCACTTTGCACTTGGCTAAACACTCAGTAGGTGCTTTGGATTCATTGTTATACTCCTTAGATTTGTGATATTAATCAGTATCCTAAAAGAGAAAAGTATTTAGAAGAAATCTGGTAATAATCTATACACTGGGAAGTTATGCAA
This sequence comes from Homo sapiens, assembly GCF_000001405.40. Classification (NCBI taxonomy): domain Eukaryota; kingdom Metazoa; phylum Chordata; class Mammalia; order Primates; family Hominidae; genus Homo; species Homo sapiens. The sequence goes on from NC_000011.10 coordinate 106,354,570, forward strand.
AGGAAATAGCTTCCTATGTTTCCAGGTGTTGCTGTTACCGAGGTACATTGCTTCTATATAAATTCACAAACTATAATCAGTCTCATATTGCATATAGGAGATTAGAAGCACCATTTGTATGTAGCCTCAGTCTACTGCTCCTAATTACTGAGGACTGCTATTACTCAGGCTGATAAATTACTAAACATTATGTCTCCTATGAAAACATTCCATGACAATACAAATGTCTGAATAATTAAATTGCCTTACTCTGGGTTGAATATAGATAATCAACGTAAGATATTTTGAAAAATGCAAACAACAAGAAGAATGCAAGAAATAATCTCTTTCAGAAGATTTAATTTCTCTGGACCTAAGTCTCTGTAACCACTAAAGTATAATGACTAGTACATAGCAGGCACTGAGTAAGTGTTTGTTGAATGAATGAATGCATGGTGAATAAATGAGTGAATACAACAATGGTTGCTCTGCTTAATTCCAGGGTTGTTATAAGGATAAACTGAAGTAAGAGTTGAGTATATACTAGAGAAATAAATTTGTCATCAGACAGTCTTGGTTTTGGATCCTGCCTCTGGCATTTATAAACCATGCCATTTTGAGCAAATCACTTAACCTTTGCATAGGACCTCATGCATGATTGGTTCCCAATAAGTGAGCACTATCACTTGTGGAAAGGATAGTGTGTAATGCAAAGTTTTCTTTCTCATTATTTGTCATTTGGTACCTTTTTAACCTGATAAGTGTTTCTTTGTGGTTCTAGCAATCCATATTTTATACTTTCTTAGTCAAGTCACAGGGAAATCGTGTATTTTATACTATGAATATTGCTCCCCCTGAGGACAAAAGCAAAATATTTCAAAAATTCATAAGATAATAACTAGTATATGCAAACCACTGGTGATCTGGTGTCATTTGCTGGCTATTGGGGTCTGGTAAATAATTCTTCACAAAGTTCATTTTGATCAGGGAGCTGCCAGCCATCTTCATAGCTCGTGTTTAATAAGCTAAGTTTTGTGATTTAGCATCAGGCATTTAATATAGGGCCAGCTATATGGTTCTGTGTAGTTGCATACTCATAAATATCCAATATCCATTATCCAGTGTTGTTGAGTAGAATGTCATTCACATGAACTCATTTGTCATGTTTGGTAGTTTTTAAGACAGGGATACTTTTTTTTTTTAACCTATCCCATACATTTATTTATTTCTAAGCACAAAGGGCACTTGGAAGAAAATGGAGCAGCTGGTAAACACTTATGGAGATAAATGCTATCTTTTTCTGTCCCTCTCTAATGTCTCATCAATTCTTCAATTCTAATTGAGGTCTTTTAAATCTTAATGGACATTCTTTCTGCTCATTATTACAGTTATCTGGAGACATCAGTAAATAGGCTGCATTATAAATAATGTTTCTCATGTATCTTAGCTTGTTTTGTGTTGCTATAACAGACTATCACAGACCGGGTAATTAATAAAGAATTTATTTCTCACAGTTTGGGAGGCTGAGAAGTTCAACCTCAAAATGCTAGCATCTTATTGGGTCTTCTTGCTGTGTCATCCCACGGTGGAAGTAGAAGGGCAAGATAGTACAAGGCAGCATGAGAAAGTCTAACTCCTTTTTATAACAAACTCACTCTTGAGATAATTAACCCATTCCCATCACAACGACATTAATCTATTCACAAAGGCAGAGCCCTCATGACCTAATCACCTGTTATTAGGTGCACTGGAGATTAAGTTTCCAACATACGCACATTGGAGAATGCATTCAAATTTTAGCTCCTTATATCTAAAGTGAAGCCCTTTAGTGGCCAGTTTTTGGAGAGAAAAAATGGGTAAGCCTGTGAATGTGAATTTCCATATCCCATGGCATTGGAAATTCTACTCTTAGCATAATTTTCATGGGATAGTTGTAACGTGTCTAGTTGTTTCTCCCTATACTAAAATAATCTAACAAACAAAAATCCCAAACAATTCAAATGCTATAATTTTAGAATAATTAATTCTCCCTTATTTTTTTCTGACTACTCTCTTAAAGTAAGACTGCGAATTACCACTTTTTGCTTCCACTAGGCTATTTGCCTCTAGTCTTAACCACTTTTCCTTTTCTATTTTACTACTTCTTGTTTCTCTTTTCCTCCCTCCCTCCTTTTTTCCCCCACATTTTCTTCTTTTTTCAACAAACTTCAGTGCCTACAGTGGCTATGGGCAGTGTGCGGTGCTGATGGAACAGTGATGCATTAGGCAATATTCCTCCCTCATGGTGCGAATAATCCTGGGGGGAGCAGACTCATAATAGAGAATTAACATCTGATGTGTTAATTTATTCTGGAGGCAGCCTAGTGGGATAGAGGATAGTAATAATCAAAATACCACAAATTAGTTGATTTTAGAAGGGCACATGAATTTATAAAGCATCATATGGAAGACAATATATTTGAATAACATGTCAAATAGGAATAGAGAGGTTTAAGTAAAGAAATAAAATTATTTTCAGATTAAAACGTATCACCTTTAGCAAATAGATGTTGTGACAGCTATTTTGTCTGCTTTATCTGCTTTGTTTTGCTAATTTTGAGTGTGCTAGGTTATGTGGTTGAGCAATTGTGCTGTGATGTTATACTGTTTGTTTGCAATGGAGTTGTAGCTCACTCCTTACTTTTCTTTCCCATTACCTAATGGAAATTAAGAGTGGTGCCATTAGCGAGTACACCTGCCTCAGGGAATGATGTGTTTTGCAGATACAAAGTCTTGAAACCATATCGTTTGTCACTTACCTAGGACAAAAAATATAGTCACTGAGAATTCTGATAACTCCTTACGGGTCCTTGAAAGTATAATAAATAAAATATAAATTTCATTTCCTCCCATAGTATTTTACATTTTAGATGTGGTCTGAAAGGCTATTTTAATTTTACATATCTGTGTCTATATAGCTTTACATTTTGAAAGTACAGTTATATTTGGCTTTTTAAGGAAAACCAGTATCGGACACCATCCTGATAGGAAATCATTTAATTATGATGTTCAGTTTCAATGCCTTAGGTTTGTTCTTCCAAATTATGTTGAAATAGGTGTCTTTAGAAATCCTCTGCTCCTGCAAAGAAATCTCAGGCTCCTTGTTGTTAGACGCAGTTCTTATTCCTGAGATTCCAGCATCCCTAAAAAGGAGATGAGTAAATGGGGACATAGAATAATTGTATACTTTTTTTATGTTCTACCTTCTCCTTTTTTTAGTTTTAATCTGTTATTTTCTGACTTAACAGTTTGCTCTTCAGTCATCTTGTATTTTAATATTTAAGGTGATACATTCCTTTACGACTTTAACCTCATTTCCGAAGTATTGATCTTCAGTGTTACCATTGTCATTTAATTCTAAAGGTTAATTTTTATTAGAATTTCTTTGATATAAAGGTTTTTCAAAGAAGTTCTCTAAAATTTGTGTTTGGATTTTTTAAAATTTTCAATTGTATTGTGTTTTGTTCAGACAACATTATTTCATGACATATCTTCTTATTTCTTGAAATTTTGTTTTGTGGACAAGTATACACTTAAAAAAGTTCCATGTGTGCATACAATGAACATGTATCTTCTATTTGGGGTACAAACTTTCACATACATTAATTGTGTTCAAATATTTTATAACCTTACTATTATCAAGACCTTTAAATTTATCAAGCATGACCTTAATTAGGTGATATTAATCGTTTAATCATTAATTGATCATTAATCAACCTTTTTGCTGTGAAATTTTGCTGATCAATGTGAAAGAAACTACGAAGGTAATAATGAAGGGGTCATTTTGTAGCATGGTAGTATCACCCTGGTCCTAGGACCTGGGTCTCAGCTCCTTTTCTGACTCTCTCAGTGACGTGAGGCTTCTCTGAATTTTACCTCTAAAATGGAAACAATGACATATGCTCTAGCTTTTTTACGTAATTGTGAGAGGAAAGATGCACTACATAAGCCAATGCTATGAGGATTGCAGAACTTCCAAAGCAAGGATGGTTGAGGAATTCCCTTTCTTACTTTACACGCTTTAATTATGGAAAACAAGATATAACAAAATTATACGCAGACTTTTTCCTTAGGAAGTTTTTTATACGATGTTTCCTACTTTGTTTAGTGAGGAGTTGTACAATTAGTAACAATCAAATTAATATAAGCAATATTAAAATCAGCTGTTCCCATGAGGGACTAGTGATAAGATATAATTTTGTTGTAATGCAAGCGGCAATGACAATTCATTATATGTAAATTACGGGATGTTTTAAGTTCTATAAAGCTCATGATATTTTATCTTATTTAAAAAAATAAATTTAGAAAATAAGAAATAGGGTTTCACCATGTTGCTCAGGCTGCTCTTGAACTCCTGGGTTCAAGTGATCCTCCCACCTCATCTTCACAAAGTGCTGCGATTACAGGCATGAGCCGCCATATCTGATCAAGTCCATGATATTTTAAATTCTAAAATGGAATTCCAAAATAACTTCTTTCACAACCTACCTATGTACCATGGTTTTACTTTCAGCACCTGAGGGTAGTTTTACATTTGCAGTATCAGATTAGGTAAGACAACAAATAAAAAATTACACCAGAAAGTCCTAAACTACTTTAAGGCAAGTTGAAATGTGGTGACTTTGTTTTTATTAAATTAACTTATAAATGTAAAAATATTTATTAAATTTTATAGAAATTACTGTAAAATGTAAAATTAAATCATGTCTTCACCAAAGAATTATGATGACCATCTTCTTTACCTAGTAGCCATACCCACTCTTTTTCTTTTTCTCTTTACACATCTAATATCGGCATTCTCAGTTGTAGCGGGTAGAGCTGAGTGCTGCCAAAATATGTTGATGTCTTAACCCCTGGTACCTGTGAATGTGACTATTAGGAAGTAGGAACATTACAAATGTAATAAAACTAAATTGAGGTCATACTGGTTTAGGGTGGTCCCTAATACAATGACTTATATCCTTATAATAAGAGAAAAATTTGAACACAGACAGGAACAGGCACTGAAAAAGTCTGTATGAAAACTGAAGCAGAGTTACGCTGCCACAGGTCAAAGGATGCAGAGGATTGCCAGCCACCATCAGAAACCAGATGAGGCAAGGATAGATTTTTTTCAAAGAAATTTTAATTGTCAAATAAAAACTGTGTATATTCAAGATGTACAACATGACAATTTGATAAATATGAAATGATTACACAATCAAACCATTAGTGTATATGTGTGTGTGTATGCATGTGTGTTGTAAGGACACTTAAGATCTACTCTCTTAGCAAGTTTCAAGTAAACAGTACAGTATTGTTTACTATAGTCCTTATGCTGTACACTAGATCCCCAGAACTTATTTATCTTATAGCTGAAAGTTGTACCCTTTACCCAGCATCTCTCCATTTCCCCCCAACTGCAGCCCCTGGCAACCACCACTCTACACTCTATTTCCATGAGTTCATTTTTTTAGAATTCAAATATAAGTGAGATAATATAGTATTTGCCTCTCTATATTTGGGTTATTTCATTTAGCATGATTAGAGAAGGATGGATTCACAAATTAGTAAGGGATAGATTCTTCCTTAGAGTCCTTGGAGGGAGCATGACCCTGCTGACCTCTTGATTTCAGACTTGTAGTCTCCAGTACTATGAGAGAATAAATTTCTGTTGTTTGAAGCGACAAGGTTTGTGGTAATTTATTATGGCAGCCCTAGCAAACTAATACACCAGAGACCTGCCTTCCACATCTTCTCCTTTTTCAAGGTGTCTTTGGCAATCTGTTCCCTTCTTTTGAATTCTTCTTCTATCACAATTGCATAAGTAACTTCCAAATCATGATCTATCTATCCAGCTCCAGCTCTGTATTTCTTACTCTATTCTCAACATCATCACCAAGGTTTCCTATGGGAGCATCACATCCAGTATATGAAGTCCATCATCTTCCTGCTAAACTTGAGTTACCCCTTTCTGGTTGTGGTCCCATCATCCTTTCAGTTACCCAGACTTAAAGTGAAAGGGCCATCCTTGGCTTCTCTGCCATCTTTTGCCCATCCTGTACACCACTGTCCCACGGACGAGGATGGTTTTCAGGTCCCTGTGGACCATAACACACATAACACTCTGTTTTTTAATACCATCTTTACTGGGCTAGCCCAACAGCCCTCTGATGGATTCATTTCTGTTAGTCTGTTGAACATATTATTCACCTTATGCAGTCTTTAAAAATTATGCTGTGCAAAGCTCTGATTGTGTTATTCCATTGCTTAAATGACTTAAACATTTCATCACTGTCTTCCAAATAAAATCAGACTGATGTGAATGTTCTCCCTCCTCAGAAGCCACTTCCTTTTAACCCATTTTCTTCTAAAACCCCTTAGGTACATTATTTATCTAAATCAATGTTGTTTTCTTTCCTTAAGTTTTTATACCTCAATGCTTTTTTTGTAGCTGTTGATCTTATATCTTTCTACCTGTATTGTTCTTTCCTTTATTATCCAAAAGTTAAACTCTGGCCTCTTAATAAAGTTTGAAGATCACCTCCTTTGGTTCTCTTTTTTTTTTTTTTTTTTTGAACCAGTTCCTGGGTTCACACCATTTTCCTGCCTCAGCCTCCCGAGTAGCTGGGTCTACAGGTGCCCACCACCACGCCCTGCTAATTTTTTGTATTTTTAGTAGAGACAGGGTTTCACTGTGTTAGCCAGGATGGTCTCAATCTCCTGACCTCGTGATCCGCCCTCCTCGGCCTCCCAGAGTGCTGGGATTACAGGTGTGAGCCACCGCGCCCAGCCTCCTCTGGTTCTTAATCAACATATTCCTATATGAAGTTTTGTGTACACTTTTTTTTTTTTTTTTTGGTAGTGACAGGTTCTATGTATGCTCTGTCACCTGGGCTGGAGCGCAGTGGCATGTTCATAGTTCTCTATGAACTATGAACTTGAACTCCTGGGCTTGAGCTATGATTTGAACTCCTGGGCTTGAGCAATCCTCCCACCAGCACCTGACCTATGTACTCTTGTGTACTCTTTCAGATTACAAGCTCACTGAGGGGAAAGACATGATTTATCTAACACTGCGCCTAACTTAGTGCCTTGGACAGAGCAGACACTCAATAAAAATCTTTGAATGAATCAGTGCCTATTAAAAATGAAAGCATAATCATTTAAAATCATTGTGGCTCTGATTATTTAACTCTGATTACGTCCTTTCCTCTCTACTGACTCTAAACATTTTTTAAAAATCTGTGTATTTTTGGCAGCACTACCCCCTCACATCCTCCAGATCATATTATCTCCTTGTCCCCAATTATCATGATAGAATAAATTAAGGAAGGCTCCTCAGTTAAAGGATGCTACTGCTTCTTTTAAGACAGCGTGCATGTATTGCGTTTATTAAGTATTCTTGGAAAATTTTGTGTTTATGTCAAATTGTTGGACAACATACAAGTCATGTAAGAGATTTGCTTCCAATGTGTTTTACCTGCTGAATGTGTTTACTTGTATGCAGAACATTCTTGGAGACTAAATTGTCAACTCTTCTACGGTGAAGGGGCTGGTGCTATTTGCATAGCTACAGAGGACAGGGAAAGTGTCTGGCATGTTCCAGGTTTGAAAGAGCCCTTTTGCAGCTGAGCCAGGCTTCCATCCCACTGTCCTTGAGGACATACCACTTGGGAGTAGCTGAGAACAGGGAATGCCAGGTGTTGGCTGGGAGCTACTCAGAGAAAGATGTCCTCACACCTGAATCTTTCCTAAGAACCTCTAGAACTGCTCTGCCTTCTTAAAATCATGTTGGTCATCTCAAAAGTGGTGAAAACTATCTATACACAACTCAGAAACTGAAAGGCCAGATCTCCTGTACTTAACACATTGCGTATAGCTTAATACCAAGAACTAGTGGGTTTTTAATGAAATGCATATTGATCTTATAGTTTATTTTATGTCATTTTTTTTGCTTATTTGACCTTTCTTACTACGAAGAGACACTTTTTTAATAAAGCTAATGCATATTCATTAAGAGAAATACCAAACTGAATAAAATGACTTTTTTTTTTTTTGAGACAGAATTTTGCTCTTGCTGCCCAGGCTGGAGTGCAATGGCGCCTTCTTGGATCACTGCAACCTCCACCTCCCCAGTTCAAGCAATTCTCCTGCCTCAACCTCCCAAGTAGCTGAGATTACAGGCACCCACCGCCATGCCCAGCTAATTTTTGTATTTTTTAAGTAGAGACAGGGTTTCACCATGTTGGCCAGGCTGGTCTTGAACTCCTGACCTCAGGTGATCCGCCCACCTTGGCCTCCCAAAGTGCTAGGATTACAGGCATGCGCCACTGCTCCTGGCCATAAAATGACATTCTTTATGATGCTTCTTCAAAGATGATGCTTCAAGTGTCGAATGACATTAGAAAGGTCAAAATTAAAAGAATAAAATTATTTTAAAGTGAATAATATTTATAGAGAAAAGGCTCACGTTTCCAGAGGCAAAGAAGGGGTGACTTAGGATGACTGTATGTTGCATTAATGTTCACAGAAAACTTTTTGTTGTATATCATGTTTATTTGAGTGTCTCAAAGAGGCTTGTAGTTCAGTGGAAGAAAACAAACACTGGACTTTGTGTCCTGAGAGATTCTCCTCCAGACCACATGATCAGCTTCCAGTGTGATGTTGTCAAAGCATGTCACCTGCATGGGTGGGCCTAGGTTTCATCACCTGTGCTTTGAAGCCAGTTGCAAATCTGAAAATCTGGATACAGATTGAAGGGCAATGGCAGCCCCTCTCTCCCTGAGTGCTCATGATATGCCACAACTTGCGCTAAGCACTTTACATGCATCAGTGCAATCTATTTTCCCAGCAGCCCTCAGCTTCAAGAGGTGCAGCAACCTGCTCCAGTCCATTCAGCTGGTAAGTGACAGAGGCGGAATTTGAATAAATCTGTCTTATTTACCACTACACTATGCTGCAAGGACAATGAGGGAGGCAGTGGAGTTAGGAGGTTTTTTAAAAAAGCCAGGACTCTTTTTCTCTCCTTTTCTCACTAAAATAAAGTATTTCAGAATATATGTTATCCTTGAAAAATTGTATTTCTCAAGGAGTTAACGAGAACTAATATGTGCATGAGACTCCGCAGCAGGAAAATATAGTTGAGTAGGATTCAGGACACCTCATAGCTACTCCTCAATCTTGCATTAGATACCTCGGGCAAATCACATAGCTCCTCCCTGCCTCAGTTTCTTCATTTGCAAAATTGAAATAATACTGTTCTGTTGAGCTAAATGAAACATGCCCACAAAATACAAAAAGTATAAAGTAATTAACAAGGTAAATTATTTCATATAAACTTCCTCAATTACCAACCCAACTTTTCTCCTCCTCACCAAGGGCGGCAAGGAGAAAATGAAGAATTTGCGTCAGTGGTCTTAGCCAGTGGTATGGATATCTGAGCACTTAACTCTAACTTTAGCTGTGCCTCTGATAGACTGATCTCAATGGCACAGGAATCTCTGGAGAGCTTTGAATTTGGATCATAATAATTTGCTGGAATTAGCTGTCTAGGGATAGGATAACCCAATCTTTTGACAGGGAATAATTTGACATTGCTGAATCAGGGCTGGAAATGCCAAAAATGCTGGGAGGTAGGGGATAGGATGTGATGATATTGCTACATTGCAAACATTCATGCAATTTCTCTATTTCTCTTCCTTCTTTGGAGATAATATGTCGTAAGATGATACGCAAAATCTCTTCAATGCAAATAATGGTGTTTTTCAAGTGGACTTGCATTTTATGTTATACATACATAATAGAATCATATTCTTCAACCATGAGAGCTGGAGATAAAGTTAATCTCAATCAAATGCTGCTCTGAATTAACCAGTGAAAAGTAAGACTCAGCTCTAATAGGGGAAAGAGGGATGTTGCAAAACACACCATTTGTACCATTTTCTTCCTTACATTTTATATTTGTTTCCAGGAGCTGCTGTAACAAATTACCACACACTAGATGGTTAAAACAAGAATGTATTCTTTCACAATTCTGGAGGCTAGAAATCCTAAATCAAGGTGTTGGGAGAGCCGTGCATTCTCCAAACCCTCTAGGGATGGATTCTTTCTCATATCTTCCACCTCCTGATGGCCTCACATGTTCCTTTGTTTGTGGCAGCATAACTTTAATCTTTGTCCTATGTTCACATAGCTGTCTTCTCTATGTCTGTATCTTCACATGGCATTTTACTCTATGTGTCTCTGCTCACATTTCCCTCTTCTTACAAGGACACTAGTCATACTGGATTATGGCCCACCCTAAGGACCTTAACTTGTCTTAACTTTGTCTGCAAAGATCCTATTTCCAAATGAGGTTATATTCACTTGTATTTACAGGTACTTGGGGTTAGAACTTCAGCATATTTATTTTGATCCAACCTATACATAGCTTTTTGGAAGTGTTTTGTTTGAGAAGGCATGGGAGAATTTAGGCAAGTTAATGAGGAAAGGAGAGATCATGGAATTTCAAGGTAAAACTCTATTTTTGCCAGATAGTCATATACATTTCTTATGTATCATTTAGCGCCACTCATCTTCTCATAATGCAACAGCAAGAGGGTCTTCAGGCTGGGCACGGTGGCTCCTGCTTGTAATCCCAGCACTTTGGGAGGCTGAGGCAGGCGGATCACCTGAGGTCAGTAGTTTGAGACCAGCTGGCCAACATGGCGAAACCCCATCTCTACTAAAATTACAAAAATTAGCCGGGCATGGTGGTGGGCCCCAGTAATCCCAGCTTCTCAGGAGGCTGAGTCAGGAGAATCGCTCGAACCTGGGAGGCAGATGTTGCAGTGAGCCGAGATCGCACCATTGCACTCCAGCCTGGGTGACACAGCGAGACTCTGTCTCAAAAAAAATAAGAATAAAAATAAAATCTTCTATTCTGCAAAACGTCCAAAGAGAAGATTTGTAGAAAATATTCAGAGGTAGACAGTTTTCTATGAACAAATCACCAGAGCAGTCTAGGAAGAGATTAAGAACAGGAAACTTGGAGTTAGGTAGATCTGGAGTTCAGCACTGCCATATGCTAACTGCCTGACTTTGGCCAACGTAACCACTTTTCCAAGCATCAGTTTACTCATCTGTGAAGGGGATGATAATATTATGTACCTCTTGGGGTTTTTATAAGGTTTACCTGAGATAAAGCATATAAAATCCTTACAATAGTGCAAAAGTACATATATTTAAGCACTAAATATATTGTGCATGATTATTTCTCTGGATCCTCTTCCAGGGTATGGATTTCACCTTCTTAACCTGACCCTATACATGTGTGTTTTGGAATTCATTAAAATAATGACTGAAGTTATAAACAATAATGTTTTGAGCATTTTAAAATATAAACATGGCTGTTAAAATTCATAGGATCCACTTTGGGAGGCTGAAGTGGGAGGATCACCTGAGGTCAGGAGTTTGAGACCAGCCTGGCCAACGTGGTGAAACCCCATCTCTACTAAAAATACAAAAATTAGCCTGGTGTAGTGGCAGGTGCCTGTAATCCCAGCTACTCGGGAGGCTGAGGCAGGAGAATCGCTTGAATCCGGGAGGCGGAGTTTGCCTTGAGACGAGATTGTGCCGCTGTGCTCCAGCCTGGGCAACAAGAGTGAGACTCCATCTCAAAAGAAAAAAAAAATCATCGGATCATAATTTTTATAGGATGTCTCAGTGTTAAAATAGCATATGCTATTAGTTACGTGTGAATTCAAAAAGCAAATAAGATAAACAACTTTTAAAGCTATTTTTTCTTGAATAATTCTTAAATCAACAGTAAAGCAAACAAAAGTAATTTGGCAACAAATATTTCTGTAGAGGTATTATGTCAATTTCTTCTTCTCTATAATTTTGAGAACCAGTGTTATGATTTTCTCAATTTTCACTTTCTTGGGCTGCATTATGTGAATGACAAATACCATTTCACTGTGATCTTTATTGTGTCAAATAAGAAAGACAAGCTTTACAAAATTCCTTTCAAGTAAATGATTTCCAGAGAGAAAAAAATGAGTGAATTCTAAAATTTTAAATTACTTTCCTGTATTGAAAAGGCTAATCTAGTCTAAAGCATAAAATATATTCATTCATAAGGTTTAAAAAACTTATTAGAAAAATATATTCTGACCATATTTTGGTCTAAAGAAAAATTAAATTTGTCAGAAGAGAAACATATAATTCTAGATACATAATTAATAAAGAGAAATTCTTTGTGTATCTATAAGGGACTACAGAGAGGAATTTAAGAAGACAGAACAGACTACCAACTCAAATTATCTAATTCTGTTTGAGCACATTAAGAAGTCATTGGTATTCTCTGCATTCTCTGAAGCCAAAATTGCTTCGAGCTAAAAAAAGAGTCATCTTTCCCATAGTGATGTGTTCTACCAAGTTTCTTCTTGTCGTTTGCTGTCTTTTCACTTGCAATACAGAGATGTTCATAATACAAAGAAAAAGAAAAATTATTTGCTTTTTGGAAAAATCCTTTACTCACTAGTACCCCTTGACATGTCAAATATATTGTATCTTGATTAAGTAAAATACACATTATTGTTTATTTTTTAATTTTTCAACTTTTATTACAGGTTCAGGGGGTGCATGTGCAGGTATATTACAAAGATACATTGTGTGATGCTGAGGTTTGGAGTATGAATGAATCTATCACCCAGGTAATGAGTACAGTACCCAATAGGTAGTTTTTCAGTCCTGCCCCATTACTTGCTCCCTTCTCTTTTGTTCCCCAGTATCTGTTGTTCTCTATGTCCATGTATACTTAATATGTAGCTCCCACTTCAGAGAGTACATGTGGTATTTGGTTTTCTGTTTGTGTGAGTTTGCTTAGAATAATGGCCTCCAGCTGCATCCATGTTGCTTCAAAGAACACGATTCTCTTCCTTTTTGTGACTGCATAGTAGTCCATGGTGTAAATGTATCCATATTTTCTTTATTGAATCCAGAGTTGATGGGCACCTGGGTTGATTCCATATCTGCTATTGTGAATGGTGCTGTGATGAGCATATGGGAGCATGTGTCCTTTTGTTAGAATGACTTATTTTCCTTAAAAATATAATTTCCTGTCATTTCTTTTGATATCTTGGTTTCGGATTATGGAGAGATTTTCCCCACTTAAACCCACTGTTTCTCCTTTGAGAAGAAAGAAAATTTTAAGTAAGGTCATATTACCTTTACAGAAACATACTATTAGGAACAAGTGCAGCCCAAAATGTTTTTGTGCATAGGGAGACATTTCACATGTCCCTCTGTGTTCAGAAGAGAGTAGGTTCTTTCCGTACTCCTAAATCTTCCTCTTTATGGCCGCTAGCCTGCATAATTCATGAAGGCAGGGAATGTATCTATCATGTTTACTAGCACAGTGCCTCACACAAAGTAGAATCTTATATTTTTTAAGACGGAGTCTCACTCAGCCGTCAGGCTGGAGTGCAGTGGCGTGATCTTGGCTCACTGCAACCTCCAACTCCCTGGTTCAAGCAATAGCCCTGCCTCAGCCTCCCGAGTAGCTGGGATTACAGGCATGCACCACCACACCCAGCTAATTTTTGTGTTTTTAGTAGAGACAGGATTTCATCATGTTGTCCAGGATGGTCTTGATCTTTTGACCTCGTGATCTGCCTGCCTTGGCCTCCCAAAGTGCTGGGATTACAGGCATGAGCCAACTCGCCCAGCCACAAAGTAGAATCTTTATACACACACACACACACACACGCACGCACATGCACACACACAGTAAATTACATCTGTTCTTTATTTAGGAAAAGAATGCATGAGCACAGTGAGACTGCCTTAAAAGTAATTTTTGCAGGAGATATTATGCTATAAAAACAGTTGTAATAACAGAGTATCACATTTCTTAATTACCTTCAGTTTACCTGACTTTGTAATCCATGTAGATATTGGTAGTCTGTGACTTGCACCAGGTGAATTATAGTGAGGATAGGAGCCAGTATGTGAAGGACTGTTCCTCATTTTGACGTGAAAGCCAAGGAAAAAGTCAGATCACATTCTTGCACATTAGACTCCCAGGGGCTGTAGTTGTCACACAGCTGAATAATAGAATATGAACTTCCTATTTCTTACCTGCTAATTAGTAAAATTAGATAAGGGACATCCATCCCCTCTGGAGGACCAATGTCCTGTGATAAATAGTGATTTCTTGAGCAACTCCATACTATGCTCTGCAGATAGAATGAAGAAATACATTTTGGAACACTGACAAAATTCTTTTGTGATGTACAGTTCCCTAATTTTCCATTTCACTAAGTACTTCCTTATTCAGTGAATGCCAACACAACACCGTTATAGCATAATACTCGCATAGCAAAGTTGTGACTCCCTGGTGTTTTGATTGGGAAGGCTTAAGTCAGAGTATCTGAGCCTCTTAGAGGATGATCACCAATTTTCACAGAGATATGAGTCACATTTTTCCTTTCCTGGCAAAGCTTCTTTCAGAGGTAGAACACAGTTAAAGAACACAAAGAAAGAACTGGGCTAAATGATTAGCAAATATAATCAATGTAATACACACACACACACAATCACAAATTTTTTTCCAGGTGGTGTTTTTTTTCTGTTTTAGACACCTCCAGAAATCAAGCATCCAATACAACAACAAGCAAATGCTCCAGGCAGTTACCAGATTAAAGGTAAAACCACTGCTATTTTCAATAGATAAAATTATATCAGAATATACTTTTATTAAATAGAAATTCTAACTTAAAATGAAGCAACGTATCTTAAGAATCATCCTACTGGAGAATACCATTTATTTATAGCTCCCTCTAGCTTTCCTACTTAAGGTCTTAAACTGGAAGCTTTTCACAGAGGGAAAAGTTTTTACCTGGGTGAGATGATACCAAATCTTGCTCAAAGACTGTACTGTTTTATGTCTCCATGTTCTCTGAGCCTGTCACTTTAACCATGATACTCAAATCTAATTGGAATTTGAAAACCTGCTGTGAGTTCCTTCGTGATTTTTTTTTCTCTTAAACAGTTATGAAAGAAAGGTGTTGGGATTCTGTCTTCAGATATGTAACATTTTATGGATTTTTTTTTCCAGGTAGCAGTCCTTTGAATTTTCTTTTTCATACAATGCAACTTGTCTTTTAGTATCCACTGGACAGTGGGGTTTGCCAGTTTCCACAGTAAATTATGATTCCTTGAAGCTTTGAATGCTGTTTTCCACATTGGAAAATGGGGGTATATAAAAAGGCTTGAGATTTTTAGAGCTCTTAGAGATATTTCTGTACCATGGACCATTTTGTGGAACCTCTGGAAAGGTTACTTGAGGGGTTAATATTGAGGATGATGACAACTTCTCCTCAACTCAACAGAAAAGCATTAGTAATACTAGAAGGACATTCTCTTGGCTCCAAGAATTTAATGTTCAAACTGGAAATTACTAGAAGTCATATAATTTAATAGAAGAAGATACTGAATCTCAGAGAAGTAAAATGACTTCTCAAAGCTCCACTAGTTAGAAAGTGCAGCCAAGACTGAAACCCAGGCATGCTGACCAATTAAATGTGTTTTTCAGATAATTGCCATAGATAGCAGGATATGGACTCATCCTTTCATCAAATTGATGAGATTATTTATTGTGCTTAATTTGTAATCTCTCCATGAGCTTTGATTGGTCAACTTTAAGGTAATTCTTTGATATTGATTAGTTAGCAGCTAGATTAAAATGTCCAGAAAAGTACCAGTGAGAACTAGGAGGTAAAAAACCCAGAAAAGTCAGAGGCCCTCTTGTCAAGGTCAGTTACAGATGAGGAGATGACAAGGTTCATAGGGCCTACACCTAGATGTTGAATGCTGCATTTTGAGTTTTTTTTTTCATTCTATTATATGTTAACAAATTTCTCTCCGATATGGCTGTACCAAGATTCACTCTCACAAACCAATCCTTATGTGATCATTACATGTCAGACATTGCACTAATTATTTTATGCACATTAGCTCATTTGTTTTCACAATCATCTTACACATTGAAGTGCTGGTATGGTTATCCTTGCTTTAAAGATAAAAAGTTGGAGGCACAGAGAGATCAAGTAACATGTCCGAGGTCCTCCAGCTAGAAAGTGGCAAAGCCAGGGTTTCAACTCAGTCTGATTCTCACATGCACACACTTCATTTACTTCTCAGTACCAGCTACTTCACATCCTCCCCAACATTATTATGACAAGAATTTAAAATTTTTGTGAATATGATGTTTGTTAAATTGTATGTCTTTAAATTTTGCACTATGCTGGTTAATAATGAGGCTGAGTTTTTTTGTTTTTTTTTTTTTTCTGTGTTTTGGCTTCTTATATTTTTGTACTTGTGAGAGTTTTTTTCTATGTATCCTAAATATTCATTTCTTCTTGGTAGTGGGCATTGTAAATAATTTCTACTCAAATGTGGCTTGTTTAATAAACTTGTTTATAGTGATTTTTGTTTTATATAAGTTTCATGTAGTTGAACTTGTCCATTTTTTTTTCCCTGAGTGTTTTGTGCTTTTTGGTCTTATTTAAGTGATTTTTCCCTGTTTCAAGGTTTTGAAGATATTCACTCACCTCTTTTTATGAAAAGTTTTAACCTTTTGGCTTTCACACTTAGGAATTTAATACATATGGGATTAAATTGTATTTATGTTGTGAGGTTAAGAATCCAGTTTTTAATTTATGTATAACCAATTATTACAGCAGGATTTATAAAATAAATGATCATTTCCATGCTGATTTGTAACGCTACTTATATACATATCAGTTCTCCTGCCTATCCTTAGATCAATGATACATTGTCCTCTTATACCTTTATATTAACTCTTGATATCTGTCGGAGTGAGTTCCAACCATGTAGCTCTTTAAAATTGTCTTGGTTATTCTTGCCCATTTGGTTTTCCATTTAAATCTCTGAAACTGTTTATAATTTCCAATAAAACCTGCTGATATTTTGATTGGAATTATATTGAACATGTAGAATAATTTGCAGAAGATTGACATTTTTATGTTACTGCAACTTCCAGATTCCTGTTTTATCTCTCCATTTATCTAGGTCTTTTAAAAAGTATTCCCAAAGAATAGTCTACATTTCTACATGAAAGTCTAATACACCTTTTATTAGTATTATTTTTGTTTGCCTCATATTTCTATTTATACTGTCATTCTATCTTTATAAAATTATATTTTATAATTACATATGATATGTAAGAATTTAGTTGAGTTTTATAAATTCATATTATTGCCTAGTATTTTTGCTAAGCTCTTAATACTCTAATAAGTCTTGGGCCTGGGAGTGGTGGCTCATGCCTGTAATTCTAGCACTATGGGAGGCTGAGGAGAGTGGATAACTTGAGGTCAGGAGTTCAAGACCAGCCTGGCCAACATGGAGAAACCCCATCTCTACTAAAATAAAATAC
Source organism: Homo sapiens (assembly GCF_000001405.40). Taxonomy (NCBI): domain Eukaryota; kingdom Metazoa; phylum Chordata; class Mammalia; order Primates; family Hominidae; genus Homo; species Homo sapiens. The sequence goes on from NC_000011.10 coordinate 106,372,010, forward strand.
AAAAATTAGCTGGGCTTGATGGTGCACACCTGTAATTCCAGCTACTTGGGAGGCTGAGGCAAGAGAATCACTTGAACCTGGGGGGGTGGAGGTTGCAGTGAGCCGAGATTGTGCCACTGCACTCCAGCCTATCTGACAGAGCGAGACCCTGACTCAAAAAAAAGATAAAACTATAATAAGTTTTTATAGAGTCTCATGAATTGTGAATAATAGCAATTTAATTTTTGCTTTTTAATTTTTTTTTTTGAGACAGGGTCTCACAGTGTTGCCCAGGCCGACCTCAAACTCAGCCTAGGCAACATAGTGAGGCCCTCCCCTTTTTTTTTTTTTGGTTCCTTGCTTATAATAAACTTTAACATGTACAGGATTTATTATCATTGCTTCACCTTGGACATAAAAATTAAGTCAATAGGAACTCGTATAATTTTATTTGCTGTAAGTAAATAATAATCTGCTGTGTTTCAGAAAATGTGTGTATGCATTCAGTATATTAATATATTGAGATATAAAAACTTAACAACATGTTATCAGATCAACAAAATTCCCTTTTAGTCCTAGTTTGTTGAGAATTTTTGTCAAGAATAGTATTGAATTTCCATAAATGCTTTTCTGAGTCTATTGAGATGATCATAGGTTCTCCAGAATTTAATACCAGAATTTTAGTTTCACTTGCTTGTATACTGTCAACATTAGTCTTAAAATAATTATATTGTATTTTTGAGGTTTGGATTTTTGAAAAAAACTGTTCCTTAGCTCATCATTCTAGTTTGTACCTCAAATTTTACTTATAGATTCAATATCCTGTTTCTCTAATTATATCTTTTGGAGGGTTACTCAGAAACAACTGTTAGTATCACTCTTTCTTAGCTTTGGTTGATTTTAAAATGTATTTATTTCTACTCATTTAAAAATATGTTATAGTTTTTCTGCTTTTAAATCAGATTGATAATTACTTTCTCTTTAACACTTTAAAAATATTCCATGATCTTTTGGCTTCTAATATTGCCATTTAGAAAGAAGAATACTATCTCAATTTATTACTCTTTTTTGGAAGTCTGGTTGTTTTTATAAATTTTATGTCAGTGGTGGTGTGCAATGTCAGTCGATGGGTCTAGATATAGATTAGTTCTGTTTTTTCTGGTTGTCATTTTTTGTGCTTCATGAATCTGAGTTCATCAACACCAGAAAACTTGCAATTATTTTTACAAGAAGTGCTGCTCCCAAATTTTCTCTGCTCCATCCTTCTGAAATTATCTTTATTCAAATACTAAGACTTTTATTTCTTGAACTCCTGACCTCAAGGAATCCAACTGCCTTAGCTTCCCAAAGTGCCGGGATTACAGGCATGATCCACTGCACCCGGCCCTAGGACTTTTATTTCTGTTAACTGTGTCAGTCTAAACCTCTGGCATATTTTCCTCCTCTTTGTGTTTCTGTTTTTCCTCTGTTTAGGTATTTTGTCATACATTTTCTATATCACCATTTAGTTATTTTTAAAATATGTCAATTCTTTTTCCATTAAGACCTTATTTTATATCTTCAATCAATAAGCATGCTTGTTTTATATCTGTATCCAGTGATTCCATTATCTGAAGTACATAAGAGTATCTATACCTGGTCTATGTGGGGTCAGTTGTCATTTGTTCATTTAATTTATAATTTATTTTATTTTCAACTAGTCCAAAGAGGCTTTATTCATGTGAATCCTGTAGGTCAGACTTGAGTCTTATTCTTCAGAGAAGGTTTACACTGGGTTCTGCTGGATTCTCTTATTATCAATTCTTTCATTCCATTGACTAAAATGTTTATACTGAGAACCTGTTATGTACAAGGCACTTTTCCAGTTGATTGAGATATATAAGCAAATATAAAAGACAAAATTCCTGCCCTCCTTGAGCTCACAATCTAGTGGGGTGGAGGGTATTAGGTAAGTTCTAGTGAGGGTGGATAATAAGTAAGTTTTTTTTTTTTTTATTTAGAAGGTGATAAGTCTTTTGGACAACAGCAAAAAGTGAATGAGGATTAGGAGATTAGAAGGAGTGGATAGGTTGCAATTTTAAATTGAGTGGTGAGAGAAGACTTCATTGAGAAGCTGACATTTTAGCAAAGGTTTTATTGGGCAAGGAAATTTTCAGTACACATATACAGAAAAGAAATTCAAGACAGAGAAGAGAATGAGAAGAGAGAGAAGAGAACAAATATGGCTGGTATTTTCGAGCAATAGGCAAGAAGACAGCATGGATGCTGTCTAAGTGAGGAAAAATAAAGATAAATTACTAAGTGAGGAAAGATAAAGTCAGAGAAGTAACAAGTTTCTTTTGATTAATTTATTGGTTTGGGGATTCCTAGATCCCATAGGTAATATAAATGCATATGTTAAAATTGGGTAAGAACAGGCCTACAATTTTAATTCTCAAGAGAGGCCTATATATGCTTTTTATGACCAACTGCACTGTTTAAACAGACAGGCTTCTCATACCTCAACTATTGGTGGTGGATGAATTTTCTTTTCCACCTTTTCATGAAGTTATAACGCTTCAAGGGTTGAGAAACTTTTCAGGCATATCAGTTCCAACTCCCCACATTGCTCAAAACCAAGGCCGATTTTTCTGTCCCTAAGTGGCCATTGAAACCTAAAAATCTTTGGTTTCTGAGGCTGAGAGACTCGATAACCCCAGTGTTATTTCACACTTCCCACTCTTTCAGTTTCTTCTTTGTTTCCGATCCCTGAGGACTTCTCTTACTTTCTTGACAACTGAAACGTGCATTTAAAATACTGCCTGTAATAGTTTATTTAACATTTTCCAGGTGCCTTTTAGGCAGTTCAGTTTTCACATTTTTGAAAACAGAAGTCCAAAACACTTTCTATATACAGGTGGGGAGACAGAGGTAAAGGATATATTTTTCCTGCCTGAAGGAACTCACATATTAGAAGTAGATATAGAAACACATGATTATGTTTAAGTATAATCACCACTCTGATAAAAGCTAGTAAAAACTGCCATGAAAACAGAATGTAGATAGGTATTCATTTGAGTGCGCTGAAATGGAGAAGGCATCACTAATGATGCAATAGATGATGTGAGCCTGGAAGAATTGATAGTAGGCTGCCATGTGGAGGGAGAAAGCTTTTGTGTTCAAAGGCTTAGAGGAGAGTAATGAGGCTTGTGGGGCCAAACGGTGGTGCCTTGGGAAAGATGGAGGTGTGGGAATATTATGTACTTAAGGAGGTAAAAAGATGATTAAGAGGATGAACTTAAAGGAAATTTTCTTATTTAAAATTTTATCTCAGCTGGGCATGGTGGCTCACACCTGTAATCCCAGCACTTTGGGAGGCCGAGGTGGGCAGATCACCTGAGGTTGGGGGTTCAAGACCAACCTGACCAACATGGAGAAACCCCATCTCTACTAAAAATACAAAATCAGCCGGGCATGGTGGCACATGCCTGTAATCCCAGCTACTGCAGAGGCTGAGGCAGGAGAATGGCTTGAACCCGAGAGGCGGAGGTTGCTGTGAGCTGAGATCGTGCCATTGCACTCTAGCCTGGGCAACAAGAGTGATACTTCATCTCAAAAAAATAAAAATAAAAATTTTTATCTCAAGCCCTCCGTGAGTGCCAGGTACAAAGTTAGGGTTTAAAGGAAGCCAGTGTTCTTTATAGAGTGAGGTTTGTACACATGGGCCAGTACCTATGAGATTTTCCCACAACAATCAATTTAAACTATTACTGAAAAAGACTTCCTGAGCTCCCCTACCAGAGTTTTAAGACTTGTTTTCTATAAAAGTCCTGTTGATAAACAAATTCTCTCTAGGATGACCATCTTAATTTGCCCAGGACTAAGGGAGGGCCCAGAACACAGAACTTTGAGTTTTAAAACTGGTGGATGTCCTGGACAAACAGGGAAGAGATGGGCACTTTAGATATCCCCCTAGAATTTAAACCTCTACAAGAGCAGAAGAATGTTTAAAATGTTACTTGGCTTGTGGTAGATGATTAGCAAATATTTAATGCAAGAATTATACATGAATGAATATTTTTGCCATACAAGAAGGTATCCAGCTACCTCAACACATCCAGTTGACATTTAATAGGCATATCCAATTTTACATATCCAAAGTTGACTGTGAGAGGCCCCATCAAACCTTCACCAAAGGGAAAAATAGACACGTTTTCAGCTCTGGTGTCTGGAACAGTACTTAGGCCATTGTTTCTAGTGGAACAGGGTCAATGTAATGGAAACGAAAGACAAATAGGACCTTCACACTCAGAGAAAGTTATGATGAGCAACACTGGAGCAAAATTCCCCGTAGACTAGGCACATTATTTAGAGAATAGGCTATCCCTCTTAAAGAATTTATGATGAAGGCTCCTGCTAGTTTCCTGGTGACCAAAATGAGGCATACATCCACATCTTCTGGTTTTTCTATTTTTTGGAAAATTTTATGGCTAATGAAAATAGAAACTATTGCAAAATGTATTGTCTTCCTCTGAAATGTAAAGATTTAAGGATTGTTGTGCACTTTTCTCTTTCCAGACAACTTGCATTTCTACAGCCTTATATTAAGTGCTTTGGGGATATGAGCATATCTGAGTAGAATAGAGTGAAGCAGAGATGGAGGGGATCTTGCCTATGCATAGTGTACATTTCCTGGGCTGTTTAGAAGAGGAGGTGTTATTTGAAGGGAGATGTTTCAAAACAGGGAGTTGGGCTTTTGAAATAAGGCATGGTAAACATGAGAGATACACATTTGATCCCACAGTGTATTTCAAAGACATTTTATAAAGGTGCAAAAGAGTCAAGAGAAACATGAAAAAGGGAAACAGGATTCATTCTGGCCTCCTGTTATGCTGCCTAATGCTGAAGAGACCTCTTTTCCCAGCTCTGCCATTGTTTTCATTTTGGAAGTATTGATATCGACACTAACAGCATTGCCAACTGGGACATTTTCCTGCCTCTTAAAAGAGGGGCCAATTCATTTGAATGGTATTCTTAACTTTGATTTCTATAAATAGGATTCTGGAATAGTCAAAACAAATATATATTTTTTAATATTAAGTGGGAAATGTAGCATGGTTATTCCAAACTCACCTAACCTGCATTCAGGGATCAATCCGAAAGTTCCTATTTCTGCATCATAATATTGTTTTTCAGATTGATGCTGAACATTAGGAAAGGAAGATTTATTGGCACAATTTTTTTTTAAATTTTTTTTGAGATGGAGTCTCGCTCTGTTGCCAGGCTGGAGTGCAGTGGCACGATCTTGGCTCACTGCAACCTCCACCTCCTGGGTTCAAGAGATTCTCCTGCCTCAGCCTCCCGAATAGCAGGGACTACAGGCACATGCCCCCACACCCAGCTAATTTTTGTACTTTTAGTAGAGACAGGTTTCACCATGTTGGCCAGGATGGTCTCAATCTCTTGACCTCGTGATCCATCTGCCCTGGCCTCCCAAAGTGCTGGGATTACAAGCATGAGCCACCGCACCTGGCCTTTTGGCACAATTTAAAACCTTCTCAAGTCATTTAAAGAGATCAAACAAATCATTTTCTCATTTTTTCCCAAAACTTCTATTTTTATCATAAAACAAGGGAGATATCCATTTTTTAAAAGAAGTTAGAAATATATAACACATAAAAATTATAAGTTCTATAGCATGCTACATTCCAGAAATAACCCTATACTTACCCAACAATAAAAAAGAGTTGTGTTGCAAAATCCCTTGTGAGATAGCAAAGGAAAAGAGATCTAGTCAGAACTAAAATGGAAATAGTGTTTAATCAAATGCAGATAGTGAAGGGATAAATTCAATCTATAAACTATAACAGGGTAGCATGACAGACTAGGTTTTAATCCTATCACACAGGAAAAAGGTACATGCTAGGCTGGAAATTACTGCAGTTACCTACACTGATGATTTACAGGATGGTTGAGAAAAAAGTAATGAAACCAATTTCTCTCTCACTTGCACTGGAGGTTTTTTCGGGTCTTTGAGTGTAGAGAATGGTAGAAGATTACAGCAGAGCAATCTAATACTAAAAAACTCCATATAGATATTTAAAAATCTAATAAAAATAATCAGAGCAGGGTAGGGAGAGGAGAAAGAAGCTAAACATTTGGGAAGTCCTGTTCATAAAACTCTTCTCTATAAGAATTTCTTAAAGCCATCTATATGTTCCGTGTAGCAACATCTGCCCCTCCACCCCTTCATTTAACAGAGTGTGCAGCATTCAGTTTGAAAAGATAACATGGTTGATGCTTCCTCGCCCCCAGCATTCATCATTATTCTCTCTGTAGGTCTGAGCTGGGAGGATCTTCTTTTTCTTATTTGGCCGATCTTATGTTTCCTAAAAAGACTTCAGTATATTGGATGAAAATCTCTGTCTTCTCTTTTCTAAGCTTTTTATATTTATCTATGTGAATATGTAATATTTTTGTAATATAATATATACGTATTGTATTTATGTTAGTTCTTTTTGAAAATAATTCTCTGCCAGGTAGAAATTAAGGAGTACTGCCTATGTAAAATGAGCCTGGGTTGGAAAGAAAACAGGTGGCTGCAGTCAGATAATCATCCTACCGTTTCTGTCTTTATCAACCCCACCCTCAGGTACCTATCTCTGGCTCCTAATTCTTTCATTGGTCCTCCTTCTGTTGCAGAACACTGAAACCTTACCTGCAGCTTCCTAGTGGTCTCTCTGGTCTGTTCCCCCTGTATATGACTGCTTTTCCTAGCATTGATTCCCCTTCTCATTTCTGATACCTATTCCTCTAAAGACCTTGGCTCTGTGCATCTGCCTTGTTACTGCTTTATCTCTCCTTTCCTGTCCTCCTCCTCCTCACCCTCACTCAATCACGGGAAACCCCTTCCAGTCTGGCATTCTCTTTTCAGTTACGGCAATTGTCTCCTCCCAGTGAGAGTCTTCTGCAGGCTTTGCCTTTTCTTTGATAAGAGGAGAAGTACAGAATCATAGAGACAACTGTTGTTTGATTGCATCATCCTGTAGATTATTTGTTCAAAGAGGGTCTTGCCTGCTGATTTATGTAAATTAATCCATAAAGGGAAAACACTGCTTAAACCAAGAGCCCCTGAGTCACTAGAAGGGGTGAAAAATCCATTTCTTTCTACCAATCCTAAATTTACCAACTTTCCCAATTAGTCTCATATCACACATATCAAAATTTGCTTACGAGAAATTGCCACCAAGTTTGAATATGATTGGGTAGTTAGAGGAGCATTGATAACCTGCCTGTAGTTCTTTATGTTATAAATTCCACTAAAGTCTAGTTATGATTGAATGTTGGACTCCAAGTGACTCCTGGCTTGCTTAAGTAACCAAAACCATAACTTACCAGCGCCCCATGCTGTCAGTTAAAGAAGGAAGGCTCTCTTTCAAGATGGTTGTCCCTGGGAAATTGGTAGCTCCTCTGCTCACCTCACTGGGGACTTTATGTCACCATTTGCTTAGGAAGCTGTTCAAGATCTCTCTAAGTGTTACACAGAGACCCCCCCTTCCCCCCACTCCCACTTTCTGCCTCACAGGTTTCTAACGTACAGTGGCCAAGTGAGATCAAAAGAGCAGATGAGGTGTGGTTATTTTGTGGCTTTTTTTTTTATTGTTTTGCTATTTTCTATGTAGAGGCAAAGACTAAAGAATTTTTACCTCTTACATTTTGATGGTGTATTTCTTTGGATCACACCTGTCTAACCCATCTTGAGAGACTTTATTAAGGTGTGATTTAGCAATAATAGGAATTGAGGAAATTTGAAACTTAAAATATAATAACTACCTGTCATGACTGGTTAAAAATATGACAGTGATGCCACAGTGCAGATACTTCCCAGTAATCAGAACATTTCTTTCTTAACTTCTGCAGTCTAATTTAAGTCAGCCTCCACAGCAGTTGCTTCACCCTATCTTCCTCATATCAGATCATTCCATCTGAAACTCTGAGACTCTAAAGCAGCCTTAGGCCTCCCAGGTCAAGGCGTGTTGCCATTATAAGATCACTCAAGCACCATCCATTACCACTCACTTGCTCACATGCAATTTTAAGGAAGCAGACTTGTAGCTAATTAGAAAAAATAGCTGTTCAATTCATTAAAAACTATCTTATGCTTAGAGAGAGGAAAATACACTTTAAAAATGTGACATGTGAAAATCTATTTTTCAAACAGAGAAATACTTTGTGAAAGTTGTTATGAATGTTTAAATACAGGACTAAATCACCTTTTTTTTCAGAGTAAAATTTTTTTTTTGACAGTTTCTGGTGGTCGGAATCCCCCGTTATGCTAATTTTATTTCAATTGCCCAGTCAAGGATGAGGAGGGAAAGAGCAGTGCTCTGACTCCAGCCAGGCTTCGGAACTCTGGGCTTGGAATTGAATTGGGTCAGAAATGGCAGCTCACTCTAGGGAGTGGTACTAAGGGAAGGACTAAATGGGGTATCCAGAGTAGAAGTGAGTAAAATCTAGAGCAAAATAGTTAAGTCAAACAAACAATCAGTCTAAAGGTTGATGGAGAAAGGCAAACCCTGGTCAAAAATGTGGTTGAAGACAGTGGGATAGAACAAGTGGGTTTTGGTGAGTAGATGTTGGGCAGAGAGGGGCTGGCTCCACTTTTAAGGGTATCTGTGGCCACTTGGGAGATGAGGGAGCTCTAAGTGTCTTGGGAGGATTAACCTTTCTTTTATTTTGACTGAAAGCTTGAGATATGTGTAAGAGTAGAGTATACAATAGGAGGTGAATTCCAGCTTCCAGTCATACCTGGAATGCTCGGTACCATCCCATAACTGCCCTTGACATGGAGAGTCAACGAAAGCTGGCCAAGAGACTCATAGCCAAGATCAGCATTGGGAAAAATGTACAGTGATGGAAGTTTTCTTAGAGTTATTCTTCCAGTCTCCTCTTTATTCCCAGACAGTGTGTCACTTGGTGGGGAGGAGGCATCCATAGGCAACTTCTCATCTTTTAAGCTAATGGGTCTCAAAATGTGGTCCCAGGAACTCTGGGGGATTCCTTAACCCTTTTCAGGAAGTTCACAAGGTGAAAACTACTTCCTAGTAATACTAAAATGCTTTTTGCCTTTTTTTCTTTTCATTTTCTCATGAGTGTACAGTGGAGTTTCCAGTATTAGATGGTAACAGACTGAATGCAGAAACAGACTGGAGAACCTAGCTGTTTTCTATTAAGCCATTTTTATTTGAAAATATGTAAATTAATGTCCTTCTTGTCATTATTGTGTCAGTCTTGTACAGTTAGTTATTTATAAAGATACATTATTTTTGTGAATATATTATGTGTTTATTCTTAGTTTTAAATAAATTTTTAAAAATTCAGTTTTAATTTCTGATGTAGTTTACCACGTAAGCAAAAGCTTTGGAGGTCCTCAATAATTTCTATGAGTATAAAGTGGTCCTGAGTCCAAAAAGCTCGGGAACATTGTTTTAGGTCTATGCCTTTCCACTGTCCCTGTTCTTGAAGCAGGCGAAGCTGGCATCTGATTCTGAGATATGATGCTGAGAGCTCCATGCAGGCTCCTCTTATAACCTCTCCCCATTAGTCTATCACTGGTGCCTGACTTATCACTACTTGCAATTTCTTTATTTGGATTAAGTGATAGACAATGCAGAGCACTCTAAAAGATAAGTTTATTAAACTTTATCAGCAGTTAGCATCCTTTCAATATTGAACACCCATATAATAACACATTATTTAGTAGTTCCCAAACTTTAGAGCACATGAGAATAGATAAGTTGTTTACTGGAGATTACTCAGGCATTACTTGTTTTCTGGAATCAATTTTTGGAGAGTTTGGCTCAGGAATCTGCCTTTTCACAGAGTCTTCAGGTTATTTCTAAGTAGGCAGTTGGAGGGCCAAAGTTTTTAATATAATGTTGTGTTTATCTTGCTCACTGCATCTACAGCACTCCATCTACAGCAAAGTATATGACATATAATAATGAGATTTAAATAAATATCTGCTGAATGAAGGAATTAGGTAGTACCACTTCAGGTGCCCAGATTGAAGAATCTTGACAACTGTCTGGTGAGTCAGACTTCAGGAGGAATGTGAGGATATGGAAATGCGGAATCCACGACAGCCTGAGGGCATTGTGAGCCTCAGGAAAGAAAGAGAAGGAGGATAGGGAACAGAGAAAGAAGAAATAGAACCAACATTAGTGGCTGTGCCCTAGTATAGCTCTGGCATTATGCTAATAGTTTACATATGTCACCTAATCTTAATTCTCATGACAACCTTGAAAGGGGAGTATTGTTACGTCCACTTGGCTGTCACAGATATTCTCTACCCACCCCACCTCACCCCATGTTTCTGGGCTATACCTGAAATACATAGAATGGATATTTGACTATAGCAAATAAAATTTTTTACTAATTCTTCTTCACCCATTCTCTTCATCTGTAAAACAAGGTGGAAGTTGAGAACCAAGTGGATAAATCTTGAAATGTCTCCCAAACATCCAATCTTCCATTTTCCCTGAACTTACGTGCTGGCTTTCTGATTGCTTTGCCTTTCTCTGGATTACCACCATGTCCACATTCTGGACCAGGGAAGGGCAAAAGAGTGAGGAAGTCCAAGGCAAGCAACTTTATTTTAAAAAGCGGTGCAGAAATTGCACTATTCACTTAGGAGATGTGCCATCTAGGTACATAGGATTGTCCTCTTTAATCTGTCAATGTAGTTAAATTAATTAATATACTTTCTAGTGTAGAATCAATCTTGCATTCCTATGATGAGCTCAAATTAATCATGACGCATCATTTTTTATATAGTTCTAAATTTAGCTTGCTAATATTTTGTTAGAACTCTTGCATTTATGTACATGAGTGAGTGGTCTATACTTTTCTGTTTCCATTTTGCCTGTAGCTAATTTTGGTATTAAGTTACACCCGTATCATAAAATGTGCAGTAGAATATTTCCCTTTTCTTATCTCAGAAAAGATTTGTGTAAGTGGGATTTTTTTTTCTTTAAAATTTGGTACAACTCAGTGGTAAATCCTTTTGGGTAGTTTTTAAATGACTTATTTTCTTTAATGTTATAACAATTTGTGTTTTTCTATTTAATATTGAGTCAGTTTTGGAAATTTGTATTTTTCTAAGAATATGTCCATTTTACGTGTTCTCAAATTAATGGCATAGAGACATAGTATTAACTTATTTTTTAAAATCTCTATTATACTCTTAAAATTTTTAGTATTGTTTATATATGCCATTTCTGTCTCTTTTCCCCTTTCTCTTTCATAATCTGTTTTGCCTAAGGTTTGTCAGTTTTATTAATGTTTTCAACACATAAGCTTTGCTTTTCTTGATCCTCTTTATTTTGCCATAGTTCCTCTTTTCCCATTAATTATTGCCCTTCTCATCTTTATTTTATTTTTTTCTATTTTTTGGTTGACATTTTTCTAACTTCTCAAGTTGTATGCTTATTTACTGACATTCACGTTTCCTCCTATTCTAATAAAAACATATAAAGGTTACAGATTTCCTTTAATGTTGATTTAGCTACAGTTCAAAAGTTTTGATATAAAGCTTTTTATTATCTTTCAGTTCTAAGTATTTTATAATTTCTTTTGTGATTTTTCTCTTGGCCTTTGAGTCATTCGGTTGTGTTTGGAATTTCCAAATTATGAAGTTTGAAAATATTTTTTCTTGTTATTAATGTATACCTCAGTTAGACTAAAAGTAGATTTTGGGGTGCATGACACTAGATTTTTGAAATCTTTGCAGATTGGTTTTGGCCCAAAGTTTCACTTTCTCATTTCTTGATTTTTTTTTAATGTTTCTGTTTCTTTTGGAAATGTTTATCTTGAGAAATAAGAGCATCACTTAAAACTCCTGAGAAACATTTAAGTGCCTGAGCTGTGCAAATAATCTCCCCCAGTATTAAATATTGTGTCTCCCTTCTTTCTTCTTCATGACTCCGCAGTAGCTAGCTAGCTGTGACACACTGAGATTTAAGCAATGCTCTTTTATCATCTTGTCACGACAATATGCTGAAGCACAGCCCCTCTAATACATCTTATCACCTGATTGATTTCCACTCACGTACTTTAGGGCAGCTATTCCTGTCTATGCTGCTCAATCTTTGGTCACCCCTATAAAATTTAAATCCTTCTGATATTGTTTCTTTCTCTCCCATCCTAATCTGATTCCCCTACCAATTCTTACCACGATGCCCTTTTGAATCTCAGGATTCTCTTTAAACCTAAATGGTAAACCTTTTCAGGATCCTCTTGCTAATCTTCTCATTCATTTGAAACTGAAAAAAGAGAAGCTGGGGTCTGGCAACTAGAAGACTGCTGCTTTTCTCTTTATAGGCTTCTCCCTCTCAACTCATTCTGTTGAATGCTCCCTTGTTGAAAGAGCTGTTTAAATTGACAGTCTTCACTTCTTTACCTCCCATTCCCTTTTTAACCCATTGTAGCAGAGCTTCACTTCTTATTGTTTCTGCAGAGACACAGGGAGTATTCCTGCCTGTGACCCAAAAAACACCATCCATCCACAAATGACCAAATTGTGCAACACAGAAATGTGGTCCTCTTGTATTTGTGCCCAGTTCCTGGTTTAGTCTTCAATCTTCGGCTCCATCTCTGAAGACTGAGATAAAATCTGTCTTTTGCCAACTCACGTAGGATTTATGTGCAGTTTATTCAAACATGCTTGGTTTCCAGAGATTTCTGTGAATCAAATCTATTCTCCACAAGGCATACAGCATAATCTTTCTTAAATGTAAATCTAATTATGTCTTCCCATTACTTAAAACTTTGCAAAGGCTCCCTAAGGCTCCTAAAGTAAATTTAAAAATTCGTTAAGAATGGTTTACAAGCCCCTGAACCATCTAGTCAAGGCTTTTGTACTTAGATTCATGCTGTTTCTCCATTTCTGCTATACTACCTACAGTTCAGTTCAGGGCTTTTCTTATTATTATTTGTGCTTCTCAAAAATAACTATAGAATATGCTGGGAATGTAACCTCCTGAGACAGGGAGGGCTGGCTAGAACTGTTCAGTCCAACCTTAGAAAGAAGATATCTCTCAATGCACTATCCCAGCTATTCACATGATCAGAGGCTATTAAACCCAAAGCAGACCCCTTTCTGGTGTGATACAAGTGATATCAGCTGTGATACAAGTGGGGCATATGTCATCAAGACTTCATTTGCTCTGGGCAGCTTTTCTGAGCCTTGGGGGTCTAGCATGCAATGGATTCTAGGCTTCTATTTTCCCTTGTCTATCTGTAAGTAATAAATTTGCTTTATGTAATTTGTGTTAGGTGTTCTATCTCATCAGAATCAGACAAGTTGGTAACCAGTGACCCTGCTTTGCAATATCTATATCCATTTTAGATTATTTGAGATAGAATTTCCAGGCTTTTACATCATTGGTTTCCATATTTGATATTCTAGAATATATCCTTGTGCTTCTTTATTTTATTTATTTATTTATTTATTTTTTGAGACGGAGTCTTGCTCTGTTGCCCAGGCTGGAATGCAGTGGCGCGATTTTGGCTCACTGCAAGCTCCGCCTCCCGGGTTCACACCATTCTCCTGCCTCAGCCTCCTGAGTAGATGGGACTACAGGTGCCTGCCACCATGCCCGGCTAATTTTTTTTTTTTGTATTTTTAGTGGAGACGGGTTTTCACCATGTTAGCCAGGATGGTCTCAATCTCCTGACCTCGTGATCCGCCCGCCTCGGCCTCCCAAAGTTCTGGGATTACAGGCGTGAGCCACCGCACCATGAGTTCTTTAAGCTGCTGTCTGAAGATTATTTCCTTTCATATTGGAATTGGAGTGTTTTAAACCTTTATTGCTTGGAGCCACGTGGAACTTCTTGTGTCACAGTAAGAGAAAAGCCCACATTTGGCCTTTCATTTTATCACAAAAAATCCAAAAAGAAGAGCATAAAAACTGGCTTACCCCATTGTTAGCTCCCTTCCTTTCCTTCTCATTCAAATAAGGGGGCCTGGGCCTTCCTCCCTCTGTCCATGCCTGTCACTTTGGTTCCTGTGAGACAAGTTCTTGTGAGACAATTCTGTTAAATTGTGTTTAGTCTAAAGCTGTCTCCATACACATTTTTAGTTTGATCTGAAGATTTCTCCTTACATAGTGAATTGTAACCTAACTGGATGTGTAAACAGACAACAACCTACTCTTGTACCAATCACTGAGTTTCAGCCAATCAGAGGTGGCAAACTGTTCAAACTGTGTTCAAACAAGGCAAACATTGAGCTATAACTAATCCGGTTGTTGCTGTATTTCACTTCTACTTTCTGTATGTTACCTTCCTTTTTCTGTTTGTAAATCCTTTCTGATCATGCTGACCACCTCCAGGGTTGCCCTGAACCAATTTTTGTCTGGGAGTGGGGGAGGCTGCCTGATTCATGATTCATTCTTTGCTCAATTAAATTCTGTTAAATTTAATTTGTCTGAATTTTAAACAAAAAGAAATCCTCTTATTCCTCTACCCTTTGATTCTATGTCCTTTCTTTGTAAGAAAGAGTTTAACAATCAATGGTCCATGGAACAGTTGTTGACCGGAAAAGAATGGCTTATGGGTATGCAGAGATGTGATTTGTCTTCATTCCCCATGGTGGGTAGGCATGGCCTGGGGTTTTCAGTCTGTTTACTCTGCTGCTTCCTACAGAAAGTATTACTTTGTATATGTTTTCTGAGAAACGTTGTGGAGCAATGCTTAGTGGACAGTACTTATATGGCAAGAGATTTAGGAGATCCTGATTGGTATTTCCACTTTAGCAACTCTGCAACATTACAGTAGGACACCAGATGTTCTATTTTTATGAAAATCCTAAATATCAGCAGGAAGAAATGCTAAAGGTGTCTTTAAGACTAAAGGCTAAGCCCTAGTACACTGGGTTTAGAATCACACATAAGGATCAAGAATGAGCAAGTGGTAAAATAAACACTGTCTTTAATTTACTGAGTAGACAGGGAACTTAACCCAAATTTAATTAAGTAAAGGTATTTGGGCTCTGTTTCAGGGCAATAGTTTAGACCACTAGAAGGGGTCTTATTTAGTCAGATACTTGGTGATAATGTTACAGCTTAATGGGTTCTTCTTGTCTGCTGCATAGAAAAGCCAATACGTGAGGCGGCAGTGTTTCAGTAGAGAGTTTAATTACTGCAAGACAGCAAGTGAAAGGACAGGAGATATTTCACAAATCCACCTCCCTGAGAACTTAGAGGCTAGGGTTTTTAAGGCTAATTTGTCAGACAGGGAACTAGGGAATGGGTGCTGCTGAGTGGTTGGGATTGAAATCTTAGGGGTGTTGAAAGACCGCTTTTCTTTTTTTTCTTTTTTATTTTTTTTATGATTATACTTTAAGTTCTAGGGTACATGTGCACAATGTGCAGGTTTGTTACATGTATATACATGTGCCATGTTGGTGTGCTGCACCCATTGACTCGTCATTTACATTAGGTATATTTCCTAATGCTATCCCTCTCCCCTCCCCCCACCCCATGACAGGCCCTGGTGTGTGATGTTCTCCGTCCTGTGTCCATGTGTTCTTATTGTTCAATTCCCACCTATGAGTGAGAACATGTGGTATTTGGTTTTCTGTCCTTGCGATAGTTTGCTCAGAATGATGGTTTCCAGCTTCATCCGTGTCCCTACAAAGGACATGAACTCATCCTTTTTTATGGCTGCGTAGTATTCAATGGTGTATATGTGCCACATTTTCTTGATCCAGTCTATCATTGATGGGCGTTTGGGTTGGTTCCAAGTCTTGATATTGTGAATAGTGCCACAATGAACATACATGTGCATGTGTCTTTATAGCAGCATGATTTATAATCCTTTGGGTATATACCCAGTAATGGGACAGCTGGGTCAAATGGTATTTCTAGTTCTAGATCCTTGAGGAATCACCACACTGTCTTCCACAATGGTTGAAATAGTTTACAGTCCCACCAACAGTGTAAAAGTGTTCCTATTTCTCCACATCCTCTCCAGCACCTGTTGTTTCCTGACCTTTTTAATGATCGCCATTCTAACTGGTGTGAGATGGTATCTCATTGTGGTTTTGATTTGCATTTCTCTGATGGCCAGTGATGATGAGCATTTTTTCATGTGTCTGTTGGCTGCATAAATGTCTTCTTTTGCTAAGTGTATGTTCATATCCTTTGCCCACTTTTTGATGGGGTTGTTTGTTTTTTTCTTGTAAATTTGTTTGAGTTCATTGTAGATTCTGGATATTAGCCCTTTGTCAGATGAGTAGGTTGTGAAAATTTTCTCCCATTTTGTAGGTTGCCTGTTCACTCTGATGGCAGTTTCTTTTGCTGTGCAGAAGCTCTTTAGTTTAATTAGATCCCATTTGTCAATTTTGGCTTTTGTTGCCATTGCTTTTGGTGTTTTAGACATGAAGTCCTTGCCCATGCCTGTGTCCTGAATGGTAACGCCTAGGTTTTCTTCTAGGGTTTTTATGGTTTTAGATCTAACATTTAAGTCTTTAATCCATCTTGAATTGATTTTTGTATAAGGTGTAAGGAAGGGATCCAGTTTCAGCTTTCTACATATGGCTAGCCAGTTTTCCCAGCACCATTTATTAAATAGGGAATCCTTTCCCCATTTCTTGTTTTTGTCAAGTTTGTCAAAGATCAGATAGTTGTAGATGTGGTGGTATTATTTCTGAGGACTCTGTTGTGTTCCATTGGTCTATATCTCTGTTTTGGTACCAGTACCATGCTGTTTTGGTTGCTGTCTCCTTGTAGTATAGTTTGAAGTCAGGTAGCATGATGCCTCCAGCTTTGTTCTTTTGGCTTAGGATTATCTTGGCAATGCGGGCTCTTTTTTGGTTCCATATGAACTTCAAAGTAGTTTTTTCCAATTCTGTGAAGAAAGTCACTGGTAGCTTGATGGGGATTGCACTGAATCTATAAATTACCTTGGGCAGTATGGCCATTTTCACAATATTGATTCTTCCTATCCATGAGCGTGGAATGTTCTTCCATTTGTTTGTGTCCTTTTTTATTTTGCTGAGCAGTGGTTTGTAGTTCTCCTAGAAGAGGTCCTTCACATCCCTTGTAAGTTGGATTCCTAGGTATTTTAGTCTCTTTGAAGCAATTGTGAATGGGAGTTCACTCATGATTTGGCTCTCTGTTTGGAAAGACCACTTGTCAAAGTGGTCTGCTGAATCTGTTTCTGGGTGAGGGGCCACAGGACTGGTTAAGTCAGTTCCCTCATATGAGTCATGGGTGTGGGTTGAGTCAGTCAGTCAATGGAATGCAAAAGTCTGAAAAATATCTCAAAGACAAATCTTAGGTTTTACAATAGTGATGTTATTTACAGGAGCAATCTGGGACATTACCAATCTTGTGACCTCTGGCTATGTGACACTTGAGCAGTAACAGATTATGAAAAACCAAGATACCAAGATAGGGAACAATGCCTGTTTATTATTTAACTATGTCTACATCTTAGCAGAATTAAGGTCCCTCCCATAATCCTCAAGTTCTGGCCTTTCATAAGTCTTGCAAAGGCAGTTTCTGTCCCCAGAGGGGCATCAGTTTTGGCTAGGAACTATTATCATCCTTGCTTAAAAAAAAACTATAAATTAAATTCTTCCCACAGTTAGCTTGGCCTACACCCAGAAATAAGGGCAGGTAGCTTGTGACGTTAGAAGCAAGATGGAGTCAGTTTATTTTAGATTTCTCACACTATAATAATTTTTGCAAAGGTGGTCTCAATAATAACATAAATATTCTGTACCTCAGTTCTGGGGAATTTTATCTTAAACCATGTGAAAAAATGCTGCAAGGAAACTTATAGAATCAGGAGAGTCAGATCGTCTTTGGGAAATCACATTAAAACCCTACAATGCTAGTGGGGAAGATATGCTGTTTCACTTTGGTGCAGGGTTTCTCAGCCTCAACACTTCTGACATTTTTGGTCAGATTATTGTTGACCTGCGCAGTGTAAGATGTTGAGCAACATCACTAGCCTGCCCACTGGATGCCAGTAGCATCCCCTCCTCTATTTGTAACATCCAAAAATGTCTCCTGTGAGGACAAAGTTACCCCCATTGAGAACCAGAGCTTTAGAGCAGTTGGTGGCAACGTTGGCATGCTTGGGGAAGTGCTGTCAGTGGTGGCAGGTGCAGTAGCCAGGGATGATTGAGATGACCATGTAGCTGAAGTGATACTGGCAATATCTACAGCATCAGGAGCAACTTACATGGCACTTAGGGAAATGTGTGACCCAAAAAAACAAAACAAAACAAAAACGCTGACGGGGCAAGGAGGGGATACCCAATAACTCTACTAGGTAAGGTTCTGGAATCAAAACCTATTGCCTTGATTGACAGCTCTTGGCCCCTTTCTAGCAGTACAGTTCAGGGGTGTGATGATCATATACTTCTAGCATCACTCATTTATTGACTATTGCATATGTAGGATACCAAATTATGCCACCCCCAAATATGCCTGTTTGGCATAAGGATTATTTTGAGGTATAGCATACCCAGGAGAAGTTCTGAAAACAGAATAGATGTTACCCTTTTGTAAGGGAAATTTACATTTATAAAGGAAATTTCCATATGTAAGGGTGTTTCCCTTTTTGTACCAAAAAGAGAAAGATGACTAAATCACAAGGAACTCTTATCAAGGAGAAGACTTAAATTTCCATAACAAGCCTTATTCTTGTTTACCCTACTTTTCCTGGTCACCTTCCCATAACTGGCCCCCCCCACCCCTTCTTTCTTTGTTTCAGTGGATGATAGTATTTAGCCAATATTCTAAGACATCTATTTGAAATTGAGTTATTTCTCTAACTCCCATATATATATGAAGTACACATGTTAATAAACTTCTGTTGTTTTTCTCTGGATAATCTCTTTTGTTACAAGGATCTGTTCCAGCTAATAACTTAGAAGGGTGGAGAGAAAATTATTTTTCCTCCCTTACAGATACCACTGTAGTACAGTCACTGTGTTAGTGATTGAGGCAGAAATCAACAAATAAGGTCATTGCACCTAATATAGACCTGCAAACAAATAATTATAATAGTACATTAGCAACCGACATCAAGATGACACGTGTAAGTTATGATAATGGAGCAGGTGTCATACCCCGATGTGCCTGAGGAAATCAGTGAAGGGTTTGCAAAAACATTAATGCTTAACCTGAAACTTGATGGAAAAAAAGCCAATAATTTAGCAAGTAGATTTACAAAACATGGAAAGGGCACTCAAAATAGAGGGAAAAATGTATAAATAGCACACAAAAGTGGCAGAACAACCTATCTTCTTAGGTCAAAATATAGTTAATACAGTTATAGTACAAGATGGTCGCTTTTGTGAGAGATATTGAATAAGGTACAGGGTTAGATGGGTAAGACGGTTACCTCTCCAACTATTGCTCAAGCTTTTAATGTTTCTGTCTTCATGGAAATCTGTGGTCTGCTGGTAAGAAATGTGCATATAGGCTCAATGCTCCTTGGCTAATAGAATACCAGATACTTGTTTTATGTGGCTGTGAAATGGGTGGGAAACAGAGGGAAAAGGCAGTAAAGCCAAGATTCTGCTGTGACTTCAGTCACTGGGAATGTCATTGTATTCTGAACTTGCCACCTGATTCATACACAATGACAACGGGAGAGTGAGGGGCAAAAGACCAAGACAAACCCATCTTCACAGAGAAAAAGCCATATGAACATACATGCCCTTACCACATGTCAGGGTTCCATTTTTCTCTGTAGTAGTTGCTTTCTAACCAGTGCTTTTTTTATTACCATGTGATTATTATTAATGATTTTATTACTGTTACTCTTTCTTTAATGAGGAACTGGCGCTCATGTCTTATAAAACTTCAGTGTACTTTGCCAACATTATTTTTTTTCCTAGACAGTCCTTCTCTCTTTTTTTACTCTGCATTGGTATGTTAATTCTTTCCCAATGAGTCAGTAAGGACGGAAATATTGAATTAGTTGAAAAGACATATTTACATAGCTCTGAAGAAAAGTACCAGTATCCTAGATTAGCACAAAGCTTTAAAAAATTTATAAAGCCACTGCTTTCATCTACCCTGAGAGGAAAATTACAATGGATTTTCTGACAATAGAGTAGGAAAATAGTCTGCATACAATAAAGTCCTACAGCCATCCAAATCACTGCCATAGCTATTCAACTATCCCATAAGGTCCTCATAACTCCTGTGGAAACAGGAACAGAAAAACAAGAGGAACCAACAAGGCAGGGATTGTTAGTGACCTACTGTGCTGGCTGAGAAGAGATTTGTGCATATTTGGTTCTGACTGTCTTTATCCTGCCCTTCATTATGTTCTCCTGCAACAGTTAGAAAGGAAAGTATTCCAATACTCTGATTCTGATATTGAATATAATTCAGGTTAGATTTTTGTCACAAAATTGTATTTTAAATATTTATAAACCTCAGCTTAATTTTCAAATCAGTTTCTCCACAAACTATTTACTTACAAAATGTACAAAGAATGAAGGCTTACGTGAATAAAAATTAGAAATGAAGAGAAAAATCCTCATCATGTTAAAAACTAATTCGGTTTACTAATGGTTAGCATGTTTCCATGTCAACCTTAGGTACTTTTAGGCAATTTTCACAATGAAATTTTCTATTACAATATCTATCTTAGAAGAATTTTTACAATAGAATTGATTCATTGTAATATTGTGCCTCCAAGTATATTTCTATATTTGTTCAGAAGAGTTTTGAAGGCTCTGTCACAGGGTTGATTTTTTTTCTTCTTACAGTGTACTTGCTAATATTGAATAAATGAGATTTATTTTATTACCTTCAAATGGTTTTTTTTTTTCCTTTTAGAGAGTGTTGAGGGCAATATGTTAAAATATGTTTAAAAAGATTTCAGGTTTTGACACAAATTATAAAATGTAAATTCAAACTGTAGAGGTGAATTCCCTTCTACCCTCTGAAAGTTCACTGAAATGAGCTGACAGTAGACAGGTTAATAGAAGAAAAGGCATACAAGTCTATTAATGTGCATGGGGGAAAAATCACAGGACAGTATTGTCCTCTAACACAATCAGATTCAGGGACTTATATACCCCTCTTCATAGGGAAGAGAGAAATGAAGGTGTAGCCATTTTAGAGGGGTAGTAAATGATTTTTAGGGGAAATGCCCAAAAGAGCAGGCAACAGTTTGTAAGTGATTCCTTCTGGAAACTGAATGAGCCCCAAGAACGGACAAAGAACTGAGACAAAGTTCCTCTAAGCTCTGGGGAGGTAGTGACAAATTTTGGGAAGGTAAGGGGTGGAACTTCACTGTGAACAGACGTTGTCTTATTATGTAGATAATATCTCCCAGATAATTCCTTGGAGATGCTCCTAGAAGTATAGATGAAGTCTGTGCATTGTGACAAGTTTTGATCTTTTCTCCAAAAGTAAACCTTTCCTGGTTATTTGATGTGATTCCTAGGAATGAGGTTGTATTAATTTGTTCTTGCACTGTTGTAAAGAAATACCAGAGACTGGGTAATTTAAAAAGAAAAGAAGTTTAATTGCCTCACAGTTCTGTAGGCTGAATAGGAAGCACAGTGGCTCCTGCTCAACTTCTGGGGAGGCCTCAGGAAACTTACAATTATGGTGGAAGGCAAAGGGGAAGCCAGCATTTCACATGGCTGGAGCAGACAGAACAGAGAGATTGGGTAGGTGCCACACACTTTTAAACAAGGTCTCATAAGAACTCACTATCACTTTGTCAGCACCAAAGGGGATGGTGTTAAACCATGAGAAACCGCCCCCATGCTCCAGTCACCTCCCACCAGGCTCCACCTTCAACACTGGAGATTGTAATTCAACATGAGATCTGGGTGAGGACACAAATCCAAACCATATCAGAGGTTTCAAGACAATTTCATTTCTTTTGGAAGAAGTTTCCTTCCTCAGTCAGATAAGAGAACTTCCAGAGAGAGCCCTTCCCTGTGCGTGGTTGGGGGTGAAAGGAAAGGTTAGAAAGCCTTTGGTTTTGAGGTCGCTTCTGTCTTGCAATTTTCTTTAACTTAAAAGTGTTCAGAGTTCCAAAGCACTGTACTTTGGGGTATTGTTCTTTGAGCCCCAACAAAAGTTTTTGCTGTCCCCTTCTTGCACTCCCTGAGATGTTCTTATTACATGTGAGTGCTAGGTTTCTGGGATTTTCTTGCCGTTATAATTCTTTTAAATTAGGCTTTCCCCTAGGAAATGGACACATTCTCCTCGTCTATGAGAAGCCAGAGGCGTGTGCGCTGCTTTAAATTCCCTCCCGAGGGCTCCACAGTGAGGCAGTTGCATAGGTTGCTATACTTATTGTGAATACTGCAGGCTGTGTCTGAAGCAGAATGGACATGATGGCACCACTGTGTTTTGAAGAGGGACCTGTTCACATTGGCCCACATCCTGCAACACCCTGCCCTGCTCGTGGCACTGACCCCCTTTCCCTACCTGGGCAGGCACTGACAAGGAGATGGTTCAGAATTCCTGTTGATGAATCCCCAGCACCTGGTGTAGAATTAAAAAAAACACTTTTCATATGTGTGGCTATTTACTCCATTTGAGAGCAGAAACATTTATCCTTCTGTAACAAGATAGTAAATAGAAAGTTTCAACTGGACCATCCTCATACAATAGCTATGGAATTTCAAAATGAGGTGCCAGGCTATGATGTAGATTTTCAAACAATTGTTTGAGAATTGGTTTACAACTCTAGGAACTTTCATATTCAAGAGGGAGATTAAAAGGTTGAGAGAACAGAGATTAAAAGAATACCTTGGAAGGTGATTTATCAGGTCAAAGAACTAAGGGGAGTAGAGGGAGCACTGCCACTTAGTTCATTCTTGGTGATGTGACAGGCATGCATCAGGGCCATTGGAAAAGCTTGATGAATGTTCCCTGTAGTTGGCAATACAGAGGGTTGGTGTCAGTTTCCTGCTTGCCCACAGCAGCTGAGTAAAGGTGCTGCACCTGCAAAGTAACTGAATTTTCCTGAGATTGTGGTTCAAAGTCACGTATATCCCAGAGAGCAGAGTTGGGAGCAGCAGCAGAAAGTTTAGTCCAGGGTCTGTTTAAAAGGCATTTTTTGCACTTTGGGAGGCCAAGGCAGGTGGATCACCTAAGGTCGGGAGTTTGAGACCAGCCTGACCAACATGGAGAGAAACCCTGTCTCTACTAAAAATACAAAAATTAGCCAGGTGTGGTGGCGGGTGCCTGTAATCCCAGCTACTCAGGAGGCTGAGGCAGGAGAATAGCTTGAACCCACGAGGCAGAGGTTGCAGTGAGCTGAGATCGTGCCATTGCACTCCAGCCTGGGCAACAAGAGTGAAACTCCATCTCAAAAGGGCATTTCTTATGCAATGTGGCTGCCAAGGCAAGGGGGTCTCAGAAGTAAAAGGAATGGATTTTCTTCCAAAGGTGTTGCTGAGTGGATAGAAGAGCAACCAGCTGAAGGAGAAGGAGAGACCCTAGCCAGATCAAAGGAATCAGAAAGCCCCAGCAGCTAAGACTCTTGGAATGTACTCTTGGACAGTCATGGCTAGAAATGAGAAAGAGAGAAGGAGTCCACCTTGCATTTGAAGGCAGATGTTTGTCTGTGGCTGGTGTGGGCTGAAGCGGCTTCCTTTTGAAAGAAGGTTGAAGTATCGCTTGTCTTGTATAGGATATAATAAATTCCTCTTCAAAGGTTTTAGCCTGTAAATTGTTAAGTACAATGAGTTCTGAGATCCTCTCCAAAGAACCAATGCATCAGTATGTTCAGATTCTCTGTTTTTTGTCCTTCATTTTAAAGTTTAACTTCCTCTGTTCTCTTTGTTTCTTTGCCCCTAGTTTCAGTAAACACCCCCCTCCTAGCCTCTATCACCTGATCTGTCCTGAGTCACCCCTGGTCACCTGCTGTGACGTGAGTCATCCTGAGTCACCTGTTCTGTAACCATCCTTCCCGCCAAACTATTCACACCACCACTCCGGCTCGTACCCCTGCTCTCTTTAAAATAGCCAATTGGAATTAGCTTAGACTGTGTGGTCCAACCCTAGCCAATAGGCGAACGACACAGCAGTAGGAGCTACCCACATCTGGGATAAAAACCCCTTACCCTCCCTTGTTCAGGTGTGCTCTCGCCATTGCTCCATCCATGAAATGCACTCTTCTATACAAGTAAATTGCCTTGCTGAGAAAATTTTTGCTGAAGTGCTATTTCTTTTGCGGCACCGAAAGTTTATTTCTAACACTTGGTATGAAGACTTAATTTCTGAATTAAAGGTATGTTCTGTGATTAAAGTGTGATAATGACTTTACTTACATAAGTGACATCATCATTGGATGGCACGGGTTTCCATCTGAAGTACAGGGGAAAGAACTACTACTCAGCAGGCTTAAAAGGAGAATGGAGGCAAAATAAATGTACTTGGGCAGTTTTACCCCAGCAATCCACTAGAATTTTTTATATTTTTCTAAAACATCTAGGATTCTCTTCCTTGTGTTTAATGTCTCAAGGAGGCGGGGACATGGCTTTCTAGGCTTTTTGAGACCCAGCACTAAGCAAAACAGAATCATAAGTATATAAAGCAAAGCCCATAAACCATCCTCAATAAGCAGTGCCTGCTTTCAAGTGCAGAAGGCCCAGGAAGGTCGTAAGGTAGATCCAGAATCAGTCGTTATTGGTCAGCAGGCCTTTGAGGAAGAACAATAGGGACTGTGAATCTCTGAAAAATGCTTTCCCCTGCAAGATGGCATTGCACTCAGACAAGTTGCTGGTCTCTTTCCTTCCCCTCCCCTCCTCTCCTCTTACATTACCTTCCTTTCCTCCTTTTTCTTTTTTCTTCCCTATTTATTGTCCAAATGGGCATAGCCATGGCTAGAAGTTGAAGGTAAGGTACAAAATGATGGTGAACTAATCACTTTAAAATTCACAGGGTGACTATAGTCAATAATAACTGTACATTTTAAAATAAAGAGTGTCATTGGATTTAAAAATAAAGAGTGTCATTTAAAATAACTTAAAGAGTGTGTGCAATTCAGTGGATAAATTCTTGATGAGATGGATAACCCATTCTTCATGATGTATTTTTTTCACATTGCATGCCTGTATTGAAACATCTTATGTACCTCCTAAATGTATACACCCACTATGTACTCACGGAAATTAAAGAAAACAACAAAACTTCTTTTCAAGAAGCTTAAAGACTTGTGCACTTTTTTGCCATGCATATGACAGAAGCTTCATTTTCAATTTTAATTATTAAAAATTCTTATATTTTGTGGCAGAAGATTCGTGGACCTTGTCTCCAACTAGAGGAGCTCTAGCGTACTGAAGGACACTGAGAGGTAATTTCTCCTAAAGGTGCAGCCACCCTGAGTTTGCATGGCAAAAGCTTCAGGTGCCCCCCACCCCACATCAGGATACTGGATGGAGCTGCTGTCATTGTGGGAGGCTGTATAAAGGGCGGTTAAAGTTTTAGGTATCAAGAGTTTTATTACATGTGTCAAATCCTGGCTCCACAGCATGCTTCTATAATTTATATAAACACTTTGTGCGTCAGTTTCCTAATCTGCCAAATGGACATGATCATAGAACCTCTAAATGATTGTTAAGAGGTTTAAATGAAAAATGTACTTAGAATGTTCTGACATATGGCACCCCAAAAATATTCTTTTATTAATTTGTGACATGTTCTCTTTCAACCAGGAGAGGTAAAAAGGAGGAACTGCCTGCTGAATTTTGACAACATTTAACCCTTAGGTTAAATGGGGATTTCTAAACTTGCCTGGGGGTCTTCCAAGGCACTGACACAAGGGGAATTCTGGTGCCCGTCTAAAGTATGATCTTCTTAAACTCAGCTTAGAAATAATTTGTTGCATTTTTCTTTTGCAAGAAGGCTAATCTGCTACTCCGGATATTACTTCCACGGGATGGTAATGAGGCTTTCTGGGAAGTAGTAGTTAATAGCTTTAGGTGTCTTTTGTTTCCTTTGTAACTGTTAGGGTGCAGACGCTGATTGATGGATGTCAGCAAGAGAGACTGCAGGTAAGAACAATTGGGGCCGCTGTAAGGTTTCAGAGTAAAAGAGAGATGAAGGTTTAGATCTAGCCACATCTGTTTGAATTCACTCAGAGAAGCCAGACTGGAGCTGCTCCAGGGCAGAGATTTACAATTCTGTCATCTCCTTGCAGTGCCCAGCAGGCTGGCCGCTCAATAAATATTTGCAATATAACATAAATGGTAAATTTGGAAAAGAAGACAAAATGAGGCGGAGGCGGGAGACAGAGTAGGAAGATTTCAGGTCGTGGGGAGAGAAAAAAGTAAAGGGAAGCCACATATGATGGGAAAGATATTCATGTGGAAGATATTGGGATGCTGACTACTACTGCTGAGGTCAGTAGGCAGGGTAGAACAACTCAGGGCTCTATGGAGGAAGAATGGGATGGGAAGTGATGGGAAGGAGAAGACAAAGAGCAGGAGGAAAACAATTCCATTTGAGGGTAAGAGCATTTCTCTGGAGCAGGAAAGAGCAATAAAGTCCACGCAAAGATCAGTGGAGCTGCCCTGAAAGTGGCAGCATGTGACAGGCACAGTGCTCACCCTGGACGGCTGCAGTGGAGCATGCAAAGGGAAGCACGAGAGGAGGAGAGTCAGAGAAACAAGAATGGGGAGAATGTTCATCGTCAGTCTTTATATGTTTATTTTGTAATATCAGTGAGAGTTAGTAGATTATTTTCCTTCTTTCTTCTTTTTCTTCCCCCCTTCCTTCCTTTCTTTCTCTCTCTTCTCCTTCCTTCCTTTCTTTTAGGAGGTTTGTAAGATTCATTTTAAATATACAGCATAGAAATATCACCTTGTCTAGTAACCTATGAGCTCATGAGGCCATGTGTGTGGAATGACTTTAATGAGGATACTGCAAAAGTAAAGAATGATTATTAAGCCAGGACCAAGGCTGGGAACCTCCTCATCTCTTGCCAACTCTCAGAAGGGGTGTCTTGGGTGAAGTCCATGTGACCAAAAGGAAAGTCAAATGTAAAGTGATTTTTTTAGTTCCCGCTGCATAAACTACTTTTTAGAGTGAAATTGTAAAACACAAAGCTGAACTCCAAAAAGGCCTCTGGCTGCAATATTAGCAGTGTGATGGTTTATGGAAATACTTTAGGGCGGCTGCATTCTGGCCCGCTGCCTGAATCCAAGCATCTCCCCCTGGGTCTCTGACTAAGCCTGACTAAACTAATTTACTCTGAGTGCGAGGCACACTATTCACATCAAAAGAATGTACTTAAGTAGATATAGTGCAACCTTCCCCTGTGGTTGGTTTTGCTTTGCTCTATACTGAAGCTTGGCTGCCATCTGGAAAGATGTCCTAACTTCACTGTTGAGCCAATAAAGCTGGAATAATGTGAAATGGCATAAGCTTTTAAGTCAGGCCACTGGAGAGTGAGAGGCTGCCATGGGAGGGGGAGGGTGTAGTAGTAGGTGAGTGGCAGTGGAAGGCTAGAAATGCATCCAGGCCAGGCCCTTAACTGAATTCCACAAATGGGATGGCTCCTGCGTAGAATAGTGTGATGGTTATGGCAATAAACTTTTGAGTTAGCAAGACACAGGTTGGAATCCCTGGCTTGGCCCTTTAGTAATTTGGCCAAGTTATTTAACTTCTCTGAACCAATTTCCTCATAAATAAAATGAGGAAAATAATACCGACCTCACTAGGTTTTCCTAAGGTTTAAATAAAATTCATATGTAAAGCATTTAGCTCAGAGTGGTTTTCAACTCTGACTGCACATTGGAATTCAGTAGTGCTGTGATTTGAACATGACCCCAAAGTTTATGCGTTGAAACTTAATCCCCAACGCAACAGTGTTAAGAGGTCGGACCTTTCTGAGGTGGTTAAGTCATGTGGGCTCCATCCTCATGAATGAATTAACACCATTATCTTGGGAATGGGTTAACTTCAGCCCCCTGCCCTGCTCTCTCTCATACACATGCTCTCTTGTCCTTCTGCCTTCCACCATGGGATGATGCAATAAGAAGACCCTCACCA
This sequence comes from Homo sapiens, assembly GCF_000001405.40. Taxonomy (NCBI): domain Eukaryota; kingdom Metazoa; phylum Chordata; class Mammalia; order Primates; family Hominidae; genus Homo; species Homo sapiens. The sequence goes on from NC_000011.10 coordinate 106,400,029, forward strand.
GATTTAAGCCCCTTCATCTTGGACTTCCCAGCCTCTAGTATTATAAGAAATAAATTTCCGTTCTTTATAAACTACGCAGTCTCATATATTCTGTTACAGAAGCACGAAGCAGATGAAGGCAAGTAGGGAGGGTCTAAAACTATCCTCATGCCGCTGCAGTTCAGACAAATTCAATCAGAATCGCCAGGACTGGCGCCTGGTAATTGTATGCGAGGACCACTCACAGGTGATTCTGATGCACCACGAATGTTGAGACTATTGTGAACTACCTAGTTTGCACTCATGAAAGAACAGCTGCTACAGGAGAAAGGTTTCAATGACAAACTGCTGGAAAAATACTTACCATAGCACATAGCATATACTAAATACTTGGAAACAGGTAGCTATTTTTGCTTACCCTAATTTTATTAAGCCATAGTATAATAGTTAGTAGGTGAGCTTAACTATAGGCACTAGAGAACACATATGAAGTATGAGTTTTACTCTGAGGAGTGTTAAGTGTGATAAGAGAAAGCATATCAAACCTTAATGAAACTGGATTAAGGGAATATGTTTTTTTTTAAAGTGCGGTGTCAAATTGCTGTCAAAATAAGTCAACATTCATAATTTCTTACCAAGTTAACTCTTAGTGGAGAGGCAGGAGAGCAGAGTGGCTAGCAGTGTGATCTTTGAGGCTGACTGTCCATGTTCCAACTCTAACTCAGTCACTTACTAGGTGGGTGGACTATTTAACATCTCTGTGCCTCAATGTCCTCATTGATAAAAATGGAGATAATAATGGTACCTGCATCAAGAATGTTGTGAGGAGTAAATAAGTTAATATAAGTAAAGCACTCTCTGCAAAACCTGGCACTTAGTGATTAATACTAGCATCAGCTAGTAGTAGTAAAATACATTCAGTAACACTTAAAATCCTAATTTTACTATTTTAAGTGTATTTAAATTTTTTAAAGATCTGAGTGTCAAAAGTGATCAAATTCTAAAGTAATATGCATTTTTGTATGTCATAGAATCACTTGAAAGTTTTGTTAAAAATTAGAATTCCTAGTGACTCTGATGCACACAAAACTAGGAGAGTCGTCAGTTGGTGAATCCTAACCACAGGGTCACAGGGTCTGCTTCAGTGGGTGGCACTGAGCAGTACAGGACATGATTATTGTATCAGGAGAGCAGCTTCGAAGGAGGTCACGTGCCCTCAAATTTCCCCAAACATAAGAAAACCCTTTAGAAAACAACGTAGAACCTCCAAGATTATGTGAAATCCTCTATGTAAATTGAGAAACACAAGCTACAATTCCATTCAGCAGCAGTGCATGTATCATAAATATTTTAAGCAAGAAAAAACTACTACAAAAATTTGCCAAAAATTCACTGAAATCATGTTTCAATCCTACCAATTGTGAAGAGGCCTATCCTACGTAGTCTAAGTTATGTTATCCTTCTTTGCCAAAAATGAGTCATGCTGCAACTTTCTAATACAGAAATTACTCTTCCCTTTATAGATGACATGATCAATACTTATTAATCTCATAATAGTCAATACAGAAGTTTACTCTTATAACTTTCATTGAAATTTCTGATATATCATTTTGTCTTGTTTTAATGTTATGTCATCTTTGTCAAAACTATTTTATAATTTTACATTTGTAATCTCATATATAGTATTGCCAAATGTTTATCATTTTACAGATTTTCAATCTTGTACTCAATATTTTATTACCAGATGTTGATTTTTTTTTTTTAATTCTGAAGGTCACAGGCTTTTTATTGAATTGCTTGAAAAAGATAAGCACCAGCATTCACTCCTTATCTCTGTAGTTCTCTTTGCCCTTCCTTCTCCTGAACCCTGGAAGGTGGTGTTCTTTCTCTATTCCAATTTGATTTAAAACTTATTAATTTTGTTTTTGTTGAATCTTACGATTCCTGAAAAGGTAGCAACTTAACATGAATTTTTCTCTTAAAAATTATATGTTTGCTCTGAACTGTGGATTAAAAAATGGCTCCACTAGTAGTATATTGTTCAGTAAAACTACAGATACTCAAAATCACAATTAGCCATTTTTTTAAACAAATAGGTACTTTTTCACCTCCTTAAACTCTGAATAATACCCACTAGTTTTAGAGGGAAAATGTATTTAAATATAGATAAACAAGTCTGAGTTCAGTTTAGGAAAGACTGCTGTTTTTCACAGGCGCAAATGTAGGTGTTAAATGGTGCTATAGGTTCATAAATCCCAAAACCATCAGAATGGAGTAGTCATCAACTTCAGATAAACGATCATACAAATGATGGAGTATTAGGTCAGATTATCTTTCACCTGCATTTTTGCAGTTGGTAATATCAGTCAGAAATGGATTGAGGATTTCATATCAAAGCCCTTTACTTGAGGGGGCACTGCTGGAGTAGGCTAGTTATAGCAAATGTTATGCAATAACTTAACCAGAATAGGTCCGGTGAGGACCATCTCTAATGGGCTGTGTGTAGATGGTCTGCCCACTCTGGTAATTGGGTTTTCATGGCTGCAATACCTCTTCCAAACAATACCTGAAAAAATGCCTATCCCAACACTCTAAAGGAATATTCAGGAAAGAATGTTATGAGTATGACTAACTTCATTTTGTTCATTTGGCTGTATAGTAAATAGTAAATTATAAAATGTACAACTCAATAAATAAAGTGATACTACATATTCTGGATTATGTGGTGAAGATTTTGTTTTTTTCATTTGGTATAATAAAACAATTTGGAGAAGCTAAGGGAAATTTCTAAATGTGTTATATTTTTCTTTTAAAATCAGCTCTAAGTCATAATTTACATACAAAATATGCCCCCATTTTAAGAGTACAATGCAATAAGTTTTAAGAAATATATATACCGTAACCAACACCCAAATAGTTTCTAATTGCCTCTTTTCCGTCAACCCCCTCCCACTCTCAGCCCTACGCAACCACTGCTTTACTTTTTTCACCATAGATTTGCTTAATATTTTGTAAGCACTTGCTTAGACTTTTTACAAATAGGATTGCCTAGTATGCATTTATTTGTATTTGGCTTCCTTTGCTCAGCATAATGCTTTTGAGATTCATCCATATTGTAGTCTTTATCAGTATTTGATTCATTTTAATTGCTGACAGTTATTCAATTGTTTGAATATACCACATTTTGCTTGTCCATTTATGTGGTGTTGATGAACATTTGGATTTTTTTTACTAGGTTTTAGCTAATATGAATAAATGTTATTATAAGTCTTTATGTGGACACATTTAAAAATTTATAAGCATTTATTTTGGAATAATTTTAGATGTGCAGAAAAGTTGCAATGATGGTACAGATTGTTTCTGCACACTCTTAACCTACTTTCCCCTAATGTTAACATTTTCCATAGTCATGGTACATTTGTTAAAACTAAGAAATTATCCTTGGGACAGCACTATTAAGACTTTATTCAGATTTTACAGATTTTTCAACTAATGTCGTTTTTCTGTTCCAGGATCCAATGTAAGATACCACATTGCACTTAGTTGCCATGTCTTCTTTAATCTCCTTCAAGCTATGACAGTTTCTCCATCTTTTCTGTTTTTTATGACCTTGACAGTTTTGGAGAGTACTGGTCAGATATTGTGTAGGACGTCTCTCAATTAGGGGACATTGTTTGATGTTTTCTCATGATTAGACTGGGGTTTTGGGTTTTTGTGAAGAATGCCAGAGAGGTGGAGCACCTTCTCCTAGCATCATATTAGGGGTACATAATATCAGTATGATTTATCACTGGTGAGGTTAATCTTGATCACTTGATGTTATGGTTTAGATATGAGCTGTTTGACCTCACTGAATCTCACGCTGAAATGTGATCCCCAGTGTTGGAGGTGGTGCCTAGTAGGAGGTATTTGGGTCATGGGGGTGGATTCCTTACGAATGGCTTGGCGCTGTCCTCCAGGTAATGAGTTCGTTCCATTGGGTTGGTGCAAAAGGAATTGCTATTTTTGCCATTGAAAGTAATGGCAAAAATATCTAGTATTTAATTTTTTTTTTTTGAGTCAGAGCCTTGCTCTTGTCGCCCAGGCTGGAATGCAGTGGCGCGATCTCAGCTCACTGCAACCTCCACCTCCCGGGTTCAAGCGATTCTCCTGCCTCAGCCTCCCAAGTAGCTGGGATTACAGGTGCCCACCACCATGCCTGGCTAATTTTTGTATTTTTAGTAGAGATGGGGTTTCACCATGTTGGCCAGGCTGGTCTCGAACTCCTGACCTCATGATCCGCCGGCCTCGGCTTCCCAAATTGCTGGGATTACAGGCGTGAGCCACCACGCCCAGCCAATATCTAGTATTTAATATGTAGTATCTAATATTTAGCAATATCTCTATTAGTTCCCATGAGAGTTCCCCAGAGAACTAGTTGTGAAACAAGCCTGATGCCTCCTCCTCTCTCTTTGCTTCTTTTGCCATGCGATCTGCACATGCCAACTCCCCTCATTTCACCATGAGTGGTACCTTCCTGAGGCCCTCACAAGAAGCAGATGCTGCTGCCATGCATCATTTATAGCCTACAGAACCATGAGCCAAATTAATCTCTTTTCTTTTCTTTTGTTTCTGTTTTGTTTGAGACCGAGTCTCACTCGGTCACCCAGGCTGGAGTGCAGTGGCGTGATCTCATCTCACTGCAACCTCCACCTCCCAGGTTCAAGTGTCTGTCACCCAGGCTGGAGTGCAGTGGTGTGATCTCATCTCACTGCAACCTCCACCTCCCAAGTTCAAGTGATCCTTCTGCCTCAGCTTCCCGAGTAGCTGGGATTACAGGCATCCATCACCACACCTGGATAATTTTTGTATTTTTAGTAAAGGTGAGGTTTCACCATTTTGGCCAGCCTGGTCTCGAACTCCTGATCTCAGGTGATCCACTCGCCTCAGTCTCCCAAAGTACTGGGATTACAGGCGTGAGCCACCACGCCTGGCCAAATAAACTTCTTTGCTTTACAAATTACCCTGCCTCAGGTATTCCTTTATAGCAACACAAAAGACTAACACACTTAGCGTTCTGCCAGATTTCTCTACTGAACTGTTACTATGTTCTCCCTCGTGTGCTTCCGATAGGCTTCATTTGGCTAAAGGGCCTGGGAATTCCTTTCTGGGGAGTCTAGTGGAGAACCTGTTTTCTTGCCTTTTGCAGTTTCTAGAGGCTGTTTGCATTTCTTGGCTCATGGTCCCCATCCGTCTTCAATGGTGGTAGTCGCCAGCTGAGTCTTTATCACATTGCATCCCTCTGACACTGACTCTCCTGCCTCCCTTTTCCATGTATACAGACCCTTGTGTCTGTATACACAGACACATCTACTCAGAAAATCCAAGATAATTTTCTCATCTTAAATTCAGCTGATTCTCTATCTTAATTCCATTTCCAATGTTAATTCCCCTTTGCCATGTAATGTAACATACTCACCACTCTTGGGGAATAGGTTATGCACATCTATGGGAGGCCATCATTTTGCCTCCCACAAGGTTATAGTCCAGTATTCCAGTACATTATAATCCAATACATTATTTTGTTGCTCAAATTATTCCAGCTTTGCCTCTTTCAGGTTGGCTCCTGTATCTTCAAGACGTATCCTCATCTTTTTTTTTTCTTTGATTGATTCCTTATTTCTGGCATGACAAGATGTTCCAGGTTTATCTTATATTTTTCCTGTCCCAGTCATTTCTTGAAGGAGTCCGAGTTTCTTTTATTGGAGAATAATATTTAGAAACCACAATCTGGGTGCTGGGTGTGCTTATTACTACTGAGAGGTTACTACTTCTAAACCCTCTCATTGGACAGAGCTGAGAAATATATGTATGTATAGTAACCAACGTGTACACACATATCTATAATTATTTCTGCTTTTAGCTATTTGTGTATATACATTAAGATAAAATTGCATTCATGTTGATTTCTCCAACTCAAATCCAGTAAAACAGGGTTTGTTCAAGCCTTATCCCCTTGCTTATTGTAACCTCTTTCTCTGACACTGAGAAATCTGGCTCTCATGATGTAATTTATTTCTTTATTTTTTTAATCTTAATATATATGTAAGGTGGTTTCAGAATCACTAACCCAGACTTCTATGAGAAACCAATTTATCAACTTGCATAGTGTGGCTTCAGTGTCACGGACCCAGGCCTCCGTGAGAAAAAAATTTGTCAACTAGAATAGTGTTTATTATAGTACTTTTTGTCTTTAGCTATATAATTTCCAGTCAAAATATCATTTCCAAGGTTACTTAGGTCAGATCTTCTTCCGTACCCAACCCTTAGTGAGGTCATATCATGCCATTGTAATTCAGTTAGAGTTTTTTTTCATTATCTGCATTCCATCCCCTGCCTTCTTGGCTGATTTTAAAGAATTTTCATATAGTAATATTTAGTTTTTAAAATGTAAAATTCTATGGGTTGTGACAAATTTATTTATCAAGATATTTATCAGATATTTATCAAGCCAGGATCATATAGAAGAGTTCTATCACCATAAAAATTCCCTCACAATAGTTTATCACTCTTTCCTTTTTCCAACCCTTGACAACCACTGATTGATTTTTCCGTTTTTTATAGTTTTTCCTTTTTAATCATGTCATATAAATGAAGTAATACAACAGGTTGCCTTTGAATCTAGCTTCTTTCACTTATGAAAATACACTTAAGATCCATCTGTTTTGTTGCATGAATCAATAGCTCATTCCTTTTTATATTCCTGAGTAATAGTTCATTATATCTCTTAACCTTAGTTTGTCCATCTATTCACTTATTAAAGGATTTCTACATTGTTTCCAGTTTAAGGTGATTATGGCTAAAGCTACTATAAACATCTGAATACGTGTGTGTGTGTGTGTGTGTGTGTGTGTGTGTGTGTGTGTGTGTGTATTTAGGTTTTCAATTCATTTGGGTAAATATCTAGAAGCCTAATTGCTGGGTTGTATGTTAATTCTATGTTTAACTTTATAAAAACTGCCAAAGTGCCTGTACCATTTTGCATATAACAACAATGAATGAGCATTCGTGATGCCTCACATCCTTGTTAGCATTTGGTATTGTCAGTGTTTAAGGCATTCATTTAATAATTTTAATCGGTGTTTAGTGGTGGTATCTCGTTTTGGCTTTAATTTGCATTTTTCTAATGAGAACTGATGTTGAGCATCCTTTCCTGTGCTTCCTTTTCCATTGCCATATCATCTGTGGTGAAGTCTGTTTACGTCTTTTGCCCACTTTTTAGTTGTGTTGTCTGTTTTCTTACTGTCGAGTTGTAAGTTACAAATCTTTTGTCACATGTATGACTTGCAGATATTTCTCCCAGTTTGTGGCTTTTCATTTTCTTAATGGTGTCATTGGCAGAACAAATGTTCTATTAACCAGGTCTAATTGATGAATTTTGTCTTTGTTGATCATGCTTTTGGTGTCATATCTAAAAATTCATAGCCACACTGAACATCCCACAGATTTTCTGCTGTTTTCTTTTATAAGTTTTATAATTTAAGTTTTACATTTAGGTTTATGATCCATTTAAGTAATTATTATAAAATATGTGACAAGGTTTATTTAATTTTTTGCAGGTGGTTGTCCAGCCATTCCAACACTTTGTTGAAAGGACTATCATTTTTCCATTATATTGCCTTCAATCCTTTGTCAAAAATCAGTTGACTATATTTGTATGGTTCTATTTCTGTACTATCTTATTTTGTTCCCTTCATCTGTATATTTACTTTTTTTGCTAATATCACACTGTTTTGATTAAAGTATCTTTATCATAAGTCTTGAAATTGGATGGTGTAACTTCAATTTTGTTTTTTTTTTCAGCATTATTTTTGCTACTAGATTTTCTTTGCTATGCCATGTAAATTTTAGAATCAGCTTGTTGATATCTACAACTTCTTCCTGGAAATTTTATTGGAATTGTATTGAATCTATAGAAAATTTAGAGTTTATCTCAGGTTCTGGCCTTAGTTACTGAAGTAAGAGATAAGGAGTAGGTTTGAAGGGTAGAGAGGAAATGGGATCATTTAGTCAGGTTAAACTAATGGTCTCTGTGGTATATCTAAGAAGAAAGATGAACAGCAGAAAGTTGAATATGTGATGATGTTTTATTCTGGTCTTTCCTTTTCAACTCACAATAATGGCCACTCAGTCAATGAAAGGTATCTATTCCGAAGGCATATTTTGCTTTTGGAAATGTAATTATATAAGGTAGAGTAATATAGGGGCTTATGGATGCAAGGCAGTCGATTGCTCAGTAATACTTTTCTCTCTCTACTGCTAGTTGAGGCTACCTTTCCCCTTTATCTCGCACCTAGCTATCATGTTTCTCTGGGAATGATCCTCTCAGTCTTAACATGGCCTGATCAACCTTCTCTGAACCCAGATCATGGAAGACCCAGAAGTAAGACACCTCCTTACTTAAGCCCAGATCTCAGGCCATTCTTGGGCAGTTTCTCCCTCAGTCCTCACCCCCCTTATCCTGATTGAGATTAATCTCACCTTACCTTTCACTTTTCTAGGAAGACTTTATCCAAAAAAATGTGTCGCCAAAGACTGAACGTATTTATGTTCTCCTTAATGGAGTTAGGATGACTTTGCAAAGATGCACACGTAATCATGCCACCCTCCTGATTAAAAACCTTTTAATGGCCCCCATTTCCCACTAGATGAAGGCCAGATTTCTCAACATTATGTGCAAGACTATTTGTGAGAGTCCTCTTGCTTTCCCCTCCAGGGTCATCTGTCATTAATAACACTGTGATCTAGTAAAATAAATTTTCCCTCACTTCTCAAGATTGTAGTAAGTGCTATTCCTAAGGGCTCCCATAGTCTCTGTGCTTGCCCCATTGGAGCACATTTCTCAATTGTGATTTTCTGTTTATTTGTCTGTATCTCCTCTGCACTGCATGTTCCCTATGGGTAGAGGCAGTGCCTTGTTCTCCGATACATCCTCCAGGAGGAGTCGCAGTGCCTGGAAGGTAAGTACTTTTTGAGTTAAAAACAAAAGAATGATCCAATTAATGCACGAATAAAGGCATCACTGTATTTATTTTCAAAAGGTGCCTAATATTTATAGTGATTTTTTATTATTATCCATGTCTTTGGATTTTTCAGGATGTTGCCAGTTCAAAAGTGCAGAAGCCATACACACAGAGAAACTGTAAGTTAAAATGCATTTTGATAGAACGAGACAACATTTTCAGTGCTTTCATTATATTACCTGACACAAAAAGAGAGTAATAATAGATCACCTGGCCACTTACATAATGAACCTGAGTTCTTCTTGTCAGAATGACCTTGTAGGACTATATAGAGTGATATTGCAACCATAACAGCAATTGAAGAAAGATCCAAAGCCCAGAACTCATAATAAATAGATGAGTCATAAACTGGAAGCAGGCATGTGTGGCACCCATATTTAAAAGGAGCACAGAAATGAATTAAATAAGTAAAAATGAGATCTGGTAAATTGCCTGTCAGATAGCTGAGATCACTATAGCAAGCAAAATCTTAGAATCATTATGACAATGCTGAGTATATACAGGTTGAGACACAACACAAGTAATGCTAATTCCTTATATTTAATTAGAAATATTCTTATGTGAACTGAAAATTTATAGTTGCTTTAGGTTTCAAGGCCCAAAGGTATATAAGTACAGTTTTCTCAAAAGGCACAGTAGTCTCTACCCTTAAATGCATAATCAGATAGACAAACTCATATATGACACCTTTGAAAATACTTGACTATATAATTGCAAAATTCCTATCTGTCGTAGTGGAATGGAAAGAGTGAAGCTTTGAGGTCACTAAAGGATAGTTGTAAAACCTGGTTTTACTGCATGCTAGCTGTGTGATATTTCATGAGGGAATTTCACAACTACTCTTGGTTTTCTTATCTGCAAAATGGGAGAAAGTAGATCTACGTTAATGATCTTCTAAGACAATGCTTAGAAGCAAGTGCTAGACACATTTTCTGATCCAGAACAAGATGCCACAAAAGAATCACAGCTGTTGCAACCACTTCTAATTTTCTTTCTCTACTTGTTAGAAAGCAGAAATGTATTCTAACAGCAAAGTTTCCTCTGAACACATTTGCATGGATAATAAGAAAATGACATCAAGTAGGGAAATTGAGTTAATTATTGAGTTAAAAACTGAGTTGAAATTAAGTTTAAGGCCTAATTCCTGTTACAGCTTCATCTATTTTCCTTTCTTTCTATTGCCTAGTCTTTTATATATACTGAGTACATGAGCTAGCCCAGGTGTTCAAACTACCCAGGGCATTTTCATTATATAATGAGGACTAAAATAAATCCTTAGATGTTCAGCCTTATTTGAAAAAAGTGCTGTAGGTTCCTGATTCCTGCTATTAATAATTTTTTAGTTTAATGGTTTGAGTTCTCTGAAATGTAAAATGTGAAACCAGTTGAAGCTACTGTTAGTTATTAACATTTTGGTTCAAATCAGTTCCCAATTCTTTTTTGAGGGCTAATTTTAAGAGAAAAATACCTGAGGGCTCTGGTTGAGAAGTAAGGGCCATCCTCTTGGACAGAAACTGGCAGTACTGATGGCCAACAGCCCACTGTGATTACTGAGGATCGAGGCTGGTTCTACTAATGGTAGAATCTAGCACTGTGATGGATCCATCCACTTGTGGCTATATTTTTATCCCATTTCAGTAAGACACAGGCAAAAGTTGGCAAACACTTTTGGATTTGTAAACTATGTTAGTATGTCACAGAAAAAAGGATAAAGCTGCCAATTTTCACAGTTTTCTATCAGGTTTTCTCATGTTACTATAGGTTTTTTTTTTTTTTTAGAATGATTGGCAACAGACAGATATATTTCCCTATTTTGCTCTTGTCTGATCCATTTTTCAGGTAGATGTACATGTAAGTAATTACAATCTATATTTTATCATGTAACTTTGAGAGTATTGCATGTGTTAGGAGTTCAGATTTGAATCAAAGTCTCCAGCACCTGGGCTTTGCACTTGAGTGATGTGTTCCATTTTTTAATAGCACTTTATTGTCTACTTATGTTGTTTAGTTGTCAGAGGTGACATCCACATTTTCAAATCTCTAAATCTTCTTTTACCTGTGGTGAAATTAAGTGCAATCATGTGGCACATTATTAATGCCACTGGTTATCTTATTATATTAGATAAAAGGGATTGCATTTTCTATGTATTGTAAATCTCCTAACATTCAATCATATATACATTTTAGTAAGGTACCAGTGATATGTCACATATACGATATATCACTCAGTCTTGCTGGTTATAGGTATTGAGAGCAAGATTGTCAATCCTGGAGAAAATGGAGTGTGTTATACAGGAATTACCAATGCTATTGTTTTCTAATTGGCTCAATATCTGAGAAAGGATAAATATAAAGATGCCATGAACAATTTTTAAAAACGCATGCTAACACCTCAAATCAAGCTATACAAGTAATTAACCAGGGAATAATTGGTATGTTTGTAGTCCTTGATTTGCTGTTTTATTTTCAGTCGGTCAGTTTTCACATAAAACTTAGATATTAATATGTTTAATTCTGCAGAAAAATTAGTGATTAATATTTCCTATATTATATCACAGAAGAATGAGAAATTTGTCATTTTCAAGCCTGTACATAGTTTTCTATTCTTCTCCTTTTTCCCTCTCCCTGCAACACACACCCACATCACACCCATTGCTTCCCAACACATACCCCACAACCCCCACTCACCTCAAGAATGGAGTCTCAGATGCCTCTTCAGGATGTTTGGAGATTTGGGTGAACACAGATGTCTCCAGAATTGCATAGGACACACTGTTTTGGTTGACTTTTCAAATCAGTAGGGAGAGGGGGGCAATCTCACTTTTCTGACCTATAGATTCTTGATCCTTTTTGGGAAGAATAAATGACATCCCCAGGGCACAGATTGTGGGTACCTATTTCATGCTAACAGGAAATTCCTCAGTTACCTTATATTATTATTATTATTATTTTTGAGACAGTCTTGCTCTGTCACCCAGGCTGGAGTGCAGTGGCATAATCTTGGCTCACTGCAACCTCCGCCTCTCGGGTTCAAGCAGTTCTCCCACCTCAGCCCCCAAATAGCTGAGATTATAGGCACACGCCACAATGACTAGCAAATTTTTGTATTTTTAGTAGAGATGGGGACTCCTCATGTTGCCCAGGCTGGTCTTGAACTCCTGAGCTCAGGTAGTCTGCCTGCCTTGGCCTCCCGAAGTGCTGGTATTACAGGTGTGAGCCACCGCACCCGGCCAGGTCACCTTATATTCTAGGCATTGTGTTTTGCGGAAAAGAAATGAAGATTCAGAAATTTATTTATCCAAAGTTATCACTTATCCATTTTCAACCAACATTTATTCAGCACCTATATTTATCCAGGCAGATAATGACAGATCTGAGATTCAAACACAGCTAAACTCATTCCATAACATTTTCTATTAGCTGACCAAATGTAAAATGTACCTCTTTTGAAGTGCTTTTCTAAAATTATGTATTCATTTATTATGGAATATAGCATATGCTGTCTTATCATTGTTGAAACATTTGTATTTTGTCCTCTTGTAGGTAATACATTTTTTGAGGGAAAGTCCTTCTCTTACTCTTACTTATCTATATCTCTCTCCCTACTTGGAGGCTTCTAGAATGTCTTTTTTCTTTTTAAATAGAAAGAAACATAATTAACAACATGCCATGTGGTTCCAACATCTAAATACCTGTTTATATATTTCTTCTCTTAGTAACAGGATCATCACTGTTAGAGAAAACCAAAGAGGGTTTTCTCTATCTCCAAATCTCTTTTGAATTCATCCCTTTCCTAGCCAGTCCCTTCCTTCATCGTTTGTCATCTGGACTAGTACAATGGTCCAGAGGTGTCTCAATGCATGAAGCCTCTCTCTCCTGTTTAATCTTTCCTGGCAGAACCATCGTCATCAGCCTTTTCACAGACTGTCCCACCACCACAATTGTGGCTTCATCACTACTCCCACCCACCTGCCATGTATCTCAGTCACACCAAGTTGTTCCCTTTCCTTGAATGTGCCATGTTCTTTCTTGGCTCTGTATGTTGTCTCTCATTCTTTTGTTTTCCAGGTAAACTCTTTTCTGTTTATTTATTTATATATCCTGGAGAACCTTCTCTTTCTTCAAGTCTCAAGTCAAATGCCATTGCTTCATAGACACTCCCATAGATGCTCACCCTGATCCACATTCTCAGACAGTGTCTTCAATGCTTTCTTCTCTTTTCATATTTCTATGATGTCTTAACAAAGTACCACAGACTACATGGCTTAATCAACAGAAACTTATTTTCTCACAGTTCTGGAGGCTGAAAGTGCAAGATCAAGTTTCCAGTGGGGTTCAGTTTCTGGTGAGGGCTCCCCCTGACTTGCAGGTGGCTGCTTTGTCCTCACATGCACATGTCTTTTCAGTTTAGGGCCCCATCCTTGTAACCTCATTAACCTTAATTAGCTCCTAAAGACCTCATCTCCAAACCCAGTCATATGAATGGGTGGGGGGACGGAGGGAGTTACACAATTGCACAGCAATTTGAATATATTTTATTTAAGCATTATTCATGTTGAATACTTTTGCTTGTCTCTTGGTGTCATTAAAAAATGAACATTTAAAGCAGAAGGGCAGTGTTTGATTATGTTTGCCCTCTTTATTACAGAGCTGTCACACAGAGGGTGAACAAGGATTGTCAGGATGTGACTATGGAAGCCAGGAACTTGAATGACATGTGATTTATATGATGTATTTATTTCTCCCCCACTACCATTCCTTGAGTATACTGTTTTTTCCACCTTCAATCTGAAGAATTATAGAAATAAAAAAAGTCAAGATAATCATTAATGAAAAGGGTCATTAGAATGATACCAAATTTCAACTTCCAATGGCACATGGACACTGTAGAGATCAATGTGATCTGAAATTTTACTAACAGTTTTTAATTACTGTCTCTCTTTAAAATGATCTGATTGTATTTTCCTGAAAACAATAATCATCTAGAAGCATTGCAATATCCATATTGTTACCCCCACCTTTTATCCATATTGATTAAGCTATCTATCCTGAGATTAAATTTACAAAATAGATTTAACAAGTTTTGGTGATGTAATATAGCCTCCCAATTATGCAACTGTTACTCCTAATATTACCTAAGAAAGATGTTTGAATGGAACCACTGAATTAAAGTCTTGGAAGAATTTTATTTAGTCTAGGGCTGATTGCATTTTAATTTTTGTAAACATTTGCTAGTTGTCAATACTCACTTTTACTTCTTGAAAGACTTAATATACATTCTGGGACCCTAAAGCTAGACAAAGGAATAAAATATTACGGAAAACTCTGTCCTCGTTTAAAAGTATTATTGTTCATATTTGATTATGGTGTTTGACCACATAACCCTGTAACATACAAGGGCCCCTGGCCATCAGCATTTGGTTAGATCCTTGCCAATACTCCATAGAATAACCCATTTCACCGAAGATCATTGAGTGACTAGGTGCCATGTAAGGAGCAAGACTGGGAACACAAAGACAAAGAGAGCATTTTCAGATTATGAGACTGACGTGCTGCCCACTGCGCTGAGAGGGGCTCTAAAGAAAGCATTTTCTTAAGGAGCCTGGTACCTACAGTGGGAGACAGATATGTAAACAAATCACAAGAGAGTAAGGCATCTCTTTGCCAGTCTGAAAGCAGGTCAGTAGCTCAAGAGAGGACAGAAGTAAACTCTAGCTAGAGAGGAGAAAAAATGCACCTTATTTGGTGAAGGACAAAGCAGTGTGATTCAGGACTAGAAAAAGAAAGTATAAAATGAGAATATGGTGAGAACAGATCCTCAAAAGAATGACATAATCCCAGTACATTGCTGGATAAATTTGGGAAGGGAAATCGTAGAGGAGTTTGCAAAGATAAGGAGGCATAGAGAAGCACAATTATATAAAATGAAGTCAGATATGGGAACCACTGAAATGAGGGCTAGGTTTTAGGAGAGAAATATATGTATATAGCTATATGTATATATGTATATATGTATGTTCTGGAAAGGAGCAACTGTGCTACTGAAACACAGCTTTTATTCTAAGCGCACAGAGATCCATAGCAGTGTTTCTGCAGGGATAGATGAAGGCCAATTATTCTGGTGACTTGGAGAGTCCCAAGGTTCATCCTTAGCAGAAGAGGTTTTAGCAGATAAAGATTTACAAACTAAAAACATTGTCATAATCCTAGATAATAACAAACACAGGAAGTTAATATTTCCTTCACATCTCAAATAAGTAAGAGCTTTCACTCCTAATAAGGAACGTACCTGCCCATGGTGTTATTCAGAAGGCCCCCCATTCCTTTGAAATGCACATCTTTTCAAAGTTCAGACAAGGGAAGCTGAGATTGTTTTTAATTCTTCCCTAAGTAGTGGAACTTTGCAACTCACGCCCTTCTCCACTTAGCTCATTGCCATATGTGCCCTTGGTAATTAAATCATTTCACAATTTGACTTTTCCTTGAATGTAAAATTAGAAAACCACAATTTTAACAAAGTTATCCTCACCTTCTAAATCAGAAAGATGTGATCAAGTGAATTATTGTAGATTGGAAATGTTAGGGCCAGTCCTCCCTGTAGAGGGAGCTGAATGTGGACATAATCGGAGCTCCTTGTGACCTGCTTTCAGAGGTGTAGAAAGTACACAGCTGCGTGCCGTACTGCATAGGTCTCAGGTGATGCTTGTGAGCAGGAGCACTGTGGGGGACAGACGGGATCTGAGCCAGCCAAGTGACAGCACCGGAAGAACTCTCCAGGTCTATTATCACCTGGACTATTTAACTCTGTGTGCTTAAAATAAGCAGGTCCACAAAGATATCAGACCCAGAAGTCAGGGAGGGGTATGAAGCAAAAGAGAGGGAGATTCTTCTGCTTCTAGGCAGGTTAGTCCAGTAACTGAATAAAATATTCTTAAGCTCTTATGTGTCAGGTATTATATTAGGCAACAGGAGGAAAACGACAAATATGACAAGAGTTTCTACTCTCAAGCATCTTATGTTGAGTCCTCCTATGGACTACATAGATGAGAAACCAAAAAATTACATAGCTGTTTAAAAGGCAAAATACAGGACTCCAGGAGATCAACTGAGACTCTTAATTGAGGCTTTGGTTCATGAGAGAAGCTTTCCTAAAGATAATGGCATCTAAGACAAGACTTAAGTCATGAGGTACAGTTAGTCAGAAAAAGTTGGAAAGAGGGTCCCAAGCAAGTCAAAGACAAAGAGGGAAAGAGACTTACTGCAAATAGACCAAGGTGGCTACAGCCCAGAGTGGATGTGAAGGTCAAGCCTGGGTTTTCCAGTTTCTTGCATGTGTTGCTTTTCTCTTTAAAGAAAGCTAGGAAGGGCCGGGCACAGTGGCTCATGCCTGTAATCTCAGTACTTTGGGAGGCTGAGGTGGGCGGATCACGAGGTGAAGAAATCAAGACCAGCGTGGCCAATATGGTGAAACCACATCTCTACTAAAAATACAAAAATTAGATGGCTGTGGTGGTGGGTGCCTGTAGTCCCAGCTACTCGGGAGGCTGACCAGGAGAATCGCTTGAACCAATGAGGCGGAGATTGCAGTGAGCCGAGATCGCGCCACTGCACTCCAGCCTGGGCGACAGAGCGAGACTGTCTCAAAAAAAAGCTAGGAAGGCCTGCGGTATGCATAAATCAGAATGCTTTGAACAGGTCAGGCTGACACACAGAAAGGTAGCATACTTGTTCTAAGACAAACTCTTTAAAAGAAAGTGAGCCTCACAAGTCAAGGAGACCAAAAAAAGTCAACTCTGAAGACCAGGATAGTGAATGGGAAATGGAGGAAAAATCAGTAACCTAAAGGATAGAGGGTGAGAGTGGGAATAGGTGAGGAACAACAGCAAAGGGTTTGGTGAGATTCCTGCAATCATTGCCTTCATATGTTTAGCTTATGGGATGACAGTTTTAGACCCTGTATGTGTGCCAAGCTGCCTAATGATTGAGAGCGATGTTTTGGGGCTTTTTATTTTTCATGGAGACAGTATTTTGTGAAAAGGCTTTTGTTTTGTGCATGTAAGAGAAGACATCTATTTCCTTGGAAGGAGAAATGTTTTTAAAGGATCCACTGCATGTCTTCATATGCTTTTTTATTTTAACCTTTAAATAAAATGCCAAGATAAATGGGAAGAAATCTGCATGTATAGGTTATCCTTAAATCACTTTTTGCACGCACAGAGGAATTTATTATTTCTTTTATAAAATGGTTCCAACCACCACACTGTTTTACATGCTGGAGATAGGTGAAACTTATACCTTAGTGTATAAGAAAGATGTGTACAAAATTAATAATTTTGTTTACATATTTATATATTAAACTGTTATAAAAAATGACATAGGACAATGGGATGGATGCTGAGGGGTAGCTATGAGTAAGGTGATGCAGCCAGCCACTTACGGATCTAGAGGAAGTGTTCCAGGCACTGAGAATGGTGAATGCAAGTGGCCTAGGCAGGGAACAAGTTTGAGAAGTATCAGGGCTTTGCTTTTCAAAAGGCCAGGAGAATTGTAGAAGAGGCAGAGGGGAGAGAGATCATGGAGAATCTCATAGGCCATGGGGTTTTATTCTAGGAGTAGTGGAAAATTACTGAAAGCTTTTAAGCAAGGTTTGCTATGATATGATTTGTGCTTGTATGTGTTGCAAAATAAGCTTATGCAGGAAAAGTGGAAGCTGGAAACAAGCTAGCTATCCATTACAGTTGTTGGGTTGAGAGATGATGATGGTCTTAACGAGTTGCAGTCTTACAGTAGAGTTGGTAAATCCTGACTTCACTCTTTATAAGATGCCAGAGGCTGGGGAAATTACCTACTTTCTTTAAGTCTCTAATTCTTCCCCTATAGCATAACATACAATACTGTGCCCCTCCCCTGCCCCCCCGCCGTAGAGATGTGGTGACTGTTAAATAAATAAGGTATGTTAAAGTTCTAGAACAGTGTCTGGCAAACAGCAGACTTTAATCTGCATTCATTCCTCCCCCAAGCAGGCATTCTCATTTACCTTCTCACAGAATTTGCAGGTTTGTCATGGAGAAAATGCCTCCTGATGTGGAGTTGTAGTCAAGAGGACACTAAGAAGAGCCTTGATAACTGTGGACCTTCTCCCCAAGATTTCCAGACACTTGGCTCCTCTAGCCGTTTACTAAGAACATTTTCATGAATAAATGAAATAAGAAGCTATGATTCAAGAAGAAATCAGAAGTTCTGAGAGTATAATTGGAGTTCATTCAAATACCTAATTTAAAAAGTGGAAACACTGTGGCCTAGAGTAGTTTTGATAGCATACCAGGAAACAAGCAACTAGTTAATCCTGTCCGGGCACAGTGGCTCACGCCTGTAATGCCAGCACTTTGAGAGGCCGAGGTGGGTGGATCACATAAGGTCAGGAGTTCAAGACCAGCCTAGCCACATGGTGAAAGCCCATCTCTACTAAAAATACAAAAATTAGCCTGGCATGGTGGTAGGCACCTGTAATCCCAGATAATCGGGAGGCTGAGGTCGGATAATTGCTTGAACCTGGGAGGTGGAGGTTGCATGAGCTGAGATCGTGCCACTGCACTCCAGCCTGGGTGATACAGTGCAAATCAGTCTCAATAAATAAATAAATAAATAAGTTGGTCCAGATCCTACACACACAAAAAATACACTGTTAGAGACTAGTACAACTCAGTAAATTTTTATTAAGGTGCTACATATGCTTAGTAGTGCGCTAAATAGTAATTCAAAAGATCAGAGAATGGATTTCAGGGCTTCCTCCTATTTCCCTCCAGCCAAATGCCAAGCTGTTCACTTACTCTTAAAGTATTCCTTCATAGACACTAAATCTGTAATGGCATTTCCAGACCACAAATACTTCTCCACTGATTGCCACTCACCAGCCCTAGACAACCACCTGGTCATCACTGTGGGTGCTGTCACATGCTCCACTCTGTTCCATCTGGTCTCAACTAGAATAAGCACTGCAAAAACACCAAATGATGGGCAGTATCTAACATAATTTCTAGAGTGTCTTCTTAAAATAAAGATATTTGGACTAACAGTGAGGTTTTTAAGCATTTTAATTTTAGCATTTTGTTCAAGATTGGTTTGGGAGGAATGTGATCTCCGGGGGACATCCTTGCCTTGACCCAGAATCAACTTGGCATTTGACCTAAAATGAACTCAGCCTCCCACCAGGGTAGTTACTCCTGTGGACACATTTTCATCAAACAACTTATTTGTTTGAAAATTCCTGTGATTTGGAAGTTAACATCCTGCTTGTCCAGGAGGACCTTGATTTAGTGGTAAGGGGGATTGGCTGCCCACCCATTCTCACTCCAGTAGCATATGTTGGAGGGACCATTGCTGCTGGGAGTGAGTATAACATGGCAACTGGTTGAGATTTTCTCCATACTCTACATCTCAGAAAATCTCAAACAAACAGTGCCCATTAGAAACAAGTTATTGAGCACACATATGTAGGCTGGACATTAGACTTTATTCAGAAACCAATCAGTAAGTGTCAAAGTAGTGTTTACTTGTAACAACTTGGTGGCATAAGCATTCACTATGCATCATGCTTTTAAAGCCTCCCAGCTGAGATGGATGGGATGGTTAGAGTGGCTGGGGTCTTGCTTCTTTCCTTATAGTTTCATCATCGAGTAGGGAAGCCAGGAATTATTCACCCAGCATCCATGATTTTTTCCCTTAACACAGATGCTCTACACCAGGGAGAAGCATTTTCTTTTTGTGAATAATGTACATATATATGCAAGCTGTTTTGGGTTTTTTTTCCATAGGTTAGTAGATTATTTCTATGAATATGGAAACACAACTCCAGCACAGCTGGCAAGTCTTGCCAGTGTCATACCTTTGCAACTCATCAGACTGTGAGGTTGAAGGAAACATGCTTTTGAACCACGGTATTGAATCTATTTCTCCAATAACATTCGCTGGATGATAGTAAACCTATTAATGAGAAAATGGATCCAGAAATGAAATTCTGCACACCTCCCTCCCAAAAAAAACTCTCTTGGAAGGATTCTGTGTTTCCCTTAGTGAACCTTGTCAAAGAAAAACTCTTGGCTGTATTCTTTGTAAACTGGTCCAACAAACAGGAAGAGAAATAAAAAGTACAATGTCAGCACTTTCAGCTTTACGCATTATGTCTTGATTTCCTTGGTACTCCTAGGACAAAAGAACCAGTTTCCTAACTTGTTGAAATTCTTCTACTTTATTATTCCCAGTGTTGGCCAGCATTTCTGGCATTTCATTGCCTTCAGACTGTTGAAGCTAAACAGTAACCTCTTCAGAAAATGAGGTCCTTTTGCTTGAAGATCTCTTTTGGTGCTTCAGGATATTTTTGCAAGTCACTTCCTGGCTATTTTTAAATCTATGGTTTCCAAACTCAACCTCCCCAGAGAAGCACACAATGTCTTTGGCATGCATCCTCATCAAGGTATTAGTAAATACAAAACGATGTTAGGTGTAGATAAAGTAGGAATTTGCATACTTGGAGTGATTTAAGGGCATCATCACCTATCAGTATCTTTATATAATTTTTGTCTTGGTGACTGATATTTCCACCATTCGAGAAGTATTATTTCTGTTGGAGTAGTCTACCTTTTTGTATGGATTAGTTCATCATATATTAAATAATCCAACCAGTCTTGATAAAATGGAATACAAAAAAAAACAAGGTGGAAAGTGTGAAGAGTTTAAAATTAAAAATGGTATAACTAGGCTCTCTATTCAGTAGTGTCACCAACTGGCTGGGTGACTTTTTATGAGTAAGTGCTGAACCCTCTGGCCATCTACAAAATCAAGGCTGTCAACAAGGAGAGTGTTAAGGTTCTCATTGGTGTGATGAGAATGTGCATGAGATGAGCCAGAAGCAGGGCTCACTGACAGGACATGGCCTGTTAGCAGTTTTGATGGGTGTTTTGGAACTCAGGGTCCACAACTGATTACTGCACCCTGAAGAAAGAGGCTCTAATGAAGAGAAAAGTAGCAGTGAAGGAAAGACATGAAAGGTAATGGGAAATTTTGTGTTGTCCAATTCAGCAACTGTTTATTGAGCATCTACTGTGTGTGAAACACTGTGCTAAGTAATAGGGATACAAAGATGAACCTGAGAGAGTCCCTGCATCAAAGAGATCAAAGAGAACCTTACAAAAATGCATAGTAACAAAATATTATTGCCGCACATGAAGCCAGTTCTATGTTCCCCATGCTGTACGAGCCTGGAGGAGGAATCACCAGAAGATGCCTGCAGAAGAAGACAACTGGACTAAGGCTAGCAGATGAAGTGGAAGTTATCAAGAACAACAGGGAGTGAAAGAATATACCAGAAGAGCATTCTGTGGAGAGGAAAGAGCCAAAGCCAAGTTATGAAGATGGGAAAAGCACACTGTATGTGAGAAGCAGCCTTCTGACAATAAACTTTTGGTTTAGCAGATTAGCTCCTGGGCACAAGACACCATGGTTTTGAGGGTAGGAAGGAGAAGAAAAAAATATTCTTTTAAAAAATTTTCTCAGTTCTTGTGGGTGTCATCATGTATGTGTCTGCTATTTTACTTCCCAGGCCTCAAAGTCATTAACTCCTAATTTCCAGTATATAGATGGAAGAGTTAGTCACATATTAAAGTCTTCAAATCCTTTTATCCAATTTATAGATGGTATTGTTCATCTGAAGAATTAGGACATACTTTTAAATCCTTGGTTTGCCTCTGAATTCCTATACAGTGAAGCCAGAGACAAGATTTATCTGAGATAGAAACCAGGGATCATTTCCCTGGTTTCAATACTCTACTTGTCACTACACAAATATCAGTTTAATTCACACTTAAATATTTAATAGCCTCTAATCATATTAAAAGCATTTAAATTTGTAGCTGAACTTTCATTTCACCTCTACTGCACAGAGAAATTAAAAAGTCAGTTTCCAGATGGCTGCATCATTCAGTGTGTGCTCTCAGAGGTGGCCTGGTTCATCTGGAATTCAGAGTCTGTTGAATGTGCTGGGAGATATCAGATTTCAATGCCCCAGGTATTCCTGAATCCCATAGCTCAGCCGTGCAGGGATTAGCTAGCCAATCTGTTTCTATTTCAGAAATTCACTGGGTGCCCAGCACTGTACTAGACACAAGTGAGACCAAATAATAATATTATCTCTAGTACATAATATTTTTCTTGTTACAGGGGAGGTAAGCCAGCCTTGTTCACATTAATTAGTCAAAAATTGGGAAAAATAGTTTTGGTGAACTGCTGTGTAATATCACTTAGTTTTGTTTTGTTTGTTTTTGTTTGTTTTTTTTTTTTGAGATGGAGTCTTGCTCTGTCGCCAGACTGGAGTGTATTGGCGTGATCTCGGCTCAGTGCAACCTCTGCCTCCTGGGTTCCAGCGATTCTTGTGCCTCAGCCTCCCAAGTAGCTGGGATTACAAGCATGCGCCCCTACACCCAGCTAATTTTTGTATTTTTAGTAGAGACGGGGTTTCACCATGTTGGCCAGGATGGTCTCGATCCCCTGACCTCATGATCCACCTGTCTCAGCCTCAAAGTCCTGGGATTACAGGCGTGAGCCACTGCACCCAGCCTATCACTTAGTTTTTTAAAGTGAGTATCTTTCACTGGCTGGTAAGAAGCCCATGACAAACAGAAAAATGAAATAGGTCAGCTATAAACTGTTTTGCACACTGAATCTGAGCCAAGTGGAGTCTGCAGGTATCAGGAAGTAATGAGTTTTCCTGGTTGAGAAGGAGGTCAGCCTTTAGATGTTGGTGGAAGGGATGGACTACAAAAGGCACCTTTGGCATCCCCTGACACCACTATCTCTTAAGTTCCGTTAAAGATGTCTGCTATTAAAAATTTCCAAAATGAATTATTTGGGACCATTCACTGAATCATATATTTAATAAATATTTTTTAGTACACTCTTAAAAATGCCACAGGCTGAAAATGCCAACATGATAGACATAATATTTAGCATCAAGAATCTTACATTCTAGTAGGCGTGGAAGACAAATACACAGTAAGCCCAGTACAGTGTGAAAAGCACTACAATAAACACACAGTACCCGGTGTGATAACGCAGAGGGGAATGTCTCCTAAACCTGCCTAGTCAGTCACAGATGCTGATCACCTTACAGGTGATATGATGCTTAATCTGCGAATAATTAAGCAGAGAAAGGTTTTCTAGGCTGAGAAGTGAGTGGGTCGAGACGTACTCTGGAAGTTTTAGTTTAGAATGGCTGAGATGTAGGTATTTGGGGGCGTAGCAAAGATGAGGATGGAAACCAAGTAGGAAGGGGCCATGTCATGATGACAGAACTAAAACCCTTTTGAGAAGCAAATTTTGGGAGAAGAAATAAACATGAATCAATTACCTTCCACTTATACTTTGCACCAAATCAGCAAATATATTGACTTCTGTTAAATGAATGACACACAGGATAGTTATGTTTCTGTGTAGCCTTCAAGAAACTACAAGACGTTGGTTACAAGGATTTGGTAAGGCTTGCATACTCAGGGTGCCAACTGAAGACACTGGGCCCCTTTGGTCTAAGATGAAATGCGTTTCAATAATAATACTTCCTTTATTATTGAAAGCATTTATTTATTGTGCAAGCATTTTAGAAAATGACACTAATTCCCCTGATAGGAAAGTTTCTATTGGTAAATCACTCCTCCACTTATTCATTAATTTAACATAAATTCTTTTAATGTCCAGTCTATCCTGGGCTCCAAGATGTAAGATGTAGGGCTTTGGGAACCTTATCCCAAATCACTGAAAACATATGGCAGAGCTCCTGACTGGGCTCCCTGCTCTGTCATCTCACTTTCTCCCTCTTCAGCATTTTATCCAGGTCCCAACTCCCTAGTTACTGCTGGCAACTCTAAGGAACTTTGCCCTTCTCTATGCCCTGGGTTATACAGAACAAAAATTAAAAGGTAAATAATATATAGCTTTTTCATTCAAGAAGTTCATTTCCTAGGAAAAAGAATAAATGTACAAAATGAAATCCTGCTACAAAATGATTAGAGCTATAAAAATGTACAGGATGAATTAGAAGGCAGGTAGAGACAATGGAGGCAGTGAGACTGGCCAGCAGGCTGCTGAACTAGTCAGGAGGGAAGGGGGGAGGGAAGAGGTGAAGGTGGATAGAACAGGGAAGACTTCAGATTTTGGAGTTGTCCTGCTATGTAGATTGTGGCCATGACTCAATGCTTATTAATGCATGGATCACATTTGCCTTCTGGTGACTTCTTTGGCCCAATGCCAGAATGTTAAATCACAAGGGGTAGAAATCAGCAGCAGAGTTTTCAGTGTTTTCCTCCAAATATTGTCGAGCCAGGAGGTCTCGGTTTACAGAGGAACTGGGGAAGTTACTAGGACTCACTGATGGAAAACACAAAGATCAGATCGGGAGTCAACTGTAGTTCCAGTTTGATAAACTGAACATCTCACAGCCACACAGTTGTGATTTTTTTTTTATTATTTTTTTTTTGTATAGTGCAATTTTGAGCAACTCTGTTACTCAGTTGATGGGAGGAGGAAGACTCATTACCCTGGGGAATTTACTCTTTCTTATTTTACCTTCTCAAAATCAAAATTATAAAGTGGGAATTAATGCAACACAACGCAACACACCATATGCAACACAATGGAACCAGGCCTCCGCCATTTGCTAAACGTTCTCTGCCACATAACACCTAAGTCACAGCTTGCCAGTGCTGGATGGTGTAGTTTTTTGTTCCATCTTAGTTGTGCAGCATTTTTTTTTCTTTTCTGGTATTTAACAGTTCCACTAAAGTACTACCTGAGTGGGAAGAGAAATCTTTGAATTTCACCAGCTTGTAACTCATACACCTATATTCATTTTAGTCCTGGCAAGAGCAATTGGTTAATCCTTAGCACAGGCTGTAACAGGAAGGTGATCTATTTGTTCATCAAGTGCACTATTGTTTTCATCAATGGATTGTCATTTTTAAAATTAAACCCTTAACAGTATAATATCGTACCCTTTCTTCTCTGCTAGTTTTCTCTTCTCGGTTTTTCACATATTTTAATATAACAGAATCGGAAATATGCTGAAATATACGTGATTGTGCTTTCAATGCTACTGCATAGGAGTATTTCTGAGCTTGTCATAAAATGTCGTAAATGACACAGGCACTACCAAGAAGCATTTAAATTCATTTACATATAATGAAAAGTTTTTTTTCATAAATCATGCTTTCCCAAGTAAATTTCCTGATGAATCATCAAGCTTTTGTATCATAATTCAAGTACTGACCCTCTGCTATGAGGGCAGCTTGCAGCAAAATTGTATTGGGATTAAAAATTTCGTTTTTCTACCATCTTTTGATAGAGCTTTTATTGATAATCTTACTGTTATTAAAATGAATAGCTAGTATAATTATTATGTATTTCTAAATTCCTTAGAGTCAATAAAAATTACCTCTTTTTTTTGCACTATGACAATGTCAAGTATTCCTGGGTTTTTATACAATTTCATAAAATCTCTTCATTATGTATTGTTTTGCAGTATATGAAAATTGTTATTAGTCAGCTGCCAATTGCTTCCATCTAAAAATAAATAAAACAAAAAATTGAGGAGAATCACGCAACAATGGCATATAGAATTTAGCAATGGGAAGAATATGGGTGCCTGTTACTCAGCAAAAAACAGGCTGGAGGGTTGAAGCAGATAATATGGAAAATAAGTAAACAACCTGATTAGATTCCTCTCACATTTTTATGATAGCTTTGCTTTTAGTAAGATAATTTTTCTGTTTGTGTTTTCTTGATGTATTTTTGTTGGGGAAGAAATTGCTAGCATCTTTATTCATGTTGGAATATCCTGGAGTGAAATTCAATGTCACTAGTTTGGTTTTTCATATTTTGACTAGATGTCAGTTCACTAGTTGGAAGGTTCTGTGTCTGCCGTATTTGATCACTTGACATTTCTGAAGGCTTTGCTTATGTAGTGTAGGAGTCATGAATTGAAAATTGGAATACCATGCATGAAAACCGCCTTAGTAAACATTTACAGTTTATCTTGTTCCAGCACTTTAAGAAAAATAAATAACTTTATATGGTCTATGAAAAAACAATTTAAAACCTTTGAGTATTTAAAGTACATTTATTTATTGCCTACTTAATCATGGTATTCTTTCGTGTCTTAGGCTGGGTTCCCTGGAAATAGACTTGAGATGCCGATGCATATGCAAGTAATATATTGGTATTTGTGCTAAGAGCAAAAATTATGAGGGATTGAGGGAAGCTGGAGTGGGTATAAGAAGTTGAATTCTGGTGCAATGACAAAACAGAGGCTGTTTGCACAAGGAGCTCTGAAGCTGGCATAGATCTTCAGAGTTTCCCAAACTGGGCTGTGGTTCTTCCACTTCAACCAGTCATTGAATGTAGGCTGCTACGGTGGATGGGATGTCATCATGAGCAACATAGCTCCCTTTGGTTGATGGCAATTCCTAGGGAGAAACAAAAGTGTGAACTGCCAGGAGCCAATACTCCTGGCAGCTGGGGGAATATGTACCTTTGTCCTGAAGGGAATATCTGGGCAGCACACCACAATATGGAGAACACCCACTGAAAACCCTGGACATGGTATTACTGCTTTTGGAGAATTTCTATTAAAGCTTATAGACATTTGACCTGAAACCATTTAAGTAAGAAATGGTATAGCATTGCATATTTCAAAATTCATGGTTTAAAAAAATACAGTCTGTTAAAAACTCCACTGAATTGATGTGGCTTGAAGTTCTGGGTCTTGCTTTCTTCTTGACTCACCTCAGTGTATTAGTCATGGCTGCCTCTACCTTGAAAAATGCTTGAGGCACTGAAAAAGTTAGGATATGTTTACTTCTGAACAAAATGGAGGCTAACATTATTTTCTGAAAAAATGCTATGGTATAGATATTATTGGTATAAAATAATTTAATAATAATCCTGGTAAAAATCTAAGAGTGAGTTTGAGAAATCAGTTTTTAACTCACAAATTTTATTTGTCCAGAGCAACAGGTATATTTCTGGTCGTTTAACCAACATTTATTAAATATCTACCATATGTCAGAAACTATGGAGGAATCACAAATGATTTCTTATTCTTGAAGAGTTTATAAACTATTTGTGAGAATGACAGATTTATGTCATCAATATTGGTTACCCACAGAAAGATGGGATTCTGCCATATTTAGATACAATCACTATGATAGTTCAGAGAGGGGATAGATAAGACAGTTTATTTTGAATCAGTAAGAAAATATTTGTGGAAAATATGGCCTTCGATAGATGGAGGAGAACTGGATATTTGGAGTCTGGAAAAGATCAGTATTTCTAGATTTAGGAGAGAATTTGAAAACATAAAGATAGAGGTATGAGATTTCCAGATCAGCTGGAGCTAAGGATAATTAAGTAAGTAAGTGTTAGACATGGCAAAGAATGCCAGCTAACTGAGGATCTTGAATGCTGGGCTAAGGATTCAAAGTTTTTAATAGACAAGTGGAAATTATTGAGGAGTTTTGACTCTAAGACTGAATAGATTTCTCTTGAATTAACTCTAAATAGTTTTGTTTCTCTATTTCTATTTTCTGAAACACAGAGCTCTTAATTTCAAACCATTCAACTAGCATTTGTTGTTCACTTATTATATCCTTAGTTTCTCAAAATCAGTTTCTAGTATACTCTATGCGACTATTTAAAAAAATAAAAGAAACACATTTCCAATTTAAATGCCTTCTGAACAATTTTATTAAAAAAATGCTGCTGGCACTTGAAGCTCAATATGTCCTAAACTACTCATAATTTACATCACACTAGCAAACACACACACACACACACAAACAAACACACACCACAAGCCTCCCATCCTGCTGGCTCTCATCACAATTAATTATATAATGAGGAAAAATGTGGTGTTAAGTAAGTCTACCAGTAAACATTTCCACAGTCTAGACAGATTTTTTTAGTGTGTGTAGATGGTGTGGGAGTGGGAAGTTCGATTGTCTGCTTTTTCTTCATTCTGAGAAAACATTAAAATAGGCTTTTTAGTTTGGCCAACACAAGTCAAAGAAGATCAAAATTATTCTGCACAATAAAGTAAGAGGTTGTCTTCTTTAGATGAAATATTATTATTTCAAATATTTCAAAATATGATTTTAACAATTTTTTTTTCTGCAGGAGACAGGTTCTTTGAGAATTTGATACAGTGAGCACATTGTATAGGTGATTAATAAATATTTGTGGAATGAATGAATGAACATGCCATTAGGGTTGTATAATTAGTTGTCAGCATTTTGTAGTTGCGGAAAGTGTGACATAGAAAGATTAAATAACTTTCCCAAGAGCATTCCGTTAGGAAGTGTCAGGTCCATGCTCTTGACATATTGCAATATTGCTTCTGGTAACATGGCAGGAAGGGATCAACAGAGCTGCTATAAGCAGGAGTCCTAATCTGAACGTGAGAGGCAAAAGGGTATTGGATTTTCTGCAGTTAGACTCCATGGGAGCTTGAGATATTTTAATTGACTATTAACTGAACGGATGATGCTAGAAGAATGGAACACTTGATCACCCAAGGCAAGAATCTTCATGTCAGACTTGACATTTTGTTCACCTCTCATATTCAGTCATTTGTCAGGCTGATCCATTCTTTACTGGTCTTTTCAAATCTATCTTCTTCCTTCTAGTTTCATAATCATTGCTATAAAGTTAATGCACTGAGATGATTTTAACAGCATTCTAAATTATCTATCTCCAGATTCATCTAAATCCTAAACACTTCTCTCAGAATAATCTCTCATTTGTAGAATCCTCTAGTTTTTTCCAGACACACATTCTTACTCTTGTATTTTTCCCCCATTTACTAGGTTTTAAAAAGATGTTTCTTTTCAAAATTTAAATTACACTTTCCTTTTCTTGCTCCTTAAAAGAGGAAGAAGCTTTTATTTCTAAGCAATTTTTCTATCTCTGTCTTTATCATCAATATTGCCATCTATTTTAAACTTCAGGTAAATGAAAATCCTTAAATTAAGACATGTTTCTGCGAAATCACGTATCTATAATTTCTCATTTCTATATATTTTGTGTCTTTTACTCTCCCTCTAGGTTTTATCGTATTAGATTTAGTCGATTATTTAAGGTGGCTAACATGTTTGATAATCTTAATTCTGTTATGCAACATTGTTACTATCCCAGTCAACTCTGAGTTATTTGATGAGCATTCTGCTTATATATCCATTCAAATTATCTAAAAATATCAACCCAAGATTCTGGGAAGATAGACTAGGAACTGGAGATATAGCCAATATATGTACAGCACAAAAGTGAGGCTGGTTAGAAAAGGCCATGGGGCCAATTCTTTTCTTCTCCCTTCTCTCACCATTTGCCATTTCCACCATAAACAGTCTCTGCTCCTCTTTTCTCATCTCATCTGTAGGTGGAGATTATCGTAGTACTCACTTTATAGGTATTATAAAATTTAAATGAGATAATGCAGGCGAATAATGCATGTTAACTATTATTATAATTAAGCTTACTACAAATTAGCAAAAACAACAGTCTGGCATGCATGAAAATCCTGATTATGGCAGGAGGGATTTATGCCAAACAGCTCATGAGAGTTCAGTTTTGTTTTATTATAATATGATTTTTATACCACCTACACATCCAACAGAAATTATTTCCTCTCTAGTTTGCAAAAGATGCAAAGTCAAAGATCACAAAAAAGAAAGTGGCCAAAAGCTATTTGCAAAGCTCTGTTACCTGAATTTACAGTCTTTTTTTTTTTTTTTTTTTTTTTTTTTAAGGAATCTAGCTAGTTTGGCAAATCATCTATACAACATTTGTTTGAGGTCACTGTTATGTTTTCATTTCAGCATTAGCCTACTTCATGGACTATTTATGTCATTATTGTAGTTTGGAATTTTGATTAAAGATATGTCATTATTGTAGTTTGGAATTTTGATTAAAGATGCAAAAAAAAAAAATGTGACTGCAATGTGAGTAACACCTTTAGTTTAAAATCGGATTTAGCTCCCTTCCTTTATTCATCAGGGTGAAGAAATTACCTTGTTACTCAAATACTAATAAGAGCACTTAGTAATTTATCTGTTATTCAAGTTATTATGGAAAAAATATCTATAAAAAGGCTAACGTAACATTTAGGAGATTAGAGTTTTTAAAGTTCCCGTGTTAATATCATATTCATGTCATTATTTTAAACTGGAATTCAAGCTCCAGATTTATGGGTTATATAGATACGCAGAATTAGAGTGGACAATTAATTTCTTCCTCTCTCTCTTGCTCATTCTATGTAGCAGCTAAAATTAACTCAGGGTCTTTTGTATACTATGTTGTAATTTATTTTAACAGCATCTTAACAAATTGATAGGTTTAGTAACCAAGTTACATATACACACAGAGGAAAATATGTACTCTGAATAAAAGTTTCTATTTATTGCCCATGTATCTAATACTATATAAATATATACACACACATATATAGACATATATATTCTCAAATCATCGTAACATTTTTGTAACATAAATTTTATTAATCTTATTTGTAAATGATAAAATTGGGGCTTATGAACTACAAATAACTTGCCTTAAGTCACAAATCAAAGATTTAAGATGTTTATTTAACTTCAAAGCTTGCATATTATCCATTAAAACATAATGCTTCTGCGAATTTCTTTTACAACTACGTCAAATAGCATTTGTTAGGATACAGGTAAGGCTTCCCTAAATTTATGTTTACCAGTAGTATTAGGGATTGGAAGAAATATAAAAATAGAAGGTGGAGCAGAATGGCAGACTGGACTTGCTAAAATTCTACCTGCTAAAAAATACCTATATCTAGTATAAAATATATTTTATTATTTTGCTTGGTCCCAGATTTAAGGAAGCATGCAAAGTGTTCAAGAAATAGAACAGGAAGCTGATTCTTCAGCAGTAAGCCCTAAATTAGGTTTTTCTTGAAAGGCAAATACTTATATTAGCGCCATAACCAAGAGACTAAGCATTGGATTAGCTGCAGAGTAGGGAGGCTGAACCTGAGCCTCATGGATTGAACTCAGAAGGGTAATAAAATGACCCCAGTCTGCATTAAAACCAGGGTTCAAAAAAAATATAAAAGCAAATCCTCCCTGGAAAAAAACATCATAATGTTGGTTGTCTAGATTTTCCATAGATTAACATCTATGACTCTCAATTGAAGTGTACCATACACTCAAGAAAATAAACTACTATGAATGAGAATCAGCCGAATAAACAATAAAGGTACATCTCCAAAGAATTCTGATGTTAGAATTTTCAGATAGATAATAGAAAATAATTCTATACAAAATACATGAAGACATAAAAGAGTTAGAAAAATGAGCATGTAAAAAGAAATAACCAAAAATAATACCTAGGAGATTTGAAAGATACAAGATAGAACTTTCCTCATAAAATATGATTGATAAATAAAAACTGAATAAATGGGTTAGTTAGATCATATATAACTGAAGAGAAAGTTAACAAACTGAAAAATGGATGTACAGAAATAGCACAAAATATAATACAGAGACAAGATGAAAACTATGAAAAAGAAAATAAGATTTATGAATGATAGAATAGCAGTTCTAACTATGTTTAATTGTATTCCCAGAAGGAGGATACAGAGATAATAGAAGAGAGACAATATATTGAGATATATTGTATATTAGTTAGTTTAGCCTGTGCTGTTGTAAAACAAACTCTATCCATCTCCATGGCATAAAAGTTTGCCATTAGTCAAGTGGATGCTCTCAGTTCTCTTCTTCTGTTCTTCATGTAGTGAGTTCAGTAATCTAAACTGCTTTGATCTTGACACTCTCTGCCACCTCTATCCAAAGTCTTCATGTTTGCTTCGAACAGAGATGAAAGAAATGGAGCAATACACAGGACTTTTCACCATCTCAATCTCGAGTGATACATATCTCTTCTGCTCACTTGTCATTGGCCAAAACAGTTCCAAAACCTTTACAAAAGTATGACAATTAGACTGAAAGTAGATTTCTCAACAGCAACAATAAAAGTCAGCAGGGAATAAAATAACATATTTGAGGGCTGAGAGAAAATAATTTTTGACTTAGAATCGTGTTCTCAGAAAAAATATGCATCAAGATGGAAGGCAGATTAAGATATTTTCAGAATGCATATACATATATATTATTTAAATATAAAACCATAAATGAACTTATATTGAGGGACCTACCAAAGAATCTATTTCAGCAAGATAATAAATTTTCTCAGGAGGAATGCCCATGATGATTGTGGAACAGTGGTAAAAAAAAGAAATTGGTAAATAAGTAGTGAAATCCAAACAGATATTTTTAAGTAAAATATCTAATTTATGGCATTTGAGAAAGGAAGAGAAATAAATTATTGGACAAAACTTTGCCTGTAAAATGAGAGATGATTGATCCAAATAATGTGTTATAAATATCCTTATATTGTTTGAGAGTGTAAATTATGATATTAACTTTAAACTGGAATAAGTTCGAATATAATGGTAAACCTCTGAGATAATCACCAAAGGAACAGAAAGAGAGGATATACCAGGAGAAGAAAATAATAAATTCAGAAAAATAAAGAAACCCAATCAAAAAACTCAAGAGCTAGAAAGCAATAAAATAGAAAACACACACAAAAAATAAAAGCGATTGATTAGATAACACCTCACTTCCTCAGAATTTGTCTTAAATGATATTTTCAAGTACTTGTCAAAACATATTCATAGTAAAGAAATGGAAAAAGCCTACCAGTCTTAAATACTAATTAAAAGAACCTTAAGGAGCAATACTAAGATCAGACAAAACTGACTTTAAGAAAAATGGCAATTTTAGGTTATCAAAAAGATTACTGCATAGTGCTAAAAAGTTCATTTGAAATAGCAAAATGAAACTAGTTTAAATGTGTGTGCATCCAAAGCAATGACATTAAAAAGATATAAATACAAAGCCAAAAGTTTGTTTCTTTAAAACATTAATAAAAAGTTTAATCTCTCTCAACATCAAGAATAAGGAAAAGTAAGAGATAATTAGTATTACAAATGAAAAGTAGTCATAACCCCAGAATTCATAGAGTCTGAAAAGATAAGAAAATAATGCAAACAACTTTATGCCAACAAAATTTATTTTTAAAAAGTCATGGCCAGGCAGGGTGGCTCACGCCTGTAATACCAGTACTTTGAGAGGCTGAGGCAGCAGATCACTGGAGGTCAGGAGTTTGATACCAGCCTCGCCAATGTGGTGAAACCCCATCTATACTATAAATACAAAAATTAGCCGGGCATGGTGGCGCACGCCTATAATCCCAGCTACTTGGGAGGCTGAGGCAGGAGAATCGCTTGAACTTAGGAGGCGGAAGTTGCGGTGAGCCAAGATCGTGCCACTGCACTCCAGACTGGGCGACAGTGAGACACCATCTCAAAAATTTTTTTTAAAATGGGAAGAAAAATATAACTTACTAACAGTTATTCAAGAATCAGATTCAATTACCAATAAAGAAGTTCAATACATAGTTTAAAATCTTCTAACAAAGAAACCAACTGGCCCACTTGGTTTCACAAGTCTAGTGAAACTTCATGAAACAGATAAATATCCTTCACAAAACTCTTTAGAGAAGAGAAAAAAGTTTACAGACCATTCATTTTAATAGACTAGTGTAATATTTATAACAAAACACAAAGTGTGACAAATGTAAATCACAGACTAATCTTACTCATTAATATAGACCAACATTCTACAGAGTATCAGCAAATCCAGCCATATAAGCATGACAGTACATCATGAGTAAGTTTAGCTTATTTCAGAAATAACTTGTGTTCAACACTGAAATTGTTTAAAGAATAAAAGTGATTAACAGTGTCTTAAGGAATGCAGCAAAACTGTTCTATGAAATTCAATTTCTGTTTATGACCAAGAAGGCTTATAGCAAGTATTCATTCTATTTTTATTTTTATTTTATTTATTTTTATTTATTTATTTTTTTTGAGACAGAGTCTTACCCTGTCACCCAGGCTGGAGTGCAGTGGTACCATCTCAGCTCACTAAAACCTCCACCTCCCGGGTTCAAGCGATTCTCCTGCCTCATCCTCCTGAGTAGCTGGGATTACAGGTGCACACCACCACACCCGGCTAATTTTGTGTATCTTTAGTGTAGAGACGGGGTTTCACCATGTCGGCCAGGCTGGTCTCGAACTCCTGACCTCATGATCTGCCTGCCTCGGCCTCCCAAAGTGCTGGGATTACAGGCGTGAGCCACGGCGCCCAGCCAAGTATTTATTCTTAATATATAAAATGTCTGAAGCATTCCCACTAGCACTGTTTCTATGCAACATTGTACTGGAAGTTCTAGAGGTACTATGTATACTAGCTAGTGAGGTAAGACAATAAAGAGGAAGTCAATGGTATAAGTAAGAATTAGAGATAAATCATAGATATGATTGTCACATAAAAAACTCTTGGCCAGGCGTGGAGGCTCACGCCTGTAATCCCAGCACTTTGGGAGGCCGAGGCGAGTGGTTCACGAGGTCAGGAAATCGAGACCATCCTGGCTAACACGATGAAACCCCATCTCTACTATAAATACAAAAATTAGCCAGGCATGGTGGCGGGCGCCTGTAGTCCCAGCTACTCAGGAGGCTGAGGCAGGAGAATGGGGGGAACCTGGGAGGCGGAGCTTGCAGTGAGCCAAGATCGGGCCACTGTACTCCAGCCTGGGTGACAGAGCGAGACTCCGTCTCAAAAAAACAAAACAAAAAAAACCTCTTAAGTCCTTATAGACAAATTATTAGAAATTGTAAGAAAGGTGGCAATATAGTTGTCTCTAAGATCAATATACTTAATTTCTATATATCATAATAAAGAGATAGAAAAGGAAACTTTGTAAGTATGTTACAATAGTTGCAATAAAAACATAAGATAACTAGGAATAAATCTAAGAAAGATATATAAGACCTATATTCATGAAACTTTTAAGCTTTGTCAAATGACTTTTTAAAGAAGAGCTAAATACATTAAGAGTTTTTCTAACTTAACAAATAGAGAAATTGATCTCATTACACTTTTGATCACTTTGGTAAATTATATTTTTCCAGACAATTTTCCATTTTGTATAGATTTTTAAATTTACTTGCGTTGAGTTATTAAAAGTAGCCTCTTGATTTTTAAAATTCTGTTTTGGTTACTTTTATATTTTTTATTTTGTATCTTAAGTTTTGAAAATACATAAAATAACAAGAAAAATGAATCATCCTTTTTTAAGCATCATCTTTTTTATCATCATTCAATGTATCTTATACTGGTGGCATATTGCCTTGGGAGAGCCCGTAAAGAAATTCAAAGTATCATAAAAACAAGAGCCTTGCTTCTTTGTAACCTCAGTCATCTACGTGTATCCTACTCTCTGGCCATACTCATATTATGGAAAATATTTTTTGCAAAATTAGGGATATACTTGGTAAAATTTTTATAAGTACATCTTTTTTATCCAGTGAAATACTGAAAAATTTATATTTCACTGAACCAACACTCTTCAGACTTTGCTCATTAGGGTGTAGATGTCTCACATTGGCAATTGAAAACAGAATTGAAATGGAATAGGAAACCAATTTAAATAAATTCATAGAAGCAATTCTTTTCTAATATAAAAGTTATTTTCTTAAAGGGAGGAAACTTCAAGTTTAAGAATGACTTCTTATAAGAGAACATGGAAGAAGCCCTTCCTATTATAGTCACAACAAACAGATTTGATTTCCTCCACCAAAAAAAATATGTCTCAAAATTAGGCTCATCAAATCTATCCGAATGGTATATTTTTCAAAAGAAAACTTGTCATCGAATGGTCATGCACATTCAATGCTTCTGAAAGCAGTGCTCCCCAATGTAAGCATAGCTTTCATACTGAATATAACGTTACAGTGTTTATCTTTTTCCTAGGAACTTCAGCAAACAAGTCAGAAAAGAAAATCTCTCTATTCCCAACAGGTATCCCTTATTGTGTAAACTTTGTGTATGCCCAACTTTAAAGGACTGCAGCTAGACAGAGGTGAACATGCATAACATTGTTCTAAATTTCATGTGTATACACAGAAATATTCAGCATGACTGCATAGGTGCTTCTGCCTGGCTGGTAGACATTAGAAAGAATGTTAGTGGTGTCCAGTGCATAATAACAGTATCACCAATGCATGCGCCAGCAATATTCTTGCTCTAACTAATATCTAAGCAGCAATGAATGGGCTTAGTGATGTCTAATACAGCCTTAGAGAATGATCAAGAACATGTATACAGAAAGCAAATAATAAAAGTACAACTAGTACTCATGATAACATCTATGTAATAACAGATTTCTGTATGCCAGGTGCTGTGCCGAACACTTTAAATATATTATTCCACTTAATTTAGTAAATCCCTTATAAGGTAAATATTTTCATCCCCATTTACATATGACCAAAAAAACAAAGTTTAGAATGGCTAAGTAATTTGCTCTAGGTCATATTGCTAGTCCCTAGCAGAGGATTCAAAGGCATTATATCTGTCTGCCTATAAGCATGTGCCACTATGCAGCACTGATTTTTAAAATATATGCATAGACAAATAAGCAGAACAACAGGAAAGAAAACCAGAATGGGGAAATTGATCAAGGATATACATTTTTTATATCACACTGTATAGTACAAATCTGGACACACAGTTTTAGTGAAGTGAATGTCTATCAATTATGTCTCTCCTCTCTCTCTCTCTCTCCCATTTATTTATCTATTATCCACCTGTCTTTTTGTCATCTTTATTATCTATCTTCCTATCTACTTAGCTATCTATTTTTGCCTACCCAGCATCTCTTCTTTACAAAATCACGGCATGAACATATTAGGCAGCCTGTCTAATCAGGGTACCTCACTATCCTAGCACAGTGATTCAACCAGTGATGGGCACATGTCCCAAGAAGGGCCAGAGTCTTTTGGTAGGATCAGTCTGGACACAGAGGAATAGAAGTATCCTGACATATCTGAGACCATAATTGCTAAAGGCTACATAAATATGGAACTGCCATGAGCTGTTTTTGCTGCCCAGAAAGAAAGCTTGCTTAGACATGAGGCAAACCAAGAGACTACGGATGGACTAAATAAAAAGGTCTCATGATATAATTTTAATTCTGAGAGCCAGCTGTGTAGAGAGTTCATGCCACCCCTTAGTTATTCAGGTAGAATAAGTCAAAATATGTTTTTTTTAAAAAATGTAATTTGAATCAGCTTCTGATATGGTTTGAATTTGTGTCCCCGCCCAAATCTTGTATCCAACTGTAATCCCCAGTGTTACAGGAGTAGCCTGGCAGGAGGTGGTTAGATCACGGGGGCAGACTTCCCCTTGCTGTTCTTTTGACAGTGAGTGAGTTCTCTCGAGATCTGGTTGTTTAAAAGTGTGTAGCAGCTCCCCCTTTGCTCCCTTCCTACTTCTCCAGCCATGTAAGATGTGCCTGTTTCCCCTTCACCTTCTTCTATAATTGTAAGTTTTCTGAGGCTTCCCCAGCCATGCTTCTTGTACAGTTGCAGAACTGTGAGTCAATTAAACTCCTTTTCTTTATTAATTACCCAGTCTTAGGTAGTTATAGCAGTGCAAGAACAGACTAATACAGCTTCTCTCTAAGGCAAAGAGCACTGTCTCATTTCCATTTAAACTATGTCCTTTTATATTTTTCTGAAGATTTCATACTCTTTCTTCTCCACTTTTTTTGTATGCTCTTTCTGCATTGTTAGTCTTCAATCTCCCTTTTGGCAAAGATGAGTAATGTAGTGCATCCATGGACAAACAATTTTGGTGCCTTTTAATGCAAGGTAATACATGCTAGTTATCAGATGACATTCCATCTGTATGCTGGAGAATAAATAGTACCGTAAAATTAGGTTGTTTTCGTCCCAAATATCAGGCCACAAAGATATAAACATTAAAATCTGAAATGCAAATGCATTATAGCAAATTCAGTCAAAACACGTTTGAGCCTGCTCTAGCTATGATCATCACATAAGCCTAGTTTAATTCCTTTAGGCTGCTATAACAGTATTTCATAAACACCTATTCCAGAATTCCCAAGAGTTGCACATTTCTCTATGTGGTATTCACTTGAGGAATCTCTGATATATAATATAATCTTTGATAATCAACTGATGCCTCAGCTGAGTTAATGTCTTTATCAGTATGATTTAAATTAACTTTAACATTTTAGTGGCAAATTCAGTATAGTATTTGGCTGCTTTATTAATAAATATTTGTCAAATGATGTATATGTGTATATACTAGTGGAATGAAAAGTATATCCCTGCTGCATGCTTTCTGTAATATAAGAGATATATACTAGCCATTATTGTGAACACAAGGACTATTATTTCACTCTAGATGAAAATTACATCTGTAGAATTATGAGGTGTGTTATGTAAAGCTCTCAATGAAACATACAAACAGGATGCCTAGTGAGTATTGGTTCTTAATTAGATACACAAATATTAAGAGATTGTTGAGTAATTAAATAAGAAAACTGTAAATACCATGTACAGTGCTTCACACTGCAAGTTTTTCTTGGATGCAGCTAGAGTGAGTCGAGAAGGGAATAAATCTTAAGATGTTTTGAAGGAGGAATTTTTTTTCATAAATCAGATTAGGAAATACAAGTTTTTAGTTTTGAAGAAAAGTTGGTTCAATTTACTTAAAATTAGGAAAGTAGTTCCTGTACAAGAAAGGAATACCTTCCTTTTGGGAAAAGCCAAATAGGACTAATCATTGGTGAACTTAGGAAACAAACTCTCAAACCCTCAATTTTAATTACATATAAAAACAATTTATTTAGAGATTGTTACTAAAGTGCTTCCAAATTGCCTAAGCAAGTTGAAAGTAATTTCAGTAAAAGTGACTTTGTGGGTCATTTCTGAAGAATTGCTTTGAGAACAATGACGATAAGATGGAAATCCATCTGGCAGAAGGGCATGTGGAATACAGGTAAGATACGAAAATTGTTCTGGGAAAATCCTTCAGCTTTTAATCTCACTGGGTTTCAATTCACAGAAGTTGATGGAAGCTTCACTCCTTACAGAGTAGCTGAGTGGATTTCTTTAGCACAAGTGAAGGACACCAAAGACTTTCAATTCAAGGCATGTAGAAGAGATATTATTTGATATGCAAGATATTGTAATTCATATATGGTTTTTAAGTTACATAACTTTTAGCTTCCAGAATTTTTCTAAGAATGAAGACTTTACTTTTCTAATAAATCAAAAATGTTGTTTTTATTGTCCATGTATTTTCTCTAAAACTTTGCTGTTTAGGGTTCAAGACAACTAAATAAATGAAGAAATAAAGCATATTTTAAACAGCCTTGTCAGGTATGCCCCACCACCTAGCCTCCCACTGACATTTCCATTACCTGGAATGTATAAAGAAAAGAGTAGTTGAGCTCTTCAGAGATTAAATGGTATATAAATAGCAATGTTATAGAAGGGAAATTGGAAAGTCGAAGAGAATATGAATTTGAAATATGTGTATTGACTTGATCTATGAGCACATTTTAGAATAATAAATATTCCTGTGATAGTTAGCAACTTTATGCGGATAGCACCACAGAGAAGAAAAGCAATCATTCAAAGCAGCTGAGGAGAAAGCAGATCATAAGTCAGAAGATAGAACTTTAAAATGAAAATTTCCCACTAAACAGTGAAGGTAGAAATTGTTCTTTTCAGTGACCCTGAGTTTAACCACACAGACGCCCATCTAAAACAATCACATTAAATATCAACACCAGATTATATGAACAGGAACATCACTGATTGACATCAAGACTAAAGAATAACCCCTTCAAAATGTCTATAGAGTTTGGAAAAATACATTTTCCTCAGCTCCCTGTTTCCACCAACCCTTTGGTTGTTATGTAGATTGGTATAAAAATTTTTGGCTTATGAAATTGACTAAAAATAGATTAATTTTGTACAATTTATATGGAAGTAAACAAAAATTTTAAAGGAATAATTTGATGATATGTTTAATAAATAAAAGAACAATTTCACTGAATATACTAGTATCTCCCAAAAAGCATCCTTTTGAACACACACAGTCTCAGTAATGGTTGGTATATATTTTGTTTTATCCATTGATATGTTCATTAGAGTCCTGAGAGAATTCATTAGCTAAAGAAACAATTCAGCAAATGTCTTTGTAAAGTGAGGAATTACTTCACATTCTTATGTGTCACAAAATTTTTATAAGAGTTTTTCTTCAAGTCAAGTAGAACTATAGTGTCATTGTAGCTGATGAGACATGAAGATGAAACAATATGGTTGATTATATTTAATAATGTGTGTTAAACAGGAATGTGAAACTTGGATGTTTAATTGATATCAGAAAATAGCAATTATCTGTAGCCAAAATGTTTTTTCTCCTGTGAAATACATTGTGCTGTATTACATTTACATTTTTAGAAATTTTCTTCTAGTGTCTTTGTACTCATTTGTTTAATTTGGAAAATATATGAGTATAAGGGAAACTTGGAAAAATAGTACGAGGTATATATACCATATACCCTTACCTAGATTCATCATTAACATTTTGCCATAGTTGCTTGTGTTTTCTCTCTCTCTGAATTATGTTTATTATTATTTTAAGCTGAAAATAAAATTTGGCCAGTGGGATCCTAATTACATACTAGGATCTGTGTACATGTACATGCACACACACACACA
This sequence comes from Homo sapiens, assembly GCF_000001405.40. Classification (NCBI taxonomy): domain Eukaryota; kingdom Metazoa; phylum Chordata; class Mammalia; order Primates; family Hominidae; genus Homo; species Homo sapiens. The sequence goes on from NC_000011.10 coordinate 106,440,859, forward strand.
CACACATACACACACTTTTTTTTCCAACCATTTGAAAGTAAGAATCTGACTTCATGGCATTTTATCCCTAAATATGTCAACAGATACTAACAATCAGATATTCTTCAACAGAATAGAAGCACCATCATTACAGCCAAAATAAAACCCTCAGTAATATTATCTAATATGAAGCCTATATTTAAGCTTTCTCAATTGTCTTCAAAACATTTGTTATGGCTTTATAAATTTTCATAATAGTAAAAATTTTTTGAGCCAAACTGGCTATCTTGAAGAATGTTCCACATTTCAAATTGGTCTGATTGCTTTCTTATGATGAGCTCCAGGTTGAACGTGATTGGCAAAAATACTTCTCATGGAGTGAGCACTTAAAGAGACACAAATGTCAGGCTGTCTCATTATTAGTGATACCAAGGTTTATCATTTGGTTAGGATTTGTGCTACACATGTATTTCTTTTCTTATAAAGATCAGTTTTTGTTTTTTCATAAGTTACAAGCTATCTATTTGGTAACATTTTCAGATTGAATTAATAACGTACATGCCAATAACTTCATCCAGTGTTGTGTGTATGTGTGTGCTAATTTGGATTCATGGATTCTTTTTTTTTAAATTTTATTATTCTTTTGGATGCTTAAAATACTCCATAGCTGGCCTGTGAAAATCCCTTCAGATGGGCTTCCATGTTGTTTTAACATGACTTCATTTGTTTTCGAATATTTTCTTGTCTTCTGGCATAACAATATGTCCTAGGCTCATCTTGTACTTTCCCTGACCCAAATCTGTCATTTTTCTAAGAGGACTTGACTTTGGTTGGAAATGAAATATAGAAACCAAGATGTGGGCTCTTTGTGTGCTTATTGTTAACGAGTTATCAGGGCTCCTAGGCATTTCAGTGAACAGAGGTAGAACATATGTATACACACATACATATATATTTTTAAATTGTGGATTTACTGTGTTTAGCAGTGGTTGAGTACAGGGGAGGAACTAACTAAAAAGGAAAAACAAGGGTATTTGAAAAAACTATTCTGTATCTTGATGATGGTGGTGGTTATATAAGTTTATGTATATAAACATAAAAAACGTATGAGTTCATACTCATACATTAAATTCAAGTCCAACTCCAATTAGATCTCTCCTCACTTTTCTTTATTTCAAAGTTGTATCTCCCTTCCCCATTGAAAACCCTGGTTCTCAACACCACCAGTATATTTACTTATATGCTCTCCCTTACAGCAAATATAAAATAGATTAAAACAGTTTCAAATTTCAACATCAATGTAACTACCAACGATGGCAAATTTAGTAAGTAAAATTTAAGATTTTTTGCATTCCTTTTAAATGTCACAGTAGATCCAGTTAATGGGTAAAGTTTATGTACTGTGTTCAAAAGTCACTTGGATTACTTTATATGACTAAGAAAACCACATAATAAAACTCTATGTTTTTACAAATATACAGTGAGTTTCATATGCATTCAATTTCATGGTTTGCTTCTTTACATTATAATTTTGTTGAACATGTAAAACCTTTTCCTGGTTCAAAAATGAAAAATAGTAGAAGAGAAACCATATTCCCATCCAGTCTCCTACATTCTATTTCAATTTTGTTTGCAAAAATAAGCATATATTTTTATTTCTTCTTTCTTGCCCAAATGTTAGTACATCATAAATACTCTTTTGAACCATGCTTTATTCATTAACACTATATTCATACAAATATTCCTCATTCCTCTTCACCGTATTGCGTGAATGTGCCAAAAATATTCAACCAGTCTCCAATGGACATTAATTTCTCATCTTTTACTGTGATGTACATTGCCCCAGAGAATGCCCCAGAGAATAATCTGGTGACATGTTTTGTATTTAAGGAGGTTTACTTATAAAGTACATCCCTAGATGTAAGAAGGCTAAGTTAAATGGTAAATACATATATAATTTTGTCACGTATTACTAAATTCCTCTGCAGAGCAGATGTACCATTTTATCCTCCTACCACCAATGGAGGTGCTGAGAGATCTGTTTTCTCACAATCCCACAGGCTCACCAAAGGAGTGTATTATCAATTTTAGCTAATCCTATATGTGAGAAATTATAGCTTAGTGCAGTTTTAATTTCTGTTTCTCTTATGCGTAAAGCTGAGTATATTTCTATATGTTTAGTACCGATTTTAATGCATTTTTCCATTCATATTTTTGTTTAATGTTCAGTGGAGATTATAGCCTTTTTTACCTTGATTTTAAGATATCTTTAAGAATTAAAGCGATTCATCTAATTATGAATAGATTGTAAATATTCTCTCATTTTTAATTTTGACTTAATATTTTATGCAATGATGTTTCTTATTGCCTATTATTGAATATAAATAATTTTATAAATTCTACCTTGTAGAAATAAAAAAATTATTTATATTCAATAATATGCAATGTGCACAGAATTTACCGTGCTTGAATATGTTAGCACAGAAGCCATTTTCCCTGTCTAAATATTGTCTGTTTTCTCCCTTAGTGATAGCATTAGAAGCAACAACAAAAACAACTTAGAACAGTTCTGTACCTTGTCTAACCCAAATGAGAGACAGCACAGAATAATAAGCTTTATGTTATTTCCATAGACGTTATGTAAATCTGATCCATATTAAATAAAGTCACCCCATTTTCAAAAAAAAAAAAGGTTTCTTATTTTTCTAGTAACATATAGTTTCATTTGTTGCATTTAGATATTGGATGGATTTGCAGTTTATTTCTTTACATGATCTTCATTTTGGAATCAGTGTTGTCATTTTTAAATGGCTAACCAGTTGTTCCAATCTACTTATTGAAAAAACGATTTGGACGCCACCTTCATAATGCAGTAAATTTCCAAATTTACTTGGGCCAATTTGAGGGACTTCCACTTTAATGTCTGTCTGTCTGTTCATGTACCAGTTTAACACTGTTTCACCTAAAGAGGATTTATGATACCATAGTCTATAGATGCTTTTTCTCAGTCAAGAATAGGTATTCAATTTTGTTAAAGCTTTTTAAGTATCCATCATATGATTTTTCTTCTTAGATATATTAAGATGACAAATTATAGTTATGGTTTTTAAAAAATTAAACCATCCTAACATTTCTGGAATAAATCCCCCTCAATCCTAGTGAATTATTTTTCATGCGGTATTGGATTATATTTGCTAATATTTTATTGAAAAAAATTGCTATTGATAGTCATAAGTAAAATATGAAGTAAAACTGTAAAGTGAAATATAAACATAAAGTAAAATATAAAGTGAAAACTTTATAGAATTATCTTTTTTGCTTTTAGAAAAGTTACTTCATGTTGAGAATAACTTTTTTGACAATTTGATAGATGTCTTCTATGAAATTTTTGAGTCCTTTTTTTGTTTTGATATATTCTTCAATAACTTTCTTTATTATAAGAAAACTATTTTTGTTTCCAAATTTTATCTGATTTCTTTTTCTGTGTCAACATTTTCTTTCTTCTCTTTTCAGAGACAGGGTCTTGCTCTGTCACCCAGGCTGGAGTGCATTGGCACGATCATAACTCACTGCAGCATCAAACTCCTGGACGCAAGCAATCCTCTCATCTCAGCCCCCCAAGTAGCAGGGGCTACAGGCATGCACAACCATGTGTAGCTAACTTTTTTCTTTTTTTTGTTTGCAAAGATGGGGGTCTCACTATGTTGTCCAGGCTAGTCTTGAACTGCTGGTCTCAAGCAATTATCTCATCTCTATCTCTCAAAGTGCTGGGATTACAGGTGTGAGCAACAATCTATTTTTTTTTTTTTTTGAGTTGGAGTTTCGCTCTTGTATCCCAGGCTAGAGTGCAATGGCATGATCTTGGCTCACTGCAACCTCCGCCTCCCAGGTTCAAGCAATTCTCCTGCCTCAGCCTCCCAGGTAGCTGGGATTACAGGTGCTCCCCACCATGCCTGGCTAAGTTTTGTATTTTTAGTAGAGACGGGGTTTCACCATGTTAGCCAGGCTGGTCTCAAACTCCTGACCTCAGGTGATCCGCCTACCTTGGCCTCCCAAAGTGCTGGGATTACAGCCGTGAACCACCACGCCTGCCCCCACCATCCTTTTTAACTCAATAAAGCATAGCGGTTAAGAGCATACACTCTGGTATTAAATTTGGCTTTAGTTAAAATCTTAGTTTAAACTCCCACTATATGATCTTGAGAAATTTAATTTACTCCTTACACTTCAGTTTCTAGATCTATGTATTACCTAACTTACAAAGTTTTTGTGGGAACAAATTAATCAATATGTAGGCACCAGCACATAATAAGTGCTCAATAAGTATTAGCTATTGTTATTCTTATCATTCACTCATTTATTCATCAATTCATTAAACATGTCAAAACAGCGTTGAGAAACTGAAAATGCCAGATATTGTGTTTGATGCTGATGCTACAAACGTGAGTGACATAGATCATATTCTAAAGATAAGATCACACTATAAAGAGAAAGCCAGACAAATGTGGTGAATCAGGAGAGGTACAAAGAGAGACCAGAAAGAAAACTAAACTTTCATTATCATTTCATGTGGAGCAAATGACATATTTGAGGGCCCGGAAGTATTTAATATTTCAGGAAATCACCTGGTCTGAGCATGTGTACTGAAAGGGTATGCAAGTGCTAGATGTTGAAGGGCCTTTTAAATCACATCATAGAGTTTGAACTTTATCTCTGCAGTGATGGGCAATAATTAAGCATGTAAAACAATGTCGAGTTATGATCTGATTTGTGTTCATGAGAGATTATTTTGTCAGCAATGTGGAGAATGGGTGGGAAGAGGAAAGACAAATTAACCAGCAGAAGAAACAGTTGTCAAACTTTAAAATACACAAGAATTATCTGGGGAACTTGTGTAGTAGTATAAATTGTCAAGCCCTATTCTCAAAGATTTCTAATTAGCAGGGCTAGTGTAAGACCCTGAATAAGAATTTTCAAGGAATTTTGCTGCTAATGGTGGCTGATGGTTGTCATACACTGAAATAGAAGGCCATTGTTATTGTCCAGATAAGAGATATTTAAACTGCTGTATAGCAGAAGCGGTAGGGATGGAGATCAGAAATAATTATGTCTATATCTATGTATATCCATTTGGCTATCTATGTGCATGTGTGTTATGGACTCCAGATTTGTGTCCCTTCAAGATTCATATGTTGAAATCCTAACCCCTAGTGGGATAGTATTTGAATGTGAGGCCTCAGGGAGGTAATTAGGTTATGAGGACAGAGACCCTATGATGGGATTAATGTCCTTATTAAAACAAGAAGAAAGTCAGCTAGGATACATAGAGAAGATGGCTATCTGCAAACCAGGAAGAGAGCCCTTGTCAGAACCCAGCCATGCTGGTACCTTGATCTTGAACTTCCCAGCCTCCAGAACTATGAGACATGAAAGTTGTTTAAACCACCCAGTCTATGGTATTCTGTTATAGCGGTCCAAACTAAGGATACACACACACACACCAAAATTTTTGGTCAAACTTATGCTTTAATAAATTCTATAAATTTACAAACAACATATCTTGTTAGTTTAATTATTTACATTTCTTCTACACTTTTTTTGGGGAAATTTTAGTACATCCTTAAATTCAAGTTTTGTTTCAGTCTTAGAACAAAAACTGCTGACAGCACAGTTTAGCTGCCAGGAAGATTGTGGAAGGAGAAGATTAAAATCAAATACAAAGAGGGAACTAATGTTATCAATACCAAAACCAAAAGGAATATAAAATAAGATAAGATTTGCAGAAGATGAGCTATCTTCCTGTTGTAGTGAGTTTAAAGTTTTTCTGAGCCATCTGGGAAGCCTTCAGTGGCATTAAGGATCTAGATCTAGATCTCAGAGAATAGATTCAGGCTGGGGATAATATTCAGGCACCATCAGCATATTCGTAGTGCCAGCTGAAGCCAGAAGAGTGGACAACACTGCCCAGGGAAACTGATAGAGTGAGAAGAGAAGACGACTCAGGAAAGAATTTTGTGAAAGCATCAGAGGCAGAAAGGGGAAAATAATTTGTCAAGAGGCTAAGTAAAGCTATATTAAGGCTTAAAAAACGTAAATAGAAGAAGTGTTACTGTGTAAACCATGAGAGCAATGGAATTTGAAGAGATAAAATGATGGTGGAGGGTGTCAGATGCCTCAGGCAGGTCTGTAAATAAAAGAGAGTTCAGAAAATGCAAGCCGAAGATGCTCCAGGGATATGAATAAGCTCCAGTGGCTGCTGCTGAGTTTCAGTGAGATCAGTTGCACTGCAGTGCTGAGAGCAACAGCCAGGTTCTCATAGTACATGAGCGAAGCAATGTAAGCAAGGGAAGGCAGCATATAGAAACAAACAATTGCTTTGAATTGCTGCAGAACAGAGGGAGGAAATGGGGCGAAACCTCAGGAGGGATGTGGCATGTTTTCTAAGATAGGAGATACCTGAACCTATTCTGTAAGCAGACAAGGGTCTGCTCGGGAAGAAGGGAGTAAGGGAATAATCATAAAGATAGCATTATGTAAAACCTAGGGAGGGGATAGGACCTCTTGTATTCTGAAACTGCATGAAGAAAGAAAGCAGGTATGTGAGCACAGATTTGTTTGGAGATTAGGGTTCTGTGAAGTAGAGCGAGTTGATGCCTGACATTCTCCATTCTTTTTTTGCAATAAAGTGAAGAGGGTTGTCTGCTGAGAGTAAAAGGATTAAAGCCTTTAAAGGCACTAAGTGTTGATAATATTACGGTGCATGCTCTTACTCCACTGTATTTAACTCTCCGGGGGAGGGGGGGTGAAGAAAATCTGATTTATCTTAAAATAATACAAACCTATAACATGTGACGAGATTAAAGTAGACAGATTTTCTGATTGTTTCTCTTCTTTATTGATGCTGCTGCTGTGGTAAGCATGTGCTTAGCTTGCCTTTGAGTCATTCAGCAATAAAAAGTTTGAGAAAAGCCACTAAGGTCTGGAACAGCTGCATTTAGGAATGGAAGAGCAGAGGAAAGAACATGCAAAGTTCCTGCAGAAGGCCTTGATAAAGTTTGCAACTGAAACATTTTTGTGACTCCAATCCTCGTGGCTCTGTGACTTGCCTCCAATTGCTGTTGGCAGCCCTTACGTGTACATAGCCATGGGAAAGGCTGCAGTGGGGGCCGCAGAGCCATTGGCTCAGGCCTCACTTTGTGGGATCATCTTATTCTGGTACAGTTTGAGTTTCTGCAAGTCACCAAGGCCTTAGCTAGACACTCAGAGAGGATGAAACTGTGCTCGTGCTAAGTAATGGATTTAATTAAGTTTTTGTGCTTCCTCTGAGCCCTGTTTCAAAAATTTTACATGTATTAACTAATTCAGTATTCCTCACAACCCTACGAGACAGGCACTAATATTAGCTTAATAAGTAATTTGCCCATGGCTAAGACTACTAAATGGCAGGGTTAGGATTTAAACCTAGCCATTGTCCCTTTCCTTGTTACAGTGAGAAATAACTAGGAAGATATGAACTAGTGTTTGACAATTAAAACCCGTTTCAGTAAAGAAACGTATGTGGGAGAAAGGGTGAGGTGGGGAGAAGGGGACATTCTATAGTAGCAAGAATCTCAGCTTTGACATTGTTCTTAAAATGAAGAAAACAAGTCATCTTAGTTCATAGGCAGAGGTAAGTTTTCAAGGTCCAGTCATGCTAATTTCTCCTTGTAAAAAAAAATCAATAAAACTATTAAATGAGTGTTTAGTGTTTAATAATTTTGAATTAATGCCCTGTGACCACTTCTTGGTGTTCAATGGCCCTGACAGTTTGGGTGACTAGCTGGGGAACTGTGACTGCATGTTAGGGTTAGGTACATGCTTCATGCATGGGAGAAAGTTCAACTGTCCCTAAAAGCAGTCCCATAAGTATGCTGCAGAAAATTTCACCAGTTTGACCACTCAGGTATCCATTATTCTTTTGCTTATGTTTAGTAAACTGGAAAGAAGAAAGAAGGCAAACTTGGAGAAAAATTAAAAAGCAAATGGAAACTTACATAGATTTCTTATAGAAAAAGAAGGAAAGCATCAGAAGAGCAACAGTGGGAATGATTCTCCCCGCTCTCGTTTGCCTCCCCAGCCTCCCCAGCAACGCATAGGTCCATTTTGATTATACCAGATATTCTGATTGAGCACTGTGCCCTGTCTTTCTTTCCACTTACCCTGTAGAATACTCTTTTTTTTTTTTGAGATGGAGTCTCACTCTGTCACCCAGGCTGGAGTGCAGTAGCATTATCTCGGCTCACTGCAACCTCCACCTCCCAGGTTCAAGAGATTCTCCTGCCTCAGCCTCCTGAGTACCTGGCATTACAGGCATGTGCCACCATGCCCGGCCAATTTTTTTTGTATAAATTTTAGTAGAGTTGGGGTTTCACCATGTTGGCCAGGCTGGTCTTGAACTCCTGGCCTCAAGTGATCCATCTGCCTCAGCATCCCAAAATGCTGGGATTACTGGAGTGAGCCACTGTGCCTGGCCCTGTAGGATACTTTTAATAGTGAAACTTTCCATTGTGTTTTTTTTTTGTTTTTTTGTTTTTTTTGAGACAGAGTCTTGCTCTGTTGCCCAGGCTGGAGTGCAGTGGCGTGATATCGGCTCACTGCAACCTCTGCCTCCCAGGTTCATGTCATTCTCCTGCCTCAGCCTCCAGAGTAGCTGGGACTACAGGCACCCACGACCATGCCTGGCTAATTTTTTAGTAGAGACGGGGTTTCACAGTGTTAGCCAGGATGGTCTCGATCTCCTGACCTCGTGATCTGCCCACCTCGGCCTCCCAAAGTGCTAGGATTACAGGCATGAGCCACCACGCCCGGCTCCATTGTTTTCTTTTTGTGTAGATTCTCCTCTTTCTCATTTGGTGAAAACTTACACTGGAAATCATTTTAGTTCCAAATTAAAATCCTACCTCTTCATGAAGATTTGCTGATTATCTTCAATTGTAAGAGATTTTCTACTCTTCTGAACCCCACTCATATTTCATTTATACCAATTGTGCAGCATTTAACAAAGTCTGCTTTTTACGTTTATTTGCACAGGTTGCACAACTGGCTTTGAAGTACAGAGTGGTGGTAGTTATGGTATTTGCATGCCTGGCCTGTTGGGACTGTCAGTGTTAGCGTCCTGTCCCTTCCCACTCCTCCCCACCAGTTGCCCACCCACAACTTCACAGGGCGATGAGTACATGGCTCAGCTCATTGTAATCTTCACTGGTATCAATTTATCAACTTTGCAAGGAAGAGGCTCTCTTTCTGTTGAGGTTGCTAACCTGAAAATATGTGAGCATGGAGCTACTGGCAGCCGTTTGTCAGCCCTTGCATAAAGCTCATCTGAGAAAGGTGCCAATCAAAGAGAAACAGAGTCAAGAGAAAAGGCAGACTGAGCCCTGAACTCCAGGAGTAAGGCTTGCCTGGAGTGAGTTTCCCTGTATAATACTTCCCATTTACCTTAGTCATATTTTTCTACTTTTTTGCTTACAATCATTTGTGTTATGTTTTCAGTTTTATCAAGAGTCCTAAGTAATAAACTGACAAATTTGTAAGTAATTTAAGATCAAGATTCAGATGTGATTTATCTCTTTTCATCTTTGATATAGACAACTGGAAAAGTGAATGAATTAATGAAGGAGTGGTGCTTCAGAAAACTGTCTTTAATTCTCCCAATTGCATGCACTGGGAAAATCCAAGATCTTGCTTTCTGCTCCAGCCAATTGAGCTTATATTTGTGATTCCTCAGCTTAGTATTTATTTACATAGGAATCTAGACTGTTTGTTGGACACTCTCCCTTCTGACATGTTTTCCAGAGTGATACTTTATCTATTGAATATAAAAGAACAAGCAGTTCAGCTGCTCTGTTCAAGCCCCAGGTGTAGAGAGGAAAATGCTGGATTTTTTTTTTTTTTTTTTTTTTTTGAGACGGAGTCTCGCTCTGTCGCCCAGGCTGGAGTGCAGTGGCGGGATCTCGGCTCACTGCAAGCTCCGCCTCCCGGGTTCACGCCATTCTCCTGCCTCAGCCTCCCAAGTAGCTGGGACTACAGGCGCCCGCCACTACGCCCGGCTAATTTTTTGTATTTTAGTAGAGACGGGGTTTCACCGTTTTAGCCGGGATGGTCTCGATCTCCTGACCTCGTGATCCGCCCGCCTCGGCCTCCCAAAGTGCTGGGATTACAGGCGTGAGCCACAAAATGCTGGATTGTAAACAGGTCGATAGATGTTAAGTCAGAGGGGCTCTGATGCATTTTGTGCACACTGCACACACATTTCAAGGACTCACATGTATTATGCTTCTATCATTTAATTTTTCCTGGTTTCTATGATTAAATCTTTATAGCATTTTTCTACTTTTTAATTCTTTATTCTAGCTTTATGAGATATATTTCACATATCATAAAATTCACCCAATTAAAGTATATCGTTCAGTAGGTTTTAGTATATTCAGTGTTATGCAGCTATCACCACTATCTACTTTCTGGACATCTCATGATTCCCAAAAGAAACTCCATACATATTAGCATTCATTTCCTGTCCCTGAACAATCCCACTCCCTGGCAACTACTGATCTGCTTTCTGTCTGTTTGGATTTGCCTGTGGTAGACACTGCACAGACAGAATCTTATCAGTCTTTTGTGTCTGACTTCTTTCACTTATCACGGTGTGTCAAGGTTCATCCATGTTGTAGCATGTATCAATACTTCATTATTTTTTATTGGCTAATATTTCATTGTATATGTATACTACTTTTTGTTTATACATTTATCAGTTGATGGACATTTATATTGTTTGCACATTTTGCTATTATGGGTAATGTTTCTACAAATACTCATGTACAAGTCTTTGCATAAGCATTTCTTTTGGGTGTACACCAAGGAATGGAATTACTGAGTACTATGGTAATCATATTCTTCACTTTTTGAGGAAGTGCCAACTGTTTTCCAAAGGTGCTGCACCTTTTTACTTACACTAGCAATGTATGAGGGTTTCCACTTTTTCTGCATCTTCACCAACAATTGCTAATATCTTTATTACTGTAATCATTCTGGTGGATGTGAAGTAGTATCTCATTTTGGCTCCTATTTACATTTCTGTAATGACTAATAATGTTCAGCATATTTTAATTTGTTTATTCGCTGTTTTTTTTTTGTTTTGTTTTGTTTTTTTTGAGACAGAGTTTCGCTCATGTTGCCCAGGCTGGAGTGGAATGGCATGATCTTGCCTCACTGCAATCTCCACCTCCCGGGTTGAAGCAATTCTCCTGCCTCAGTCTCCCGAGTAGCTGGGATTACAGGCATGCGTCACCACACCCAGCTAATTTTGTATTTTTAGTAGAGACGGCATTTCTCCATGTTGGTCAGGCTGGTCTTGAACTTCTGACCTCAGGTGATCCGCTGCCTTGACCTCCCAATGTGCTGGGATTATAGGTGTGAGCCACCACGCCCCGCCTATTGGCTGTTTTTATATTATCTTTGGAAAAATACCCATTCAAATCTCTCACTGATTTATTCCTTGGGCTATTTGATCTTTTTATTGTTGAGTTCAAAGAAGTCTTTATATATTCTGGATACAGGTACCTTGGCAGATATAACATATTCAAATGTCAAGTATTTTCTCCCTTTCTGTGGGTCGTCTTTTCACTTTCTTAATGATGTCCTTTGATAAACAAGTTTTTATTTTAATGAATTCCATTTCATGTATTTTTTATTTTGTCTTTTGTGCTTTAATTGTCATTTCTAAGAAACCATGGAGTAACCCAAGGTGGTGAAGATTTCAGGAATTTCTTAACTGTAGTAAATGGTCTGTGGAGGTAGTTGTTCACAGACGTCTGATGAGGCCTTTTTATCTTTCCAGGGGGATCTGGCTGAGACATGATTTAAGTAACAGCTATTCATTTGGAGGAGGCTGTTGCAAGGATCTCATGCACAAGAAGCTTGGGGGTCTCCCAAGATTTAAAAAATTTTTCTTTACACAGCTCTTGATGTAATTGCACACATCACAGGCTGTGACACTCAGGGCATTCTCTCAATCACCTACACGTTTCTTCAATAACACACATACCTTCTCCCCAAGGTATAACCCCTGGGTCTGGGGCAGTTGTGGCATAGAGATGTACTTGTCTTGCTGGTGCCCAAGACCATGATTCTGTCTTTAAGTTCCCACAATAAATCAGCCTTTACTGACAAACTGGATGTCTGCCTCCATTTTTTGGTTTCTTGATTCTTTCAGCATTTGGGGGCAGCTTTGCATATACAGCCTTTCCATGGGATAAATCCCACATTGAAAGTGGCATATTAAAATCTCCAATTAATAAACCTGTGATGTTTTTGTCTTCGATTCTTTCAGGTTTTTCAGTATGTATTTTGGTGCACTGCTGTTAGGTGAATATATTTTTATAATCATATCTTCCTGATGAATTTATGGTATTATATAAAATATCCTTCCTTATATCTAGTAATGACTTTTCTTGTAAAGTCTATTTTGTCTGATATCAGTATTATTATTCCAGCTCTCTTTTGGTTACTGTTTGCTTGATGCATCTTTTTCAATTTTTGTACTTTTAATCAGTTTCTGTTTTTGAATTTAAACTATATCACTTGTAGACAACATAGAGCTGTAACATTTTTTGAAAATCCATTCTTCCAATCTCTGCCTGTTGATTGGAGTGTTTAGTCCATTTACATTTAATGTGATTATTGATAATGGAGGATTTACAGCTGCTATTTTTCTATTGATATTTGTTTTCTATTGGACTATGTTTCTTCTTATTCCTGTCTTTCAAAAATATTAAATGGATATAATCCAGTTTATTTTTAATTTCCTTTTTCTTTTAGTCCATATTTTTAGTAACTTCCTTAATGGTTGTTCTAGAGGTTTCAGTTAGCATCTTAATTAATGCAATCTAGTTGAGAATATTACTAACTTAATTTTACAGTGTATAAAAATCATTTTGCTCTAATATAATTTCATTCTTTTATCCCTGTTTTGTATGATTATACAAGCTATATCTTTATATGTTACAAGATTATCAATACAAATATATAATCTTCCTTTATGTTGTTGTCTTTTAAAATAGGAAAAGAAAAGAGTGACAAACAAAAAATACACTTTTATTGTCTTTCATAGTACCTATATGGTTAGCTTTACTGGTGCTCTCACATCATCATGTGGATTCGAGTTACCATCTAGTGTTCTTTTATTTCATCCTGAAAGTCTCCTTTAACTATTTTGTAGAGCAGGTCTGCTAGCTATGAATTCTGTTTTTGATAATTTAGAAATGTCCTAACTTTCACTTCTGAAGCAGAGTTTAACTGTATATAGAATTTTGAGCTGACAGTCTCTTTTTTAACACTTTGAAACTTTGACAATGTCATTACTTAGTTTTCTGGCTTACATGCTTTCTGATGACAATTCAGCTATTAATTTTATTAAGGCTCTCTTTTATGTAGTAAGGTTTTCTCCTACTGCTGTTTTTAAGATTTTTCTCTTTGTCTTTTTGCCATCTTGGATACGATATGTCATAGGCGTTGATCTCTTTGAATTTATTCTATCTGGAGTTCATTAAACTTTTTGAATGTATAGATTCCTATTTTCTTTAAATTTAGGAAGGTTTTGGCTATTTTCTCAAATTTTTTAATCCTTTCTTTGTTTTTCTTCTATTTCTGGAAATTCCATTATACATAGTTTGGTACACTTAATGGTGTTTTTCAGTTCCCTAAGGTTTGTTTATTTTTCTTTCTTTTGTTTTTCTTCATGCTCATCAGATTGAGTAGTCCCTATTGACATATCTTCATATTTAATGATTCTTTCTTATTCCAGCTGAAATCTGTTGTTGAACCTTTCTATTAAAATTTTTACTTCAGTTGTACTTTTCAACTTTATAATTTCTTTTTGGTTCTTTTAAGATAATTTTTTTCTTTATTAATATTTTCTCTTTAATGAGACATCATTGTCACTCTTTCCCTGAATTCTTTAGACATGGTTTCCTTTAGTATACATATATTGATAATAGTTGATTTAATGTCTTTGTAAACTACGTTCATGCTTAAAGTTTCCATATGAAATGTGGTGTTTGCTGCTTTTTCTTTGTGCATGTGGCTTACTTTACCATTTGTTTGCATGTTAATATATATTTTTTGAGTTCTGGTCATTAATGTATTGTGACAATATTTCTGTCTCACAAAGATGTATTGTGTTCCTATTTTTATGTTGTCATTTTAGGTTTTCTTTTTGCTTCTTATTTGCTTGTGACTTTCATGGAGTCATTCTGTACATTCTGCCTGTCCTGCTGTGTGTGTCTACTTAGTTCTCTACTAGCTTCTTAATAAATGTTTTTGTCTTTATTTTTAAGCTTGGCTTTCTGAGAGTAAGCCCTTGATGATTATAACCTCGTGGTCAATTATGGGCCAGAAGATTTCTTTAAATGAGTTTCCTATATGTCTCCCACTTTTTATTTTTTGGCATCAGTTTACAAGATAACCTTAGCTTTTACTTCCTGTTTGATCATGGCCTTAAGGCCAAGAAGAGATGAGTGACCATTGACTTTTCCTTCCTCAGGTGTTTGCTGTGAATGCACACAGCATTGCACATGTTCTGTCTTTCAGATTCCTAGGAATATGTAGGAGCTTTCAAAGTTCCTCAGTCTGATCCCTGTACCCCTGCTGAGCTGAGCCTGCATCAAATCAAATAGCTACCACATCCTGAGAATACCCACTTTCTAGGAATCTACAAGTTTGTGCAGGAGTTTGACTGTACTTTAGGGATGGTGCTTTTCACAAAATTTCAAAAGTAATCAGATTTCTCTGTTGTCTGCAATTTGCCTGCTTTTGGTTACGGAGCTCCTGAGCAGGGGAGGGAGAGAAGATGCAGATAGCCCCAAGTTAAAATGTTACGGAGTATGCTGTCTTATTGAAATTCACTAGGTATCTTGGGTAGATGATTCTCAGTTCATTTTGCAGCTTTGGTTAATTGCCTGCATTCTGCAGTGGTTTATTTCTGTTTTGTTTTGTTTTGTTTTGTTTTGTTTTTTGTCTATACTGCCATAGTTTTAGACGGAGAGTGAATTCATAGAGGTGGTCACTGGGCCATTCCAGAAGTTGATTGCTGCTTTTTGTTTCTTGATTATGTATTTTTCCTTATACAGTTATCAAACTCTTTTTCTATCTGTTTAGTATTTTCCAAGATAATAATCATATCATGAACTTATAATCCTTTGTATTTTCCTCTTATTATAGTGCATATAGTAAATATTCAACAAATAATTGAAGGTTGCTATATGATATGTTGCCAGATGTTCTACAGGGAGGAAAATCACGCATGATTGAGAACTACTGATATACAATTATTTCATTTAATCCCTGCCACAATTCTTTTAGGAAAGTGTTATCATCTCCATTTTACAGTGGCCTAGAGAGCTGCATATTTACCTTACTAAAGTTACACAGCTAGTTAAGTGACAAAGGTTGATTTTAAATCTAGCCTTCTCTGACTCCAAGGCCAATCTTAGTTATAGTTTATAAATTAAGAGGAAGGACTTCGTTATTTTTATTTTTTAAATTATGACACACCTTTGATCTTGTCAGTATTCCAGGACATTACATTTTATTTGTTCTATAATTTTGGCAGTAGTTTTTGGATTAAAGTATTATACATTCTTATGAGGTTTTAGGGCTCCAATTAATTGCGCATTCAGCCATGAATACTAGGTTATCTTAGCCCTTTTTTTTTTCCAATGCAATGACCTTGAACTCAGTATGACTGAGTTTGTGGGATGTAGGGTGCTCACACTGCAAGAATTGGTAATATTATTCTTCTATACTTTCCTTCTGCTCTAACAATAAGTTCTCAAAGGAGGCTAGCTTTGAGTTGTGCACACTCACCTACATCCTGTTTGTCTTGTCAATAGAATACATGGAGTGCATGGAAATGCCCCAGGCAGGCTTCCTTACATCCTGTTGCCAAGGCAACAATGCCATGATTCCCCACGTTCTATGTCTAAGATAGCAGCAGGCCAGCACACACAGAAACTCCACACGCCCACCTGTGTCTTACTATCTTGGGAGAGCATAAGAAAAACTGTGCTTGAGTTGGTCTTGGCTAGGATTCTTTATGATTAAGATTTTACTCAGACAATGGGTGAACCTTTGATGCTTTTTTTCATACAAAGTTCTATCTACAAAATCGTGTCCGATAAACCACGTAGCTGCTAGAGGGCTCCTTGGAGTCCTAGAACATGTATTGGAACCCTGATTTTGTCACTAATGCGTATCCAAGTCTTGAACAAGATCTCAATAACTCTTTACAAGCCTCAGTTTTCCCTTATGAGGGAAATGGAATAAACCTCAATTACATCATTGAATAGTTCTAGAAATGAAAAGAATGAATAGCCCTCAAATCATTTCATAAGTGATAGTTATTCAGATGCTAATTTTAATTGTTTTAAACCCCATGCTTCTTTTCTGATATCACTTTATCCCCATGTGAAGAAATTAATCAGTGACAAGGAAGAAAAGATGTTGAGCTGTTTAAGGTCAGGAATCATATTTATAAGGAGGGTAAGGTGGTTCCTTGACTAATGATGATTAGTGCATGGATGTGACTTCTCTAAGCTCATAGTCACTGCCACTTAGAGACCAGGCTCAGAAGGACTCACTAGTGAATACTGTAGTAGTGAACACTGTATATTCTTCTTGTCTTCAGGATATCTCAGAAGCAGTCCCCAATTTTCAATGAAAGTTTTGTCTCTATAAATATAAGCATTTATGGTAGATTTGTTTGTCATTTTTGTAAGGTTTATATGTGTGTTTAAAGTCCTGTCATTTTGATGTACATTAATATTTTATTCAATTAGATGAAGGATGAGCTATATTTTATGAATAATCTTTGACAAATATACACACACAGCTGTGTTTAGCCTCAGCACTACACATTGTAATTGAAGTAAAAAATAAAGGCTCACATACTAGGAAGCAAAGAGTAGCTCCAGCTTTCACCTTTGCACCTTCTAAACCATTTCAGCCTGTTAAAAGCAGGTTAGAAACGGTTTTAATTTGAGTCAGTATGAATCACTTGTAGAAATTGACATAGTATATTGAGAAACAAGATAGTGGGTCTGAGCAATGAGATATTTTCACTGTATCCTTGGAAACTATGCACATATCATTCTCAACATTCTCAAGCAAGGTTCCAGTCCCTTTCTGACTTTAAACTAATTTTTCTTTAATTTACATTTGGAATTTATAAATTCAAAATGTTCACAATTGCAGAGGACATATAGAAATAATTAGTCATATTATATATGACTCCTTTTGAATTCATCACTTGCATATAAACACATAAATGCTTGCTTTGTCCATCTCATAAACTATGAAATGATAGAGACCATTGTAAGTTCACTCAACTTAATGTCTAGACCTACATCAGATATAGATAAACAAGCATTCAATAACTTTTTATTATGAATGAGAGCAGCACTACCTCTGTTTTTGAAACAGAGCTTTCATTGCCTAGATTAAAAGTAGGCACCTTGGCTGGGTGCGGTGGTCACACCTGTAATCCCAGCACTTTGGGAGGCTGAGGCGGGCGGATCACCAGGTCAGGAGATCAAGACCATCCTGGCTAACACGGTGAAACCCCGTCTCTACAAAAAGAAAAAAAATTAGCCGGGCGTGGTGGCGGGCGCCTGTAGTCCCAGCTACTCGGGAGGCTGAGGCAGGAGAATGGCGTGGACCCGGGAGGCGGAGCTTGCAGTGAGCCGAGATCGCGCCACTGCACTCCAGCCTGGGCAACAAAGCAAGACTCCATTTCAAAAAAAAAAAAAAGTAGGCGCCTAATAAGCATTTCTGAATAAAAAGTTAAGGCACAAATTAAAAGGCATCCACAGAACAAAAATACTGGATCACTGCACAAACAATAGCACAGACATTTCTTTATTAGTGATTTGCAGTTGCCTGTGTGTATCAGCAGGAAAAGGTCATCTTAAATCCATAAAGAAATGAAGATTCTCATAAAGTCTACTTTCCCAATATATGTAGATCTGAGAACTTGATCTACAGTGATTTAAATGTTAATATTGTGGTATTGCTTTTAAGTCAGAAATTTAATCAAAATATCAACATATGTGTGTAAAAATATGTATATTTACTTTCAACACCTTAACAGCAGGGATAATATTTGGCTTCACATTTTTCTCTTATATTGTCCAACAAGAAACCTCATTATTTTTTATCAGGGAGCTGGCAGCTAGTCATCAATTTCAACTAATCAAGATGCTTCAAGTAGTCTGGAACGTTTTTGCATTATTAAGTGCTTTAGCAGCACTTGGGACTTTTACTCTGCTATCCTCAGAATGATTTAGCATTATTATTTTTGAATAGATTCCCACGTGTTCACCTCTTTCAACTGAAAGTCCCTTGGTAGGGAAAAGAGCCACACAAACCACTTCCTTCTGACCCCATCAAGCAGCCAGATCCAGAATCACAGTAGCATCTAAAATAAGTCCACTTATGTCCATCCACAAAGAACAAATTGTTGTGGCCTAAAGGATTTTCATTGAGTAAATACTAAAACACTACATAGAATCCACTTTCCCATGACATCACATTTCCATCCCCTCTAGTTAATTAATGTCTGTTGATAGGTTGTGTTTTATACATTCGGATAGAACATATACACCATTGAAGGTTTTTTCCAGAAGCTTGCCTTTGAAGTACTTGATCCATGTACATCGTATCTCTAGCAAGATGGACTGTACAATGATATTCTGGTCATTGTAAATTTAGCTTAAAATCTTAATTCATTTAAAGCAGATCTTCCAGGAAGGACAATTTCTTTCTTATTGTCTGAGCGGGATAATTCTGATTCTCTCAACCTAGTTAAGGATAGTTATTTGTCCAAAGCAGCATGTTAAGGCAAGTATTAAGTGAGAATAAGGGAATTTTTAATGAATGGAAGATAAAAACTTATCCAAGCTGAGTGACTGTGAAATGGAGAGAACTTTAGAGTCCTAAGTGAAAACAGGTTATTATACATTAGAGGATTGTAAGAGGCTCACTCTGTTGAATGTCATGGTGATATTGAAACAGAAATCAAATATTAAAAAATACACAAAAATAGGCTTGCTCTATTTAAGAAAACTATAAAATCATAGATCATGGTATTTACTAGTTTCATATGACATGCCTCAGAAGACATTACTCCAAATTATAGCTCCTTGGCATACTGAGCAGTTTAAGCTGAAGGAAATTGAGAAAAACCACAGAAGCATGAAGGTCACTCTCTGATATGCTTCTGCCCTTCTCCCCTGAAGGAGATGATAAGACCCTCATTACCACCTTTATCTCTGAAGACACAGGGATATAGACAAGAATCTGTAAACACAAGCGTGGCTAAGTCGCCCTCCCCAAGTTTATTACCATTAGTTAAAACTCCTGTCCTCCAATCATACTTCTGCATGACTGTCCATGAAAATACATAGATCTTCTCATAAAACAGGCCTGGCACGGTGGCTCACACCTGTAATCCCAGCAGTTTGGGAAGCTGAGGCAGGTGGATCACCTGGGGTCAGGAGTTAGAGACCAGCCTGATCAACATGGTGAAACTCCATCCCTACTAAAAATACAAAAATTAGCTGTGTATAGTGGAACGTGCCTGTAATCCCAGCTACTCGGGAGTCTGAGGCAGGAGAATCACTTGAACCTGGGTGTCAGCAGTTGCAGTGAGCTGAGATTGCGCCATTGCACTCCAGCCTTGGTGACAGAGCGAGACTCCGTCTCAGGAAAAAAACCAAACTTTTGTTAAATGCATTTGTATACTTTTGTTAATGTGTCTTTTGTTACCGGAGCCTCAGCTTGCAATCTTGCAATGGGTGAAGAAAAAATAACATTTTTTCTCCCCTATACTAGAATGCATGGCTTCATCAAGGCAGACACTTTTATTTGTTGGAAGCACCACTGTATCCTTGCCCAGAGCCTTCCTCTAGGACTGGTGGCTCGCTGTAAAGATAGAGAAAGTAAGGTAGAGGAGATCAGGTCAGCAAAACTGGTCTACGATGGCTGTGTTGCTGATGAGGTAAATTTGTCTCCTGTATCTTATTCCTGTAGGTTGTTACAATCAAATTCCTTCTGTGGGGGCCAAGGGGAAAGGTTCACTAAAAAACCAACTTGCAAAAGGCAGGTTAATAGGAGAAAAGGCACAAATATTTATTTGGCGTGTATACACGGGAGCCTTCAGAATGAAGATAGATACTGGGGAAAATTGTTCATTTTTCTGGTTGTATTCAACAAAATATGGATAGCTGTGTAGAAATATGATTGGACAAAAAGAGTATGATCTAATGTTAATAGACTGAGTGAGGAACCGGGCAAGTCCTCTTTCCAGATTCTTCTTGGTGTCTCTGAGCATGCATTCCTTCCTTCTGGGTGTCAGCATGACCCTGTCTGGAATGGGGGCATTATGACCTACAATCAAACAAGATAGGTCAGATAATTTCTTTATGGCCAGTTTTTACAGAGAATATTTTTAGGTTTTATTTCTGGCTTTTGAGAAA
Source organism: Homo sapiens (assembly GCF_000001405.40). Classification (NCBI taxonomy): domain Eukaryota; kingdom Metazoa; phylum Chordata; class Mammalia; order Primates; family Hominidae; genus Homo; species Homo sapiens. Next base: position 106,461,405 of record NC_000011.10, read on the forward strand.
AGGGTTCTGGTTTTTATGACCCACTTTCAGGAAGAATGATTCTCGTTTCTATGGCTAGCCTCTGGGGAGAATGGGCCCGAGAGACGAGAGGACAGGAAAAGGTCAGAGAAGAACTTTTGCTTGTGAGACTGCTGCTGAGGCTTTCATTTTGGGGAATTGTTTTCTGATCCCTAACTCTTCACTGCACGTGATTGTAAATATTCCTTATCAGACCAGTACATGAACCAGAGATTTCTATGTTGGGATTGAGAGGGTAAGGTACTTTGAAAGAAAAAGCACAAACTTGGAGAAAGAAATCTGTTTCTAAATTTGCCCTCAGCCCTTTTCTGGAAATCACCAAAAATGAATCTCTAGATGAATGGTGTCCAATAGAATTTTTCTGACCATGAAAATGTTCTATAATATGTACTGCTCTGTAGCTGCATATTAGACTTAAACTGACGGATCACTTGAAATATAACTAATGTAACTGAGAAACTGAATTTTCAATTTTAGTTACGGTTAATTAATTTGAACTTAAATAGCCACATGTGGCTAGTGGCTACTGTGTAGGACAGCACAGATCTCCATCTATGTTACCTGAAGTGGTGTGTTTATTGCTGGGGTGGAGGACAGGGGGTCAGGACAGTAGAGTACTTTCTGCTAATTGGTGCCGGGGTCAAAGAGGGCTGGTGCTGGGTCACAACACAGTACATAGCTTTTTGGAATGGATATTCTTTCAAATAAGGAAGTTGTGTTTTCTTTTACAAGAAGAAAGCAAAATCAATCTTTCCCTTATCACATAGTGGCAGGTCATTATACAGAACCCAAAGGAGGCTATAACAAATCGAGGGTTCCCAGAAGTGCATTTAGTAAGAGAAAACAATGAAGGTTTGTGATGTTTCAGATGAAAAGGGAGTGTTTGGCTTTCTTTGTCAAAAATAGCACTTAGATTTGGAACCATACCTTTGACCTTCAGATCTGATAAGGAAGATAAGAGGAATTTATTGCTAAACCTCAGATCTGTCAAGTCAGGGTCAGATGAAACATTGCATTCCTCTCTGATAAAGAAAAAAGCATTTGCAGAAAAAAGGGCCAGCTCCATTAGACCACACATGGAGATGGAGATGGGAAGAATTTCAAGCAGCATGCTGAGAGGAAGATAGGAGACCAAGTAGGGGGAAAATGAGCAATAGTTGGTTTACGTTTGTGCAAAGGAAATAAGAAATAAAATTAAGATTTTTGTATTTTTGTTTAGAACATGTCCCCAGAAAATATGGTTTCTCATCAATCACGCTGTTTGGAGTGAACAGAAGTACCCCTTCTGAAGGGAAATTTGGCAGTAATTACTCAAGAACCATTCAAATATGTAAATTTTGACTGAGCAATTCAATTTTTAGAAGGATATCATAGGAAATAATCTTAACTATGCAATGATACAGCTAAAGTCAGCTGAAGCAGCAGTTATTGCAACATTAATTATGGACAAAAATAATAATTGAATGTCTATCAGCAGAAGGTTGTCTGGTTAAATTATATTACTTCTGTACAAAGGAACATTATGCAATCAGAAAACATGTTGGGAGAGGCCTTTAAACATGTAACAATTTAATATTATATGCATACATACTGTTTTTCTTCATCAGTATTTTAAAAATATTCTTCATTACATTTCAAATTTTCTTAAATAATCTTTTCAAGTATATTAGTTTTATAATTAAAAGTTATTTTTTTCAAAATGTTAATGATATTTTTGTTTTTTTTGCCATCCAGGTTTTTCTATTCTATGAACTCCTTGTCTTGGGCTGTCAAAAAGATCTATTTGAATCTGTAAACAAGTAGAGATTACAGTGTGCAAAAAGTAATCCTTTTTGGCACCTCTAGTAAGCTCTGCTTCTTGCAGATCTCGGAGGATCTTAAGCCATATAAGCCATCACTAAAAACCATAGTTAGTGTGTAAGCTGCTTTATCCACTTATGATTTTCTTTTGGCTCAGGAGATTTACATTCTGCCTATTCATCACATTTACTAAGTAGAGAGCTATTTCACAGCTACCATCCTACAATTACTCCCTGCTGATTGTTTCCTAATTCTCCTTGGAGAGGTCTGAGTCTCTAATTGGATGGCTAGAGGAAATTATCCTCAGAGGTCATGTCACTATTCTGGTCAGTGAAAATTTGCAATGGATTTTCCAGAAAGTATAAAGTCTGGGCAGTAGAGGCCCACTGCCTCTGTCTGTGCAATGCTATTTCTGAATACAAGGAATTTTGGCTTCTCAATTCTTTCGAACAGTACTAAAGTAACACTAAAAAGGGTGAGAAAGAGAGATAACAGTACTGGAAGAGGAAAAAGAAGAAGAAGAGGAAAAGAAAAGAAAAACAGTAAGAAAAAAACCCAACCTGTATTTCACATATAATGGTCATGGGAGACATTAGAAGTCTAGAGTCATCCTTATTTGTTTTGATTGCTCACGTTGAAAACCACAGCCAATTTTCCAATCTGCCACCTTCACTCTAACTGGGTTAAAGTAGTATGCATTAGGAAGCTTTTGCAGAAATGAAATTATTTTGCCAGGAATGATCGCAGAAAGAATGTTCTCATAACGAAAGGCCATGTTAGGTCTTTCTCATTTCTTTTGGGGAAGCCAAATCTCATGAAACAACAACACATATATTCCCAGGAGTGACAGGACATGCCTTTCCTATCAGTGTCATGTGGGACAGAATGTACACAAGTCGTGGGAATATCCAGAAAGCTGAGTCTACTGCAGGAATGCTGATAGCTTAGCTAGACTTCAACTCATACCAATATTACTGTGTAATTTGCAGACTGTAGATATTTTCTTAAGCAGATTTTATCAGACTAAAGGTACCACTTGACACCCACACTCAGGTTTTATAATACAGGCTCTCAGGTAACTTATACCTCTGCACGGCGCATATACCATATATATAAAATCACTTGCTCAATATCTGTCTTTCTCTTTATCATTATAAGCCTCCTGCTTTCAGGAACTATGCATTTTTTGTTCACTCTTGTATTCCTTGGGCCTGGTGCTGTGCCTAGGACAGAGTTGACACTCACATAAACTCTGCATATTGAATGAATGAAGGAGGAGTGTTTGAGGGAACCTGACAAAAGAAGACCTCACTAAAATGGCATAAAGGGCAGTGCTGATAAAATGTCATGTCCATCACAAAGTACTACAGGTCTATTTGCTGTCACTCTCCATTAACCTGAAAATAATACTAGTTACCATTTATTGAGTAGCTACTATATATTCCAAGGTCTTTGCATACATTAGGCCATTTAATTCTGAGAATGCTACAAGGTAGCAATTATTATTTCATTTTGTAGATTAAAAAACTGATGTGCAAAAAATTTACTTAAGATCACAGCTGCAGAGCACATAGTAGGCTCTTAACAATGACTTGTCAAAAAAGGAATGCAAGGGAAGAGGAATTTAACTAGTCATTTTAACCTAAAGCCTATTTTTTTTTTTACTCATTGTATCCCACACCTTCCCAGATAGGAAATTTAGGTGAATCATATTTGTAGAATGCATACACCTATGTAATACTGAGCTAGCTACTGCTAACTAGGCTTCTGCAGAGATGGCCAGGATGCTTCTAGAGTGGTACTTAGGCCTTTTGCATCATGAGAAGACAGGGTGCTCAGAAAGATGGGATAAAATTCCACTCAGCTAAGCTTCCTGGGTGTAAAACTTAGGGATGAGTTTTTCTGTCTTTGAGAGTGAAACTTAATGAGAAACACTGCTAAGGGTTTCAGCATTTTCCTGACGGGAGTGAGGAGCAGCTCCACGGCAGCACGGTGGTAGAAACCAAGAACCCCCAAAGAGACAGCAAAGATGAAGTGGCAGTAGCAAGGCATGGCTGAGGCCAAGGCCACATCTGGAAGAAGTAGGAGAAACCATGGGCGAACAACTCCAACTGGGCTCATCTAAATCTCACAGAAGCAAATGCCCTCACATAAAGGGCCAGTCTATGTGTGATCAGTTAGATTTGTCATTTTCTAGGCACTAGTGAGCTTGCTTCCAGAGGACGTGGGGGAAATGTGAAATCCTAAGCAAGCCTCTGACTCCAAGGTCTGGTTCCTGGGCCCTGGAAACTTGTCTGGGGAATGATGACCTTGATGGGGTAGGTGGTTGTGTCAGAACGCACCCCTATTGATTGTGGCAAGATGAACTTAATTTTTCTATTTAATTTCTTCCACACTTGGCTTCAGGGTATTGAAATATGCTTACGGGGAACAATAGATCCTTGCAGGATGGGGTTCTCTGTGCCATTAACAATGGTTGAGCTTATTCTACTACATCGGTCCCCTGCCAAGAGACAAATAGCAGGAAAAGAACTCAATGCTTGTTAGGACTTTTTTCTTACAGAGATTGGGGACTGATAGCTAAACTGGGTTTAGGTTGTTGTGGCCTAACATGTCCCATCCCTATCCATATGTTGAAGTCCTAATCCCCAGTCTCAGAATGTATTTGGAGATAAGGTCTTTAGATAAGTCATTAAGTTCAAGCGAGGTTCTTAGGGCTGGCTCCGGTCTAATATAACAGGTGTCCTAAGAAGAGGAAATTTGGATATTGACATGAACAGAGCAATGACCATATCAAGACACCAGAAGAAGACAACCATCTATAAGCCAAGGAGAGAGGCCTCAGAAAAAATCAACCCCTTCGACACCTTGATCTTGGACTTCTAGCTTCCAGAACTGTAAGAAAATAAATTTCTGGTGTTTAAGTCACCCAGTCTGTGGTACTTTTACGTCAGCCCTAGCAAATGAATGCAGTGGTCCAGGGTTCTGAAGATATTTCAAAAAGGCTTAGGGTAGATGAAGCAAGGCTGAGGGGGAAGATGAAATACCTGTGGCCCCAAACTTTGCCTGTATAATTCAATCATCAGGTTTTGGTGTACTTTAAAGCAATGCACAAGCAGAATATACAACTGTTCATGAAAAACAATATTATAGAAATGATAGTCACAGTGATGTGTGGAATGTTTATTGCATGCCAGCCTCTGTTCCAAGTACTGTAGAAATGCTGTTTAATTTTCACAACAGCATTCTGAGGTAGGTAGCCTAAGTATTCCCATTTTATGTGTATGGAAACAGTCACAGATGATTAATTTAGCCACAGAGAGTAATTTACTCAAGGTCACCCAGCTAGTTGCAGGGTCTGGGCTCTGACAGGTGAATGGGCTAAATAAGACTCAAAGGCACTTAGTAGTTATTCCGAGTCATGAAATGAGCAAGGAAGTAGCAGAGCTAAGACTTCCAGTCAGCTGCTTTGTCTTCAGATGTTCCCTTTTGAGTTCCTCACAGGCTGCCATGAGTTAGACAAATGGCACTAACACACCGAGTGTGTCTCTATTACTCTTGAAAAGAAACAGCCTTTCATAAGCAAGAAAGTTAAAACAGCAGTGATGGTCAGCTAAAGATGGCCTCCTTCAATTCTATTTTTGTTCACAACTTTTCTTCCTCACTTCTGAAACCCCTCAGAAAAAAACTCTTCTGCTCATGCTTAGTGTTTATTTTACGTGATTGATCTCACCACTGGAATTACGCTGTGCTATAAGGCTGCAGTAATCCTTAACCAGTGACTCACAAACCCAGCTGGTGCTTAATTTGTATTGCAATCAGCAGTGTGGGAGCACGTTTTTCTATTTTCTGAGTAAACATACGAACCCAGGATCAATATAGATTGGAGACTGTTTGCAATTAACAAAAGATGAGTTCAATGATATTATGCGGGGTGGGGGGAGGCAGGGAAGAAGAAAAGCAAGGACCCTCATTTAAAAATTCATCCAGGTGCTCTCATGTTGAAATGTCTGAATAAATTAACACAGAATTAGAAAATTGTGTATAATTAAGGTTTTTTAATGCACCTCTGTTAAGTATTAAAACACAAACATACAGAAAAAGAAGCTTTTGAGAACACATATTTGTTTTGATTAAGGATAAGACATTTGATAAAAGTTAATATATTTGCCAACACATTACAAATGAGCATGAAGATGATAGATTTTTTTGGTGTGTATCTTCCCTCCTATTTGTGTGATAAACAACTGCCATGTATTCCATATTTTCTATGGATATTGTTAAGACTTGGACTGACCTCTCAATCATATTTTACTCACTTATTTAATCTGTAAACCAAAAATAAAATTCTACACCCACCTCAACCACCTGAATGGACTTCCTCCTCAGCCAGGGCACTCTTAAAACTTAACATGAAGGACTGGTTCAGGCCATGATGGGAAGTGGGGATCAGGTATGCCTCATTATACCTCTCCATCATTAACATCAACACATACTTTAGGTCTGATAAGAAACTTTTTACAGCCTATTTTCTCTGAAGCCTACTACCTGAAGGCTTCCTCTGCAAATAAGAACTTTGGTCTCCACAATCCTTTATCTTAACCCAGGCATTCCTTTCTATTAATTCCAGGTCTTTAGATAAACTCAACCAATTGTCAACTAGAAAAATTGTAAATCTGTCTATAAGCTGGAAGCCCCCACTTCAAGTTGTCCCACCTTTCTGGACCAAACCAACGTATTTCTTAAATGTATTTAATTGAAGTTTTATATCTCTCTAAACTGCATAAAACCAAGCTGTACCCCAACCACCTTGGGCACATGTTCTCAGGACCTTCTGAGGGCTGTGCCATGGGGCATGGTCACTCATTGTTGGCTCAAAATAAATCTCTTCCAGTATTTTACAGAGTTTGACTCTTTTCATTAACACTTCTATTCACTCATTCAAAAATATTTATTTCTGGCCTGCTTATGCTCAAAACTGGAGATAAGGCAGTCAGTATAACAAAATATGGTCCTGTTTGTTGAAGATCTTAGGGTCTGGAGAGGCAGTGAGTCACCAAACAATCATGTGAATGCAATGTTGATAAATGCTGTGAAGGAGGCATAAATGGTGTTCCAGCTACAAAAATAGCTGGCTCTGACTCCCGAACTAGAATTATTTCTCTGATGTGTTTGCAGAGGTGATATGAAATGCTGTTAACTATGGGTGAAAGTTAAAGAATAGTCAATGCGTTCATCTAGAAATATTTTTCTCTTGCCGCATTTAGCTTTGGGTTAATTGTTTGGTAGAACTTATTTTGTGGCTGCCTGAAAATATGAAATCTTCTAGCTCAGCGGTCTTACACACTGCTCATTCACAACTATTTATACTATCATCAAGTGGTTAATGTGCACTAAACCAACTAAAGGACTAATTTAAAAGTTTCTTTTTCTGCTTTTTTTTTTTTTCCTGGGAACCCAGTGGCATCCTAGGGATTTGTCAGAACACTGTCAACAGAGGAAGACTCAGGAAAAGAATGAAAAGTCCAGCTGCTCCCAGCCCTTTCCAGCCTCCATTCATTATGCTTAAGTCTGTTCCTACATAGTGGGCTGTTTCATTGGGGCTGCATGGTGTTTGTCCCTGACTGGAGTGGAAGTTTCAGAAGAGTGAGCTCTTGGAGAACTGAGAGTTAAGTTAGCCTCTTTACAAACTAAATGGATGTTTTTTCATTGGAAACGAGTTCTTTTCTACACAACTTATATCTAGAAAGTCAGTTAGCCAGTAAATATATGAGATTCAAAAAAGGTCTGAAGGAAATACGAATGGTAGGGAGAAAGGAAGGCAGGCAGAGAAGTCAAGATTTTGAAAATCAGTAAAAACTATTATGAGCAAAAACATTTCTTTTTGACCAGCTAACCGTTCTGTCAAACTAAGTTCTAGCCAGATAATCATAGCTACTGCATAATAATGGAATTTTTTTTTATTGTGCTGTGACATGCCTGAAATAAATTTCATTAGAACTGGTTATTGATATGAGACTTAAGTAGCAGAGGAAGCTTGCTGTAATCAGCCAATGTTTTAGTATTTTTCTCAGTATTTTAGAGCATTAGTATTCTTTATCAATATAAATATTTAAAACCTATGAATTGAAAAAATAAGCAAAAAGAAATGGAAGTTAACGATGATATTTCTATTTGATAGTCTGTAATGTTAAGAGGAACTAAGTATAGAAGATAAGACTTCTAGAGTTTCCTAAATCTCTAAATGTTTCACACTGAATTTTATCTAAATAGTTACTACATGCCCTTTAAGAGAAACTGATAAATGATTCACACTAAGGGGAAAAAAATCAGGAAATATTCAGACTTTAGTTTCTGGCAGAGTAGAAATGATACATTTTCACATTGCTTTAATCTCTAATCAACATTAAATTAGAAAATGAAACAAATGTTCTGAAACAAAGAAAAATCAATGAAAAGACACAAAGAGCATAAATATGTGGAATGTAATCAAAATTGTAGCTAATTGTTATGCTGAAAAAATTAGCTACATGTGGACTGAATAAAATAAACTCTATGAAATTGCCGACATTTGTAGTTTGTTCAATATGCAGCATTGTTCAAAATGCCAAGTGTTAGGAATGACTGTTGTAGTCACTGTTTTGATCTCAAGGCAATTGAACAAAAGTGATGAAGTTTAAGAATAGGAAATTTTGGGGACCTATAAATTTATAATAAAATTAACAAATGAAATAGAATACATCCTGGACTTAAAAATGGAAGAATCTAAACACTAGCTAGTGTTTTCATCTGAATTCACTTTCAACAAACATGAAAAATGGGGATAATTATGTTTTTTTAATCCCCTATTGTACCAAGGACAAACAAACCAATATATTAAAAGCCCTTTGTGGTCCTCAGGGGAAAGGCAAAGAAAATTCATCGATGACTTCAAACTGGTGGTAAATGGAAACACTCACATTCTGTTTGGTTAACAGTGAACTGATACCTGGCAAAGTGTCCTCTTGTGATATCATTCAGGATTGAGCAAAGTTGTGGACAATAGGATAAGCAAAGTGGAAGTTTCTTTCATGTATCTGTGAATCTCTTAGTAAGGCTCATGCAAAGCTTGGAAATTTTCTTCAAGTTATGTAGCTACATGGGGCAGCTCGGGGCAGAAGGTTGTCATTGTAGCCACCTCCAATCAACTCCTCTTATCATCTGGCAGCCATTTTGCGAGGCAGAAATGTAACCCCACATAGCCCTTCCTTAACTATCTCTTACAAGCTTGGAATCTTCTTAAACTTGACATGCAGGCCTGAAGGTAGCTTAGTAAACTAAGTCATCTCTTAGGTATAACTTTCTCCACAACGGATGAATCTCTGTTGTCACTTAACACATGGAGAAATAAAGATAGGTGTTATCCTACCCTCATTGTTGGAGATAATTGAGAGAATATAAACAGTGAAGAAACAAATCAAGTTACGAATGCCATAGGGGCATTGCCTCACATCTTTAAATTGGTACATGTTCTGAAAGGAATTGGTTGCTATGAATCAATGATCAAAAAATGTTTAAATCCATTGGTTTAGCCATCTCATTCTAAGGAAATACAGTAATTCAAAAGAAGGTAAATTATATGCAAAAAGGTATCAAATACATGTTTAGTAAAAGTTTTGTCATAACAATAAACCAACTGGAAATAAATTAGTTGTCCAGAAATAGTGGTATACTTATGGCACTCAGCTAGAAGAAATATTAAGCAGTTATTTATATGTATCATTATAAAGCTGTGGCTACATAAGTGCTTATAATATTTAGTAGAAAAAAATCTAAAAAGTTATATGCATAGGATAATTGCAAATGTATGTGAATATATATGCAGAAGAAAAATAGAAGGGAAACACACAAACAAAATTTAGTAAATGTTGACTTAGTGCCAGACTCTGTTCTAAAAATTGAAAGAAAGCAGTGAAAAAAGACAGGACACTGTTCCCTTAACATTTACATTTAGTGAGAGGAAATAACAAGCAGTAAAAATGAATAAACAAGAATATGTCAGATAGCGACAAGTGGTATAAAGAAAATGATTTTGATAGAGTATGTAGGGAGGGGGTTATTTTGGATTGCAGAGTTGAGGAAGACCTCTGAGTGGATGGACTGTCATCAGGGGTCCAGAAGCTCTGACTGTGAGCTACTTTAGGCACTTGTTGTGACCTCAGCCCTCTTCACATCCTTCCCAGCTGCCAAATGGAAGTCATCATCTTATCTACATCCTGGAGGAGGTTCCTGAGAATGGAGTCATTCTTGTGCACAGGGGCAAAGGTTTTCTTCTGCAAGAACAGAGTGACCAGAACTTCAGCTTGTTTGCTGCAAGTCCTACGTCCTATGTGGCATTCCTCAGGGGCAGTTATCTAAAGGGTAGTCAGCATTTCTAGGTCCATCCAGTGGAAGCTGCTGACCTGAGTATGGTTTCTTGCATCTTCAGTTTATACAGTCTCCAGTTCAAATCAGAACCAAATGCTAACCCCGTGTGGTGACCACAACCTTGTATTGCATTTGGAATCAGCTCTTTTTCCTTCCACCTGCCCAGTGTTCTATCCGAATGCATCTTTCTCTGACTTGTTTCCTCTAGTGGGGAGCTGGAGGGATTCAATCCTGGTGAATCCCTCGTGGAGGACTCAGATGCTGCACTTAGCTGCCCCCTCCCTTACTTGCAAACTGTGCACAGTGCCTGGGGCAGAAAGAGGAAATGTGATGCAGTTTGCTCTGTTAGCATCTCCAGCAGGAAGAGTACAAATAAAGGCATTTTTCTTACTAAAGTTTGTTAAGCCTGGATTCTTCCCTCCTCTCCTCCCATAAATAGCATACTTAATGGCCAAGTGGCTAAAGTCATTCTAATTGCTAAAGTTCAGCAGTGAGATGGCCTTGAATAGGGCTCCTGTCCCCAGTGTGTGTATGACAGCAGTCCAAGGGCCTTAACTCTTCTCAAAGTCACCAGTATTTATTTTTGTTTTTATGACTGAAATGAGGCCTAAAGTTCTGCAAAGAGAGACCTGATGAAATGGTGGCCTTCCACCCACCACTAGACTGGGAGTTTGCACAGGACTGTGAGGGGAGTGGGTAGTAAATTGCTGGTATTGATGAATGTAGGATTGATTTCTCATTTACCTTGAGACTCATATTACATTTAAGATCATCTAGATTGTGTTGAAGAAGAGGCACAATACTCTTGGCAAACCTGATGTATTAAAATAAAGCTGTCCCCTACAACCTCTCAGTCACACATGGTATTACTGTAGCCAAACCAGTGTGTGTCTCAGCCATGGAGATAGACTGCTCTTAACTTGCACAGCACCTTGAGGGAGCAGGCAATATATGGATAAGGATCAGGGTACAGAAGGACCAATGGGAATGTTGTCATCCTGGTGGTCAGAGCGTCTGGAGGAGGCAGATGGACCTCACCAGGGAAGTTTCATTGGGTCGGTTTTGTGCAGAAATTTCCTATAGCTAAATTACCAACCCTCCAACTCCTCTCCCTGGTATATAATGCCTGAATGGAATTATAATCAACTGCATTGCATCAAAAGCCTTAAAATGAGTCAGAGGTTTCTCCCACCCAATGCCATTTCTCACCCTCTAATCCTACCTAATCTTTAACAAAACCGCAGTAATTCTAATGACAATCTCTATTTTGTTGGACTTTCTTATAGCTGTTAAACTACTTGTGCTATAATAAATAAATAATTAATGAATAAACCAACAAACAAAGGCCTGAATAACAGGAATGACAAGGACTATTTTAGGACGAGATTTTAGGGAATTTGCTCTCCCACCAATTCAAATTATCTAAAAGGCTATATTTAAAAAGAATCATTACACACAGCTATGTTTAAGAATATTAAGGTAAGAAATTTCTTATACTTTATGTGTGCACAGCATCTGGTTCTTAGAGCAGATTTGAGATTGGACCTGCTTGAGAGTATCCACTATGAGTAATTTTATTTATTTCTTTGTTTCCTCCCCACCCTTTCCTTTGCCCTCATCTCTGTCTGGTTCAGAGACAATGCTTGCTTCACACTTGCTTGGTATTCTGGCTCTGTCTTGTCTTATCAAAATGCTAAGGCTGTGTTCACTGCAGCCTCAGGTCATGACTTTTAAATAACAATAGGAAATTGCTATGAGGATGTATGTAATGTTGCATTGTCTAAAATTTTTCTTCACAAAAGATACATTTTTGGCATCTAGAGATATTTCTTTGTCTTATTTCATTGTAAATATAATGCATTGTATAAATCCATGAGTCATTTCCAATCACTCGACAGATTGTACTCAAAAGACTGTTTGGCAAGACCCCAACGTAATGCATAGTTAGTCATCTGCTCCACCATCTGTCACAAATATGTTATTTGGATACTCTTAAAGCTTTGGTCTAGATCAATTCATTGTGATTGACAGGAATCCATCTTAGAACCTTAAAATATAGTCTGCCTGATTTTTTACAGCTTTCTTTACAACAAAATTCAGACACATAAATACACTGTGTTTTCTATGCTCAAAACATCAAGTTGGGGAGATATCAGTTTGTGGATTAAGGTCTGATTTGCTTCAATTATATAAACATTAATTGAATATTAGGTCATTGAGGTTGTTCAATTTGTATGTAACCATCTCAGTCAGATTAGTATAAAAATTTCAACTCCTCAAAAAGTCTCCCATGTTTATATCTGCTTATAGTCATTTGTGGCTCTATGTCAACAGGACACTTTTATACTCAATATGTATGATATTTACCAAGTGTCCCTTAATGGGAAGATTTTGGGGGCATTCGGAGGTGATCATATCTATAGCTTCTCTATCTGTCAAAGGTGCAACTTTTATAGGAGCTGGACTCCAAAGATGACTTCCAACAATTCCTCTATATATGTTCATGGTCATGCTCAAATCAAGAAGTAAAACTTATTTTTCTTCTTTCTAAATCTAGATGAGCCAACAGAAAGCGGTGAAAATGGCATACTGGGACTTCAAAACTGAGATATTAGAGAGTTAGCAACTTCCTTTTGGAATGTTTTTATCAAAATGGCCCCTAATAGAACTCAATAGCTATTTTGTGAAAAACTCAACCCACATGGAAAGGCCATGTCACTTCAGCTGACAGCCTCAGCTGAACTCCCAGCTGAGAGCCAGTATCTACTGCCATCCACGTTAGTAAGCCCACTTGGACATTCCACCTTAATTCGCCCCTAGATGGCTAAAGCTCTTTGATGAAATTGTGTGGAGCAGAAGAACAATCCAGCTGAGCCCAGTCAAGCCAAAGAATCATGAGAGATAACTAAATGGCTGTTCTTTTACACTACTCAGCTGGATGCTGCATAGCATTAGATAAATAAAAGCCTTGTAAGGTCTCTATGCCTATCAGGAGCCAGGGTCTTCAGTGGGCAGGTGTCTTCTGTGGGGAAAAAATGTTACCATCCCTGAGAATAAAATTTACAAAGGGGTCTCCTGATGGACCTATAGTCAGGGTTTCCCAGAAAACCACAACTCTATTGAAGTTCCTCACTCTGGGACAGAGAAAAACAGATGAAAAGCCTATGAGTAGATGTATTCTTGCTTTCACCAATTTCACTCCTACACCTGCTGGCACATTATTTTTACAGGTGTTTTGTAACTTCCATGCATTTTCTTTCATATTGCATTATAAGCTATTTGTGGTAAAGGGGGAAAAAGTACAAGCTCCTTCCCAGGAGTATAGCCTTGGCATGATACTTGGATCTCCTGTAGTCTGTTTCTCTTTCAGTTAGATGATCCACTTTGCAAGATTACTGTTAGAATCAAGTGAAAAAACTTAACTGTTTTCTCTTTTACAATACCCTAAATGCACTTCTAAATTTTTTTGATATGCAGAGTTTTGCTATATTTCTCTTTTTTTTTCTTGTTTGCCTTGTCTTGTATATGACAGAGACTTGACATGTTTAAATGATGAAAACATTGATTTATGTTTGGAAACAATGTGATATTTATCTCATTTTTTTACCTGGAGGATTTTCTGGCAGTATATAAATGGATACTTTGCCTCATACGATAAATTATAGCACCACGACAGAGTGAATAGTCCCAAGGCACATAGTTTCCCAAAGTGAATATGATTAAACTCAGTAGGAGGGTGACGCATCACTGGCTCTCCTGAACATTTGGATATGCGACCATTAGAATGACCTTCCTGGCCAAGTAGGGCTGAAGAGTTTTACAAATGGTTCTGGTAGATAAGCAATGAAACTAATCAGAAGTTTTTTCAGGATGCAGAAGTTCAAAATGGTGCCATTTTATAATCAAGTACAACACTGAAATTGGAGTTTCTTGTTTCCTATTTTCTCATCGTTTAGAAATAAAATCCATTTGAGCAAATAATTCAGATAATGGTGTCTTGCCATGCACATGAGCATGACACCTTTAAAAATGAACTTTTAGATGGGTATGCTTCTTTTGGCTTGGCTTGAGATGCAGGAAATCTGAGCTCTTTTTTTTCCAGACTTACCTGTGGGATTATATTTGTGATCTCACTTTATTTAACACTCTGTGTCCCAGGACACTGACACTTCTGTAAAAAAGAGAAAAGAAAAAAAGAACTGTCTCCTGGGGTCTCCTGACTTGCATATCCTTTAAGATAAGAGAGTAAATGGTCTTAAATAGTTTTACTGCTCTTTAAGGAATGAGTCTAATATATGAAAATTTAAATCGATACATCATGAAGTTGTTTTTTTGTGTGTATGAATGTCTGTATTTAATTTAATTTTCAACAACTTTTTCAAGGTGTAATTGTTATAGAAAAAAACTGCACTTATTTAATGTACATGATTTGATGGGTTTGAACATATGTATGTATCTGTGAAACCATCACCATAATCAATATAATAAACATTATCATGTTCAAAAGTTTCCTTCTGTTTCACCTTCTTTTTTTGTGGTAAGAACCCTTAGCTTGAGATCTGTCCTCATAACAATTTTTTTTTTTTTTTGAGACAGACTCTCACTCTTTCACCCAGGCTGGAGTGCAGTGGTGTGATCTCGGCTCACTGCAACCTCCGCCTCCCAGGCTCAAGCAGTTCTCATGCCTCAGCCTCCGAAGCAGCTGGGATTACAGGCACACGCCACCACGCCCAGATAATTTTTGTATTTTAGTAGAGATGGGGTTTCACCACGTTGGCCAGGCCGGTTTTGAACTCCTGACCTCAGGTGATCCACCCACCTTGGCCTCCTCATAACAAACTTTTAAGTGAACATTCTAGTATTAGTTATAGGCTCTATGTTGGATAGTAGATCTCTAGAAATTATTCATCTTGCATAACTGAAAATTTATATTTGTTGAATAACATCTCTCCATTTCCCCTCCGCCTAGTCCCTGGTAACAATCATTCTACCTTCTGCTTCTGAATTTGACTATTTTAGATACCTCATATAAGGGAAACTGCAATATTTGTCCTGTCCTTATTTCACTTATTTGTCTTATTTCACTTGCCACATTGTGCTCCAGTTTCATCCATGTTGTCACATATGGCAGGATTTTCTTCTTTTTTAAAGAATAATATTACATTGTTTGTATATGCCACATTTTCTTTATCTATTCATCCACTTATGAGCATTTAAGTTGTTTCCATATCATGAATATTGAGAATAATGCTACAATAAACATATGAGTGAACATATCTCTTTGAGACCCTATTTCAATTTAATTAAATATATACCCAGAAATGAGATTACTGAATATATAGTTTTTTTTTTAATTTTTAGAGGACTCTTCATACTGTTTTGCATAGTGGCCACACCATTGTACATTCGCACCAAAAGTGTACAAGGCTTTAACTTTCTGTACATTCTCATCAACACTTGTTATTTTTTGTCTTTTAGATAATAGCCATCCTAACAGGTGTGAAGTGATATCTTGTTTTGGTTTCAATTTGCATTTTCCTGATGATTAGTAATGTTGAGCACTTTTTCATATACCTGTAGACCATTTATATATCCTCTTTGAAAAAATGTCTAGTCAGATCCTCTGTTATTTGCTTTGTTATGGAGTTATAGGCATTCCTTATATATTTTTGATATTAACTCCTTATCAGATACACGGCTTACAAATATTTTCTCCTATTTCATAAGGTGCCTTTTCATTCTATTATTTCCTTCCTTTGCTGTGCAGAAGCTTTTTTTTGCTGTGCAGAAGCTTCCTTTGCTGTGCTTCCTTTGCTGTGCAGAAGCTTCCTTTGCTGTGCAGAAGATTTTTGCTGTAATCCCACTTGTCTATTTTTTCTTTTGTTATTTGTGCTTTTGGTGTCATATCAAAATCATTGACAAGACCACTGTTATGAAGAGTTTTCCCTATGTTTTACTCTATGAGCTTCATAGTTTCCAATCATGTGTAAGTCTTTGATTCATTTTGAGTTGATTTGGAGGTATGGTGTAAGAAAGGGTTCAGTTTTATTTCATGTTTTGTATGTGGATATCCAGTTTTCCCAATACCATTTATTGAAGTTTATTCATTCCCTATTGTGTATGCTAAGCATCCTTGCCAAAGACAAGTTGAGCAGATATGCATGTGCCTATTTCTGGGCTCTCTATTCTGCTCTATTGGTCTTTATGTGTATATGCCAATACTACATCATTTTATTTACTGTAGCTGTATTATATTTTGAAATGAAGAAGTGTGATACTTCCAGCCTTCTTTGTCCAGAAAAATTTGGCTAGTCAAGGTCTTTTGCAGTCTCCTAGGAATTTTAGGATTGTTTTTCTATTTCAGTGAAGAACGTCATTGGTATTTTGATCAAGATTTCATTGAAACTGTACATTGCTTGGGTAGTGTGGTTATTGTAACAGCATTATATCTTCCAATCCATGAATATGGGGTGTGTTTTCATTTAATTTGTGTCTTTTAAAAATTTATTTCATCAATGTTTTATAGTTTTCAGTCTACAAGTATTTTACCTACTTGGTTAAGTTTATTTCTAAGTATTTTATTCTTCATGATGCTATTGTAAATGAGATTGTTTTCTTAATTTCCTTTTAAAAGAGTTCATTGTTAGTGTATAAAAATGCAACTGATTTTCGTACAGAGATTTCGAATCCTACAACTTTCTGATTTCATTTATTAATTCTAACAATTTTGTTGTGTTGTTTTTAGGGCTTTCTATCCATAAAATTGTCATCTGCAAACAGAAATAATCTTACTTCTTCATTTCTGATTTGGATGTCTTTCATTTCTTTCCCATACCTAATTGTTCTGGTTAGAGCTTCCAGTACTATGTTGAATAAAAGTGGTGAGTGGGCATCCTTGTCTTGTTCCTCATCTTAGCAGGAAAGCTTTCAGTTTTTTACTTTTGAGTATGAGGGCAGCTGTGGACTTGCCATATATGACCATTATACTATGGTAAATGCCTTCTATACCTAATTTGTTGACAGTTTTTATCATGAAAGTATGTTGAGTTCTGTCAGAGGTTTTTTATGCATCTTTTGAGATGATCATGAGATTTTTACCCTTCATTCTGTTAATGTGATGTATCACATTAATTAATTTGCATATGTTAAACCATCATCCCAGGGATACAATCCACTTGATTATAGTGTTGATGACATTATTGGAGTCGTTTTAACGTAGAAGAATTATTTGCTTTTTCTTTACCTCCAAATGGCAAGGTTCCTTAAGGTTTTTGAAACTGAATTTGATTTATAAATCATACAGGCAGCCAACTTTTTCAGGCATGCTTTCATATTCTATAGCTCATATGTACATAACTAAATTGCTATATACTGTATAGTTATATGTAAGAGTGGATGAGTACTGACTACCTTCCAAAGGAAGAAAATCTAGAGACACACGAGCAAATAAAATAGGAAGCAAATCACATGCAGTAATCACTGGACTCACTATTCCTATCCAAAGCTTCAAAAATAAGTTGTTTCTAGGTTGGAAGGGCTAAAGGACTTTCTCTCTTGCTCTTCTCAGATATTTGAACCAACACTGAAATATACAAAGAACAGCTAAAAGTTTCTTTTCTTTCCAGACTCTTCACTTCCTCTTTCGCCTATCTGGAAATTTTTCCTCTTATCTTTCTCACCTAGGGTTCTTTTCATCTGCCATATTCTGGTCCAAATATTACCCCTTCAGAGAGGCTTTCAATCATCACTTTATCCGAGGAATGTACTCACCGTATTCAGTAGCACACCCTCTTTATTTACCTCATAGCAGTTATTGCTGTCTTTGATTATTTTCTTATCTATTGTCTATTCTTCCCACTACCACATGACATTCTCAAAGCTAGGAATTATTCATTTAATCTGTTTATATCCCCAGTTTAAATAAAAGAATATTTACTTGAATACTTGTCAAATAAATGAATGAGACTTAGGGAGACTTACAAAGTGATATATTTATTAAACTGCATTGTCTACAAAATTGGGTGGGGGTAAAGGTAGCTTCTAGAGACTATTTAAGGGAATAAGAATCATTGCTTAGTTTTCTGCATATGGCTAACTGTGTAGATGTTCTTTGGCTAGCTTTATTAGTATTCCACAGCACCTCCTGCTGCCACCTAGAACATGTCTTGACTGTCTTCCTGCTCTGATTAGAGATGTGCTGTCTGAGCACTCATTTCAGTATCAGTTAAGCCAGACATAATTGAGGAGGGAAATGAGCTGCTCTGCATGCAGACGCATGTTTCCCCAAAACAAACAAACAAAGCTAGTGAGCAAGAAAAAATCAGTGAATTGCAGCCAGAAAAAAAGAAAAGATTTTGTCTTAGAAACAAAAGATCCGAGGCTCAAGTCTTTCTCCGCAACTCAAATTCCCTTGATTAAGTCACAAGGCCTTTTTGAGGCTCAATTTTGTTAACTATTATGTGGGTATAATAGCAACTGCCCTATGCTCTTAGAGTTTCTGGGAGAAATGTATGGCATGGAAAGCACTTGGAAAACTGTAAAGCTCCCTCTCCACAAAAGGAATTGTTTTTAGAGTATAATTGAAATATCAGGCTCTATAATATGTAAACAAAATCCTGTGAAGTAAGGATGTAACATCCTACAAGAATCCCACAATCTCATATGGTCCTGGCCACTAAGAAACTCAATATTATATGTTTATCCAACAAACATCCAGGCTCTAGGATTGACACTGTAAGAATAAGAAAGATATAGTATCTGTTTCACATAGCTTACAATTCAGGGGTGAGAATGAGCTAAGAGTAATAATAGCATGTAATAAGTGCAAAGTCACAGTTAGCGTAATAAGTGCCATGTCATAATTCGTGCTAGCAGAAGTACCAGGACTCCTGGAAGGGCGTGAAAATATTTCTCTGAAGGAGATATATATATAGAATCTAAGACCTGAAATATAAATAAGAATAATGAGGTTAAATGGTAGGAGAATGCTCCAAAAAATGAAAGCATTTTTGAAGTCCAGGAGTAAATAAAAGAGAGAACAAAGAGGTTTTGAGGAAAATATAAGATGTTGTTATGGGTGAAGCTCAGTGTGTGAGGTGGGGGTTGATAAGAGGTAAGGTTGAGAAGCTCTGCTGGAGCCATGAACTGAAGGAATTTAACTTTATTGTGAAATCAGTGCAGGGATCTTCAAGCATTTCAAAGCACAGTGGTGAAATAAGATTTTGTTTTAGAAGGGTTACTCCGACTACAGTATAGAAAATAATTAGGCAAGAGTGGGAATAGGCATATGAGTTAGGAGGTTGATTAAGTATCCTAGGTAAGACATAGAACTGAGTGTTGGCAATGGGGATGGAGAGAGATTTAGATGCTTGGTTTAGTGAGAGGAATGAGTCAGGTTCTCTAAATTGTGATAACCCCTATGTCTTCAGACTTCAAAGCATTCCACATTCTCCACTGGGAAGTAGAAGAAAGCTTCATAGTGGTTTGACTTTTTTTTTTTTTAAATTTCTGGATCTATCTTTAAATATCCCAATGAGCTTAGGAAGAAAAACTCAGTGCATAAGAAATTTTGTGCTGTGGCTTCTTCAGAGAAGCTCATGAAGAAAAACTACATCTTTAAAAATTAGGAATAAAATGTGTAGGTTTCTATTTATCCATAAGATTTCAGGTTATTTGCTTATTTAACCAAGTATTCAGCAACAGAGAAATTGTCATTATTGCTCAAACGATTACAATACTGTGTTAATATGTTTTGTACTGCTTTAACAGAGTACCTGAGACAGGGAATGTCATTTTGTGCTGCCATAACAGAATACTGAAGCTTTATAAAAAACAAATTTATTTCTCACAGACTGGAGATGGAAAAGTCCAAGATCAAGGTCCAGCTTCTGGTGTTAAATGAGGGCCTTCATACTGTGTCATCTCATAGCAGAATGCAGAAGGGCAAAAAGGGACAAACTCTGTGTCCTCATTTGGCAGATGAGCAGCAAAGAGAGAACGCACTCCCACAGCCCTTTTTATAGTGGCATTAATCCATTCAGGAAGGTGAAGCCCTCATGACCTAAACACCTTCTATTAGGCCCCCACTCCTAACACTGTTGCAATGGGGATTAAATTTCCATTGCATGAATTTGGATTATAGACAACACAACAATACGTTTAATGCGAAAATACTTGACATTATTTACTATTTTTATTGACATTCTTTAGAGACTTACAGAGGCACATGTCATTATTATAAACCCTACCTTTTACTTACAGTTGTGGGTGTCAAAGGATTGAGACGTTGGAATGAGAGATCTTTATTGATACTAGCATTACTCTGCAAGAATAAATCCCTGCTACCGCTCATCTGTTTTCATTAAAAAATCATGTGTAGAATATATAAACTGTAAAAAAATCTTTTTTTTAAACTTTCTGATTGCTTAGATTCCAGGTAAGTATTTCAAAAAATCCTACAGATAAAAAAATTATACTAAGGATTTAGATTGTTAGAGTAGAAAGACAGTAGAATAATAACAATATTTGCATTGATTGAGGAGTTACTACTTGTCAGACATTGACCAGTAACAGAAATAGTGGGGATCTGAATCCAGGTCTACCTTTCAAGTACATGATAGGCAGTTTTCTCAAGGTTTCAACTGGCATCCTGCAGTCTACACTAAGTCCGAAGCTTACATTTTGCTGGCCTAATGTGGGCCCATATAATGTTTTAATTTTATTTTTCAATGAATTGCCAACATTTTAAAATTGAGGTGCTTCAACCATATTCTTGAATTTCTAGTTTCTTTTTAAAAATTGTGAAATATGACTTTATTTTCTCACCAAAAAAAAATCAAAGTTCTGCTTCAGTATAGTATAGTGTAGTATAGGACAGTCCAGTATAGTATAGTATAGTATAGTATAGTATAGTATAGTATAGTATAGTATAGTATAGTATAGTAGTATATATAGTATATACAGTACGGCACAGCACAGTACAGTCTAGGAAAGCTTATACCATGTACTCTGAAGTTTACCCTAATTCTCTCTGTTGCATTTCTATTACCAAAGCCAAGTTTAAGTTGCGCTGACGATGAATACTTGTCCTACAATTTTAAGATAGAGTTAAAAAGAGTGTTGATTATTTATGATGTATTCATGTTTCTCTAATGTTAAAAACTGAAAGTCTAAGAGGATTGCATGTTTAAAGAAAAATGGGAGAAAATATACATCTTTGGGGCTTTGAAAAATTATGTCTATTTACATGAAGTTCCTGGCCCACTGAGTTTTTGACAGCTGTTTACCCTTCTTATTTGTTTATTATAACTTTAGAATGGAGGCTCAGGCACAGAATGGAGGCTTGAGTATTTTTTAAAGCTCCCAGTAATCTTAAAGAGCAGCTGAGTTGAGAATCACTGGGTTAACCACACAGCTGGTTAGTGCCAGAGCCAGATCCCCTGACCTAAGTGTGCCCTAAGTGTGGGTGACTCACACAAAAGCAGAGAAGCAGCTGCTGTAAACCCACCCCCACCCCGTAGCAGGACAAAGCCCCCCATTTAAGTGGAAAGAAAGGTCTTTTGTGTTTTGCTTTTATCTTACATTTTCCAAGCTTTGCTTGTTGCTCTTTACTCTTGGAAAATATTTTTTAAAATCTTTACAATTTAACACAGCCACTCGCCTATTTATAACAAGCCTGCAATTGGGAAGAGCTGTATCGAATTTTGGTGAATCATCATCCCCTTCCAGCAGGAAAGGCATAATTTATATAATGGGAAGTGGTGGAAAGGTGAGCTATTTCATACTGAACTAGAGGTTCAGGAAGTTACTGGGACATAGTTTTTTTTACCTGAAAATCAAATCAAAGTATGCTAGAATAAATCTCCCAGAGCCCTGACTCTTGACAGCCAGGGGAAGCAAGGATAGAGTGAGAACATGTGAAAATTGAAGTGGAGCAGAGTCCAGTTTTCCTATAGGCAGCAAGTGCACAGAGCATAACAGAGCTTTATGCTTCCCTCAAGAATTTCACATATCAGTTTGGGAGATAAACTGACAGCAATGGGAATTAAGTGAGGAGTCTTAGGAGTGGCTCAGTTCAACTGACTTCTGATCCAGTGTGTCTCTGTAAAACTCATACCTTTGTTGTCATTGGGCACACAGTGAAGAACTGAGAATTTGTAGTCCAAAAATAAATACGGAGGTATATCCATTTAATACCTGTTTAAATATTTAAAATCCTGAGGAGGAAAGCCTTAAACTTGGTATCTAATTATCCGTTCAATTATGAGCAAATTTTCAATCGGATCGAAGCCTCCAATGCTTCTCAATATTGATGAATCATTCAATTTGCAGAAAACCCAGAACTAGGCACTCTGGCTTAACTAGTAAACTAGTTAACCAGTCAATTAGTAAACACCGGTGTTGATTTCAGAAGATCCTTAAAATCTCCAAACAGGTTTCATTTTAGTGGTGAGTCTTAGCTGGGTGGAGGTGGTCGAATTTGTGAACCTATTTGGTAAAAGCACTTTAAAATGTCAGTGAGCTTATAATATTAAATCTGTGTTGTAAGCCATACCTCACAGCTCCTGAACTTTATGGGTTTGGGTGCAGGGAGATAGGATTTAGCAAGTGGAATGACGCATCTGGGTTTTGACGGGCTGTTCTATGGGATTCTACTTTATTTATGTTTAATTTCTGAATCTAATTGACCCATATGTAAGTAATGATTTCTCTAGGTGTTCTTCTGCACATTCACACCATTGCCAATTGTGCAATGATTCATATATCCATCTTGGAATCTGTTAGATTTGAATCTGAATTTCTCGTCAAGTATGTACAAGCTATATGACCTCAGAAAGCTTGTTTATTTTTTTCTAAATTTCAGTTTCCTTGTGTGTAAAAATGAAATAATAATAGTCCCCACTCTGTAAAACCATTGTGAAGATAAGATAATGTATGTTCAAAACAAACAGACAAAGTGTCTGGATCCCAATCAATGTTTAATGTAAGATATCATCATCACCATCACCATCCTCATTCTCCTCATCATGACCATTAGATCTTTAGCTATCAAACACTGCTTATGTTTAAAAGTAAGCAGTCATCCCCCACAAAGCTTCTCCTTTTTGAAATCTCCAATCTTTGCAGTTAGAATTTATGTCTTTCTCCTCAACTTTCCTTAACAGTTTGTTTAAGCCCTTATTACTCTAAAACTAAATTATAGCCTGGCTTATATCAGAGAATTTATTTCCGTAATATGCAGTGAATTCCTTAGGAAGAGTTTCTATCTCTTATTTATTTTTATTTTCCTAAGATATATTAAAATGGCTAACATGCAGAACATATTTGTTGTTGTATTAAATGCTTCTAGGTGACTAGTTACTGTTTCTAAATTGGTCTTATCTTCCTGCTGCTTAGTGCTGATGCATTAAAGATATTCATAATTTCATGATAGTACAAAAGAAAGAAAATAAGGGAAAAAATAGAAGGCAATGACTAAAATATTTATGCATTTTAATAGCATATTTTTTCTAGCTGTAAAAAAATTGGTAAGTACCAGAAAGTGTAAAGAAATATGAATAAATTTATCTTTGGCTCCTCTACTACAAAGCAATTTCAACATATGTGTTTTGACATATATATTTTTTAGTTATATATATATATACACTTTTTTTTTTTTTTTTTTGAGACGGAGTCTCGCTCTGCCACCAGGCTGGAGTGCAGTGGCACAATCTCAGCACACTGCAACTTCCACCTCGCAGGTTCAAGTGATTCTCCTGCCTCAGCCTCCCAAGTAGCTGGGATTACAAGTGAGCGCCACCACACCCAGCTAATTTTTGTATTTTTTGTAGAGATGGCATTTCACCATGTTGGCCAGGATGGTCTCGATCTCCTGACCTCATGATCTGCCCTCCTCAGCCTCCCGAAGTGCTGGGATTACAGGCATGAGCCACTGCGCCCAGCCTAATATAGTTTTAATAGAAGTTGATTACACTGTGTGTATGCACACACATATAAGAATATTTTGTACACTTTTACTGTTGTTTAATTATTCATCTTTTCCAATGAAATTAAAAATCTCTTCACAAAAACTTCTTCACAAACTTTTTTTTTAATGGTACATATTATTTGATCTCATAGCTGGTTCATAATTTACTCAGTGATTAACACTAATTTGATTCATTCCAGTTTTCATTATCATAATTCATGTTGAAACAGATATTTTGCACATAAATATGTGTTCACATTTCAGATTTTTCTTTGGGACAAATTTCTATACGTGGAATTATTGAGTCAAAGAGTATGATTCACAAATACTCACAGAGTTCTAGACTATGTTTTAATATAAACCTAAAAGTGGACTTCCCAATAGAAAAATAAAGTCAAGGAATAAAAATTAAGCAAATTCCCAATAAACATATAAGAAAATGCAATCTTGTCATTATCAAAAGAAAACCATTATTAAAGTTATGACTTGTTACACTGTGTTATTGAAATAATAAAATACTATTTTAATATACACAAAAAGATTTTTTTAAAATTGTATGACATTGTCTTGAGAAGGAAATGAGTACATGGTATTTGTGAAAGTATAAATTGCTGCCAAGTTGTGCATTTTAACAACACTTAACAAGGCATTAGAATAGTGCAAATGTTTTGACCCAGGAATTTATGAAAATAAATATACGTAAATATATTTCTTTAAGGGTTTTGTATTACATATTTTTTTGTAAGCTTTAAAAATTTTTAGCAACATAAATATCCATTTGAAACATCATTCGTAATAGTATCAGTATTTTATTGCGTGGATATATTACGGTATTTTTTAAAAACAAGCACTATTTGTCAATCACTTAGGTTATCTCTGATTTTCCTTTCTTATAAAAATTGCTGTGCTAAATATCCTTGTTGCTAAATCTTTGAGCATGTGTCTCTTTTTAATGCCTAACATACATTTTTAGAAGCTAAATATTTGGTACCAAGTTTTAAACTGTGGTTGTTTTGGAAAGTTGATGCAGTGAATATGTTTTACTTTTCTCTCTTTCTTTCTTCTCCCTATATCCATTTGTTAGTTTTTCTGCAAAGAGTATACACAACATTTATTAAAAAACAAAGATGGTGAATTGTATGCATACATTATTTACCTACTTTCTTCCAAGTCCAACAAAATATTAAATATATTGTTTTAAAACCTAAACCTGCCAGATAAAAAGCTATAAAGTAGCTTACACATCAATTTTTTAATTTTTTAAGATTAAGAAGTTTATTAGTAAATTAAAAAGTATTAACCTCAAAACCAATAAACAACTGACACATGGTGTATGATTTAACATCTCAAAGAAACTAATGCTTTTTTTTTTCTTTTTTGAGAAGGAGTCTTGCTCCATCACCCCGGGTGAAGTGCAGTGGAGCCATCTTGGTTCACTGCAACCTCCACCTCCCAGCTTCAAGCAATTCTCCTGCCTCAGCCTCACAAGTAGCTGGGACTACAGTCGTGCACCGCCACACCCAGATAGTTTTTGTATTTTTAGTAGAAACAGTGGTTTCACCATGTTGGCCCAGCTGGCCTTAGACTCCGGACTTCAAATAATCCATCCGCCTCGGCATCCCGAAGTGCTGGGATTACAGGGGGGAGCCACCACGCCTGGCCTCGAAGAAACTAATTATTAAGCTAGGATTGGAAGCAGCTCAAAAGCAGCCCAATTTGTATGAATAAAAAAGTCAGGGGGAAAAAAAAAGAAATGGCAGCACAAGGTAATTATGCAAGTAGGAATAAAAATGAGATAAAAATAGAGAGATTGGTTGGAAGTAGTGAGACCTACATTCCCTACCCGACCTCATGCAGTCAGATTATTCATCTTTCCCAAATGTAAGCTGATAACTGAGGGTTTATTACCTGGAAGATAACTGAAAGTTTATTATCTGTAGAGATAAAAGTGACAGTTTCTGGACTGCGAGTCTTAAGCATAATTAAAAATAGGGGTATCTACTGAAAACAGGAGTACTAAGTGGAATTCCATATACTAAATGATACAACCCCTAGCATCTGTCCTCACTCAACTACCAGAATTCTAACAACTAGGTCAAAAACTACAGACAGGTGATTGCCAGACTTTTGTTTGAAGAATTGCATAAGGCCAAAAGAGAAGAGTTACAGACATAAACAATTGGAGAACTGGTGGTGGGTGCAGGCAGGAGGGGAATCAATAAACTAATACAGATCAATTCTTTATCATGAAATCAACCAGTGACAATATTTGCCCACGTGCTCTCTCTCTCTCTCTCTTATACACACATCTCTTCACCCAAAAGTGCCTAAATTTAATATGAATATACAGCAGCACATCATCAGGCATTTGAGCAAATAATTCAACATGAAATAGATAACAAAAATATTTTTAAAAAGAAGAATAGGAAATTTAAGGATATAGTAACAATTCAAGAGCACTTTTTAAAAAAGTATAATTTTCCCACAGAAACAAGAAAATATATTTCATCTATAAAATAAGAAAGACTATTAATAGAAAGGAATATTCTCAAAAAAATTTTGAAATTAAAAGTCTTAAAACCCAGTAGAAGGGTAAAAAATTATGTTTGAGGAAATAGCCTACAGTGAATCAAAAAGACAAAAAGATGAAAAAAGGGGAGAATATATGAATAATTAGAGAAATGGTTTAGAGAATCCACTCTTTGATCTTCAAATAATAGGTGTTCGAGAGAACAAAGTAAATGAAGGAAAGGAGATTATCAAAGAAACAATTCAAGAAAAACTTCAGTAGCCTAAAGATGTAAATTTTAAGATTGAAAGGGTCAATTAAGCACATAAGAAGCAGATAAAAATTACTCACAAAACACTGTTAAATTTTAGGAAAGCAAGGAAAAGGAGAAGATATTAGTTCTCAGAAAGTGTGAGAACATAGTTAACAAGTACTATTTGTCAAGCTTGGGAAATATCAATGAATAAAAGATTTGTTGAATCTTTCAATTCATAAACATGGTATATCTTTTCACTTATTTAGATATCTTTGGATTATTTTTATCAGTACTTTGTGGACTTCAGCATATACATCATGTTCATGTTTTGTAAAATTTAAACCTAGTATTTTATGTTTTGAGCAATGTAAATGATGTTGTACTTTTAATTTTATTGTCAACATGCTCTTTACAAGTGCATATGAATACAATTGATTTTTGTGTGGCTAAAAAATTGTATCTTTGTTGAATTAACTTTGCAGTTCTATAGGTATTTTTCTTGAGATTTTCTATGTAGACCACCATATCATCTGTGCATAGATATAGTTTTATTTTTTTCCAATCTGCATGCTTTTTGTTTTCTATTTCTACCTCATGGTGATAACTAGAACTTCCAGTACTAAGGTGAAAGTAATAATAGAGTGGTCACCCTTTCCCCTCTCCCCTTAAGATCAAGGCTGTTCTGCCATTCTGTGAGTTTCCACATGCTGTTCTGTCCATCCTAGTGGGAGCTGCTTGTTAGTCCTGTCTCCTATCCACCATTTTCCACAATCTTCCAGTTAGCTTATTTTGGTTAAAGATGTTGTTGCATTCTATACACTTGATTCTTTTCTGCCTAGTTATTACATAAATTGTTGAGATGAGGTGCTTCACTTAAAACTGTGGATTTGTCTATTTTCTTATTCAATTCTATCAGGTTTTGCTTCACTTATTTTGCAGCTATATTGTTCGGTACATACACATTTTGTATTATTTTGTCTTCTTGGTGGTGTCTTGGTGATGTCTTATTATTAATGATTAATTTTTTTCATCATTAGTAATGTCCCTCTGTCTCTTTTGATTTTCTTTCTCTAAAGTTTACTTTATCTGGAATTAATATAGCTGCTCTTGCTTTTCTTTGATTACAGTTTGCATAATGTATTTTTTTAACATTTTATATTCAAGTTGCCTACATTATTTTATTGAAGTGAGTTTTCATACACCACATATTGTTAAGGAATATTTTAAAATTAACTCTGCCAAATTTTGTCTTTAGATTGGTGTATTTAGACCATTTACATTTAATGTAATTATCTTCGTCAGTTTGGGCTGTTATGACAGAGTACAATGGACTAGGTGGCCTAAAGAACATTTATTTCTCATGATTCTGAAGGCTGGAAATTCCAAGGTCAAGGTGCCAACAGATTTAGTATCTGGTGAGAGTTCACTTCCTAGTTCATAGACAGCCTTCTTCTCACTGTGTCTTCACATGGTAGAAAGAGCAAAGGAGCTCTCTGGAGTCTTATATAACCTCACTCAGGAGAGCTCTACCCTTATGACCTAATCATGTACCAAAGACCCTACCTCCTAATACTATCACTTTGGGGATCAGGTTTCCCACATATACACTTTGAGAGGACATAGACTTAATCTGTAGCAGTAATTATTTTTATACTAGAGTTTCAGTCTTCTATTTTGGTTTTTTTTCTCTGTTTTTTTTTTTTATTTCTCTGTTTTATTTTTCTGGCCTTTTTTAATGGGTTACTTGAAAATCTTAGATTTCTACTTTATCTATAGGGTTTTTGAGTGTATCTCTTTGTATAGCTTTTTTTAGTGGTAATTCTAGTTAGTATATAATTTATGGCAGTCCACTGGTGTCATAGTGGACTTCCACTGAGCCTTCCACTGAGGTTTTACCAGTTAAAGAAGGTCTTACGTCCCTGAGTCCTTTTACTTTCCACCATTTATAATATAAATTTCCTGATTATGTTTTTTACATATATTTAAACTGCATCATATAAAGTCATAATTTTGCTTCAATCATCAACCATAAGTTGAAAACACAAAAGAAGAAAATGCATTATATTTATTCATATTTTACTTTCTGTTGCATTTTCTACCTTCCTCATACATAGAAAACTTTCTCTGTAGAAACTTTCTGTGTAGAAAACTTTCTTTAGCCATTTTTTTAGTGTAGGTCTATTGGCGACAAAATTTCTTTTCTTTTAATCATTATTTGAGAACCTTGATTTACCTTTTACTTTTGAAGGACATTTTCATTATATGTGGAATTCTAGTTTTACAGTTCTTTCGGCACTTGAAAAATGTTGTGCCACTTTCTTCTGGCCTCCTCCCATGGTTTCTTATGAGGGATTTAGTGATTTAGATTCCCCTACTCCTATGGGTAAGCAGTTGTTGCTTTCTTACTACTTTAGATTATGTTGTTTGGTTGTTTCTTTTTTAGTTTCCAGAGGTTTTACTATGATTTGTCTTGCTATGAATTTCTCTGGGTTTATCCTATTTGGGGTTCACTCAGCTTCTTGTATGTATAAGTTATGTGTCTTGCCAAATTTACAATGTTTTCAGCCATTATTTACTTAAGTAATTTTTCAGCTTTGACCTTATCTTCCTCTCCTTCTGAGGTTCTGATGGCACTAATATTTTAGTTTTTTAAAAAAGAAATAGTTTTTCAGGTTTCTGAGGCTCTGCTTATTTATTTACGGCTTTGTTTCTCTCCACTATTCAAATTGGATAATTTCTTTTGATCTATCTTTCAGTTCATTTACTGTTTCTTTCCTCTCCCCTTTCCATTTTGTTGTTGGTGCTGCTGTTGTTGTTGCTGCTGTTGTTGCTGCTGCTGTTGTTGCTGAGCCTTCCACTGAGATTTTTAAAATTTTTTCAGTTATTGCATTTTTTTTCAGCCGAAAAGCTTCAATTGAGTTTTGTCATTTGGATTTTTCATTTGTTTCAAATATGTTCATAATTACTTATTGAAATGTTTTTATGATGATTCATTTAAAATCTTTCTCAGATAATTCTAACATTTCTGTCATCTTGATGCTGGAGTTTATGAATTTCATTTTTATATTCAGTTTGAGCTCCTCTTGGTTCTTGGAGTGATCAGTAATTTTTGATCGACTCCATGACATTTTGGTTATTATGTTATGAGACCCTGGATCTTATTTAAACCTCCATTTTACATTATTTCTTCTGACATCACTCTATTTGGGGAAGGCACAGCCTCATTACTACCAGTTAGGGGTAGGTGTCCAGGTTCTCTACTGGGCTGCCCCCTGACATTACAGGTAAGTGGGTGGACTCATTAATGCTGGGTGGTTATGAGAGTTCTGACTATTCATATGGTCGTCTACGGTATCATCCAAGAGAAACAGAGGGTCATCCATTTTCTGTCTGGTAGGAAATGAAAGTCTAGGTTCCTTACATTGGTCTCCACTGGCATGGCTAAGAGAAGGGAAATTTGTTAGCTTGCAGCAGAGATGAAAGTCCTGGCTCCCTACTTACTCTTCTCTGATACTACTCTGCCAATGAAGTTGGAATGCTTCCTTATAGTCTAGTGAGAATGAAAGTCTAGTCTCAGCCTTTGTTAAAATGGCTGGGAGTGGGGCCACAATTTTTTGGTTCTCTTCCCTGTGCTGTTTGGCTGGACTATAGCAGTTATCCAAATGAGCTAGGATGCCCCTTTGCTGGTTCTTTTGCTAGAGAAAGCAGGCTTTATTTGGGTTTATTTATTTATTTATTTGTCTATGCCCATTAGAATTTCTGGGTTGCTGGCTTTTTTAACTCCAAGTCTTAGATACGTGAAGCATGGAGAAAATTCAAGGAGCTCATCATCATGTTGTTCCTTGTTCCCAGTTTCCTAGGTTATCTACCTTCTTCTTGCCATTTTTCAGAGTTTTTCTATATTTAGTTTATGTATAATGGCCAGGATTTTTATTTGTGCTTGGTGAAAGGAATAGAAAAAGTACTTCTATTTACCTTCTTGATTGTGGAAATCTAAACCTAAGTATTTGCGTATGCAAGATCTGTGCTATGATTGGAATGTTTGTCCCCTCCAAAACTCAGGTCACAATTTAATTGCTATTGTATTGGTATTAAGAGATGGGACCTTGAAGAGGTGATTGGGCCACGAGGGCTTCACCTTTATGGGTGGGATTGATGCTGTTATAAAAGTGTGAGCTTGTCCCTCTCTTGTTCTCTTTTGCCCTTCTACCTTCTGCCATAAGATGACACAGCAATAAACCCCTCACAAAATGCCAGCCTCTCAATCTTGAACTTCACAGCCCCCAGAACTATGAGAAAATAAATTTCTGTATACTATACATTACCCTGCCTTGAGTATTTTTTTTTATTGCAGCACAAAGTGGACTCAGGCAATCTGTATGTTAACAGCTCTAAAACATGGATGAAAGAAGTCTAAGAATACCTAAGTAAATAGAGACATATACAGTATTCATAGATTGGAAGATTCAGTATTGTTAAGATATCAGTTCTCCCCAAACTGACTTATAAATTTAATGGAATCCCAGTCAAAAATCTCAGCAGCATTTTTAAATAGAAATCAACAGGTGGATTTAAAATTCATATTAAAAGACAAAGAATTTACAATAGACAAATTTTTATGAATAACAAAATTGAACAATTTACACTATTATATTCAAGTCTTAAGATAAAGCTACAGTAATCAAGACAGTATTGGCAAAAGAATAGACACAAAGATGAAGGGAAAATAATAAAAACTCCAGAAATGGATCCACACATATATTGCCAGTTGGGTTTTATAAAAGCACAAAATGTGAATCAATGGAGAAGGAATAATCTTTTTATCAACTGGTGCTGGAACAATAAGACATGTATATAAAACAATTGACCTCAATTCTTACCTTATACTATACACAATAATTAGTTCAGAATAGATAACTAACTGCAAACCCTAGGAATATAAAACTTATTAACAGAGACATAGGGAAATATATTCATCACTATGGATTAAGCAAAGATGTCTTGGGTAAAGCACAAAATGCACAACCCATAAAAATGGATAAAATTTGGAGTTTTTCAAAATTAAAACTTTTGTTTAATGCATAGTCAGTATAATAAAAAGACAAGTAACAGACTAAAAAGTATTTGCAAAACACATATTTGATAAAGGTCTTGTATCTAGAATATGTAAAGAACTCTTAAAACTCAATACTTAGAAATCAAATAAGCTCCCCCAAAAGAGGCAAAAGATTTGAACAAACACTTCACCAAAGAAGGCACAGAAATGACAAATAGGCACATGAAAAGAAACTCAGTCTCATTAGACATCAAGGAAATGCAAATTAAAGTCATAGTGAAATACCATTTGAACTTAGATAACCTTAAATGGCTTTAAAAAAGAAATAAACCTCATGAGAATATGGAGCAATTTGACCTCTATGTATTATGTTGGAAATGCTAAGTGGTACAGCAACTTCAGAAATCAGTGAAGTTAAATAGTACCATATGACCCAGTAAAATCACTCCTGGATATTTATTCAAGTAAAATGAGAACAAATGTTCATACAATGACTTGTACATAAATGTTCACAACGGCTTTATTCATTATTGCCAGAAACTGAAAACAGTCCAAATATTTATCAACCAGTGAATAGAGGAGGAAACTGTGGGACACCCACAAATGGAATTCTACTCAGCCATCAAAGGAATGAATTACTGATACATGTAACAATGTGGATAAATCTCAAAAGCTTTATGCCAAGTCACATTAATCAGACTGCAATGATTACATACTCTATTATTCCATTTACATGACATTTTGGAATAGATGTATGTACAGAAAGAAAAAATCTGATAGTTGGTTTAGAGAGGCTTGTGTAGGTGCACAAGGGAATTATTGGTTAATGGAAATGTTTGATATCTTGATTATTATTATTATATTGCCCTAATTGCTTCTTGATTATTGTGGTGATTCTTATGCAATGTATGTGATTGTCATAACTTACATATTTGTACACTTTCAAAGTGAATATTAAACCTCAATTTAAAATATTCTAATAGTCACCTGGATGTCAGTATTATTGGAAAAATGAATTTTACTGAATCAAAATAATGTTAATGAGCATAGAGTTTAAAGCATGGTATTTGTAACTCTTAGTGTTCAGTACCTCATAAGTCATTTAATAACTGTTGAATGAAGTTGTTGAATGGGATATCAATCTTTCAATCCTGTAGCTGCAGCATCTTATAAGCAAAAGAGTTATGGTTTAACTGAGTATACAGATAACTGTTGGGAAAACAATCTACATAGTATGAATAATTTTCAAAGTCAAACACTCTAGGACAGAAGTGTCATTATGAATTATAAAGATCTACTTCTTGTTCACATTTGTATCAGCTAGGGCATTTGTATTGACTGATTCTTTTTTTTTTTGAAATTTACATGTCAGAAATAATTTATGCATGCAGAAGTAAATGTATCAGTCATTTAATAAACAGTATAACAAACTATCAAGAGGTAACTTTTAAGCACCTGGAATATTTTTAGCTCCACTGTGGCTTTCATGAGCTATTTTTCATCACTGGGTTTTATTTTATTTTTTCATAGTACCGTAGTGTGAAAGTATTAACACTGATAGAGTAGAATATTGTATTAGGGTCTCCTTAGCTCAAAGAGACTTGAATAAATTTCAGCAAGGCAAGTGCCCGTTTGTTATCCTTGGGACTGTCAGTGAAGTCATATATATGAATGTGGAACTGACAGTGTTAGCTGTTGATGAGTTATTCAATAGTAATTCAACAAATATTTACTGAGCTCCTTCTCTGTAAATTCTGCAACATGGGCCTCTGAAGACTTCACCCTAGGCATACATGTCTGCTCAAGCTGTTTGCTGCAGTTGCATGCTGCCATATGTGGCTATCTGGGTGACTCAACTGCTGCTGCTTATGCAAATTTGTTTTATTTTATGCCTGAAAGAACACAAAGGAGAAAAATGTCAATTTCATCTCCACCAACACAAAAAGCATTTATGAGTGTCCAGGAACTCCTGGAAGTTGCTAAGGGGACATATAATGTGATAGAAGACAATGGGCTTAGGGATAAAATCAACTTGAATCTGAACTCCAAGCTATGTGACTATACTTTGCTTCTCTACTTCTTCTCTACTTTCCAGTTTCCTCATTAAAAGAGGGAAAGAGAGAGAGAGGAAGAGAGAGAGAGAGAAGGTGAGGGAGAGGGAGAGGAAGAGAGAGAGAGAGAAGGTGAGGGAGAGGGAGAGGGAGAGAGAGAGAGAGAAGGTGAGGGAGAGGGAGAGGGAGAGAGAGAGAGAGAAGGTGAGGGAGAGGGAGAGGGAGAGAGAGAGAGAGAGAGAGAGAGAGAGAGAATAATCACATCTTCCACATGGTATTGTAAGTGTCAAATATGTGGTATTTTCAAATTGTGTGTGAAAGTATAGAGCATGAGCAATAAATTATAGTTCTGTTTCCCGAGGCATAAACTGTGAGTTAAATAGAGACAGTTTCTGTCTTTGTGGGTCTTATAATTTGGAGCCTGGAATAATAACATGAATATACTTTGAAGAACACAGACCATAGGAACTGTCTATAAATTGTCTTCTCAGAGATATATTCCCCATCTCTCTAGAATAATCCCATTGTCCATGTAGTTATTTCTGAGCTTGATAAATTATTGCAGGACCTCACCCAACCATACTGGATTTTATTGATTCAGAGAAGGCCCTGACCCAAGGTCTTTTCAACTGGAACAGTCAGTGATAGAAGTTGTATGATGTGAAATCTGGAAGCTCTTTTTGCTATTTAATCCTTCCAAAATTCCATGAGCTAATTTGGTAGGATTTCTGCCACTTTTGACCAAAGTTAAAACTTCCCTAATTTATAGATAGGAATTATTTAACATAGATGTGACATTTTCAAAGCTTGACTTTTGGAATAATGGAGTTGAGATTGGCTTGGAGCGAAGAAGCTGGCCTAGGGAGTATATGAGAATTTCCTAGATCACAAAGCAAGTTCTTAAAGTTATGACTAGTTTTACACCTTGAGATGTTTATTGTACAATACTGCAGTCCATCATGTGATGGCATACCAAAAATACCTAGAACAGGGTATGTTTTGGCTGAAAAAAAATTAGGAAAAAAAATAGAAAGCTTTCCCCCTAGCTGACTTGGATGCCACAGATTTGCTTCCTCAAGGTTATATTGTGAGAAACCCTGGCCTGTAGAGGAGCATGAGAAATCATGCATCACTTATGCAAAGGTTTTCTATAATTGATTCCCATTTAATCATTGTGTGACTTTTTTCTTATAGTGTAAGATGCTGAAAAATATTAAAGATATAGAATTAACAGGATTTAATGATTGATTAGATAGATGGAGAGGATGTGGATAAAAGAGGAGAAGAAATGATAGGCGTATTTCTTGCTTGGATTGAAACATCAAAATATTCTGACATAAAGTACACAGATGGGGCAGGTTTTGGCTTGAACAGTATCCCTCCAGTCATAACTATGTTCTTTCTGTAAACACTACTCCCTTTCCCAGCCTTGGAAAGTAATGCTTGTAGTATGTTAATCTGCTTCTCTGGGCCATAGTTTATTGGAACAAGGATGAACACTTAGACAGAGTTCAAACTATTATATTTTTATGAACTATTATGAAAACTATTATATTTATATGAAATTTGGACCTCGACTTCAGCTGCACTTGCTGCTGAAACTAAGAATAAATAAATACAAAGGCAGAAGGTACCCTCATCTGTAATATATGGGAGAAACCAAGGAAGCTGGTCTTTAGAGTGAGAAGAGGAAGATATGCATAGTGAAGCAGAGAAGACAGAGAGAAAGAGAAAATATCCAGTTGTCTTGGTTTCTGCCAGCTTTTCTGTTCCTGGCTTTGACCATTGGTTTGTCTGGCTGTTCTAATTATAGTCTCTGTGAAATCTATACTATATTCTTGAGAGGTAAAGGTTAACTTGTCCAAGACTGATTTCTTGCAGGTTGGACACAGAAAGAAGCTGGCCTCCTGCAAACCTCCATGGAAACCTTTTATGACCTAGGGCTTGAAGCAAATTAACCTTAGCCAAGAGCAAGGCTTGGACCCAGCCCTGGTCACACCAGGAGTGGGCCTCCCAATTAGTCACCAACACGGTTGTGTAAAACCTTGCTGCTGGGATGCGGGAACGGCGGCTCACGCCTATAATTCCAGCACTTTGGGAGGCCAAGGTGGGCAGATTGTCTGAGGTCAGGAGTTTGAGACTAATCTCGCCAAGATGGTGAAATCCTGTGCCTACTAAAGATACAAAAATTAGCCAGGCGTGATGGCGGGTGCTCGTAATCCCAGCTATTTCTGAGGCTGAGGCAGGAGAATTGCTTCAACCCACAAGGTAGAGGTTGCAGTGAGCCGAGATCGCGCCACTGCATTCCAGCCTGGGTGACAGAGCGAGATTCTGTCTCAAAAAAACAAAAAACAAAAAACCACACTTGCTGCTAGATTACCATATTATATGATCACACCAAAAACTTTGACCCATCTAGTCTGTGATCACACCAGAGAACAGGCTGGTTCCCACCCCAACATGAATACTGAGCTGGCAGGAAGATAACACAGCCCAAGGACTGAAGACCCTTCGCTCTAGTCTGTCATTTGAATTTGTTTTCTATGTCTGTACTGACCTAGAATGCTATGGCAACAGGGAACTGGCTTAGCAGCTCTTGCTCCTTTGTCTAAGAGCTTTACCCTGCTGAATACTGCCTCATCAAAACCGTTGTGTTCTTGTCCACTAATTTGTCATCTTTTTTTGTTTGTTTTTTGAGATAGGGTCTTGCTCTGTCACCCAGGCTGGAGTACAGTGGTCCAATCATAACTCACTGCAGCCTTGACTTCCTGGCTCAAGGGATTCTCCTGCCTCAGCTTCCCACGTAGCTTGGAAAACAGGTGTGTGCCACCATGGCTGGCTAATTTTTGTTTTAATTTTTGTACAGGGAGGTTCTCACTTTGTTGCCCAGGCTGGTCTCACACTCCTGGGCTCAAGTGATCTGCCCACCTTGGCCTCCCAAATTGCTGAGATTAGAGGTATGAGCCTCCACGCCTGGCCTGTTGTTGTTTTTATGATATTTCTTATATCTTCCTCTTTTTGCCTAACATATTTATGATTTCTCTTATTATCTGACCAAAGATTAAAGACAGCAGGGCATAAATATAAATGTCTACTCTAATATTCCACATTTAGTAAAGGTCACTCCTATCGATAGCTATGAGTAACTAAAGACAAGAAAATTCCTAACTCTTCATAGTTATGAAAGCATATAGAATAGATGTCCTTATGTGCTGCTTCTTTTTTTTTTTTTTTTTTTTTTTTTTTTGAGACAGAGACTTGCTGGAGTGCAGTGGCGTGATCTTGGGTCACTGCAACCTCCTTCTCCCGGGTTTAAGCAATTCTCCTGCCTCAGCCTCCCAAGTAGCTGGGAGTACAGGCACTCACCACCACGCCTGGCTAATTTTTGTATTTTTAGTAGATATGGGGTTTCACCATGTTGGCCAGGCTGGTCTTGAACTCTTGACTTCATGATCTGCCTGCCCCAGCTTCCCAAAGTGCTGGGATTACAGGTGTGAGCCACCACGCCTGGCCTATGTGCTTCTTTACAGTGTTTTCTTGCATTGTTCCTTGACTGATAACCTGAAACAATGATTCGAGGAGATACAAAGTTATCTGCATGGATTGGCACTTCCACCAACATCACAGAAATGATCAGGATTTAGAGCTCTTTTTCTAGTATTAAAAAGTCCTGTTGACTTCACATTGATCTGTGATCCTGGGGCTCCTCAGTATCCCCTAATTCTATGAAATATTACCACGCTGACAATGAAACCTTAATATGGTAACATCCCAACATGTAAGCAGGGCATTCTTCATGCATTTACTCCATCTCTTGTGAAGTCCGTCAAGGGTATACTTTATCCAAGTAAGTATTCTATCTTTTAATATAGGGCTACCTCTGCCTTTTGACATTAGAATAACTTCTCTGTGATCAATAGTACTTGTTTTAGTTTGTTCCTTCTGCTACAATAAAATGCCTTAGACTGAGTAATCTATAAACAACAGAAATTTATTTCTCACAGTTCTAGAGGCTTGGAATCCAAGATCAAAGCACCAACAGCCTCAGTTTCAGGTGAAAAACTGTTGCTCACAGGTGGCAATTTCTCTGTGTCCTCATATGGTGAGAGAGTGTAAGGGACCTCACTCAACTCAAGCCTCTTTTAAAAAGGCACTAATCCCATCTGTGAGGGTGGAGCCCTCATGACTTAATCACTCACAGAAGGTC
Organism: Homo sapiens; assembly: GCF_000001405.40. Classification (NCBI taxonomy): domain Eukaryota; kingdom Metazoa; phylum Chordata; class Mammalia; order Primates; family Hominidae; genus Homo; species Homo sapiens. Next base: position 106,499,674 of record NC_000011.10, read on the forward strand.
CTGCTTCTCAATACTATCACATGTTAAGTTTCAACATACAAATATTGGGAGGACACCAGCATTTAGATAATAGCACTACTTGTATTACTTTCCTGATAGATATTTTGGATAATTCATCCGCATATCAATTTATTGTTCTATAACCTAAGTGGCTGTACTGGTACCGGTTCAACACTCATCACAGACTGGTAGAATTTCCAAGGTGTTGGGCCTGTGGACAGAGGCTGAGGATTCCAAGTGATGGAATCTCTTTCCAATTTTAAACAAATATCATTGTTTTCTTATGAAAAATGCTTTATGTTAAAAGTAAAAAATTATAAAATAGAGTAGAAATTTTTAAATACTTTAAATCTTACTAAAATATGTGAATTGGTAGAATTTTAAGGAAAAAATATATGTCCTTACAGTCTCATACTAATTGCTTCTAGAAATCTACTTTTCCTTTGAATTCATTTTCTTTCTTGCTGTTCATTCTAGAGTTCTTAGCTGATAGTCTATGGGAAGTAAATGTTTTTAGTCTCTCTTGTTTGGTCTAAAAGTCTTTGTTTTCCCTTCAACCCACTTATCAATAATAATTTAGCCTGGTATAGAACAGTAATTGTTTCACCATTTTGATGATATTACTATATGACATTTTCTGTTTTGCATGAGAAATATAACATCCATCTGTTGCTCTTTCCTTTGGCTTTTTATTATGGCAGGGTTTTTTTTTTTAAGTTTTCTCTGGGGTTGGGTTTGTTTGTTTATTTAACTAAGGGAATCATTAGACATGATTTGAGGGTTTTGTTGTTTTTTTTTTTTTGGCTTTGTTTTGTTTATACCTTGACATCTATTTCCAAGGATTCAATCTTTCATCAAATTTTAAAAAATGTACATGGTTAAGCATTTGAATATTACCTTTTCTTCTAAAAATTGCTCTATGTAACTTGGAGGTTTTTGATACTATTCTTCATGTCTCATAACTACTTTTCCATATTTACAATAAATTAAAAAAACTTCCTGTGCTGCTTTCTGGGTGATATACTCAGATCTGTTTTCCTTTTTTAAAAATTAATTTTTTAGTTTATATATACATATATATATGTAAGAGTAACAACATGTTATTTTGATATATATATACATGTGTATAGTTAAATGATTACTATAGTCAAGCAAATTAACCTACATATCACCTTCCATCGTTACTTCTTTTGTGTGTATATGTGATAAGATCATCTAAAATTTACTGTCTTAGCAAATTTCAGTAAATAATACAATATTATTAATTACAGTTCTTATGCTGTACATTAGATCTCTAGACTTATTTATCCTACATAAGTTTGTACCTTTGACCTACTGCTCCCCGTTTCCTGCCCGTCCCTGCTGCTGGTAACCACTGGTCTATTCTGTTTCTATGCATTCAAACTTTTTTAAGATTCTACATACAAGGGAGATCACACAGTATTTTTTTTCTATGTCTGGCTTATTTCACTTTGTATGATATCTTCAGGTTTATCTGTGTTGTTATAAATGGAACTATTTTCTTCTATGTATGGCTAAGTAATATTCTATTGTGTGACATATATAAATATATGTATATCTCCCTTACAATTTTTTATTCATTTATCTGTATATGAACACTAAGATTGTTTCTATATCTTATTTATTTTTTGTTGTTGTTGCTGTTTTTGAGACGGGGTCTCACTGTCTGCCAGGTTGGCATGCAATGGCACAATCATGGCTCACTGCAGCCTTGAACTCTTGGGCTCAAGGGACCCTCCCATCTCAGCCTCCGGAGTAGCTGGTACCACAGGAGTGTGCCACCACACCTGGTTAATTTTTTATTTTTTGTAGAGACAGGGTCTTGTTTCGATATCTTATCTATTATGAACAATGCTCCAATGAACATGGGAGTGCAGATATCTCTAGGAGGTAATGATTTCATTTCCCAAAAGCATATACACAGCAGAGGGATTGTTGAGTCATATGGTAGTTTTATCTTTAATTTTTTGAGCAACATCTATACTGTTTTCTACAATAGCCATACCAATGTACACTTCCACCAACAGTGTACAAGTGTTCTTTCTTCTCCACTTCTTTGCCAACACTTGTTATCACATCTTTTTGATAATAGCCATCCTAACAGGTACAAGGTGATAATTCATTGTGGTTTTGATTTGCATTTTTCTGATGATTAGTGATGCTGAGCATCTTTTCATATTCCTGTTAACCGTTTATAGGTATTCTTTGGAAATATGTTCATTCAGGTCCCTTGCCCACTTTTTAATTGGATTATTTGATTCTTTTGCTATTGAGTTATATGAGTTTTTAAATATATTTTGAATATTAACCCTTTATCAGATACATAGTTTGAAAATATTTTCTCCTAATCAGTAGTCTGCCTTTTCATTTTTTCAATTGTTTCCGTGGCTGTGCAGAAACTTTTTAGTATGATGTAGTCTCACTTGTCTATTTTTGTTTTTGTTGCCTGTGTTTTTGGTGCCATATCCAAAAAATCATTGCCAAAACCAGTATCAAGTAGCTTTTCACCTATGTTTTCTTCTAGGAGTTTTTGGTTTCAGTTCCTAATTTTGGGTATTTGAACCATTTTGAGTTTTTTGTGAATAGAGTAAGATAAATGTCCATTCTCATTTGTGTGTGTGTGTGTGTGTGTGTGTGTCTGTGTGGATATCCAGTTTTCCCAGTACCATTTATGAAACAGAATATCTTTTCTCCACTGTGTATTCTTGGTGACCTTATCAAAAATCGGTTGGCTGAGATGTGTAGTTTTTTGTTCCATTAAATTATGTCTTTGTTTTTATGCCAATACTATCCTGTGTTGATTACTATGGCTTTGTAATATAATTTGAAATCAGGAAATGTGATGTCTCCACTTTGTTTTTCTTAAGATTGTTTTGGCTATTTAGAGTCTTTTGTGGTTTCACATACATTTTAGCATTTTTTTTCTATTTCTGTGAGAAATGCCATTGAAATTTTCATAGAGGTTGTGTGTTATTTTGGATAATATGGACATTTTAACAGTATTAATTCTTATAAATCATAGTATCTTTCCTCAGATCTATTTTTCAATTCAGTAATTCCCACTCGAGTTGTATCAACACTACTGCTCACTAAATTAGAGTATTATTTTTTAAGTTTCAATCATTATATTGGCATTCTAGGTTTTCATTTCACTGTACTTTGAATCTGTCATTTTTGCCTCATTAATTCTGTTCTTTTATCTTTTTGAACATTTTGAAATGGTTATCTCAAAATCTCTTTCCAATTTCTCTGTTATCTCTGGTTCCTTGGGCTTGACTCTTACTTATGACAGCTATCAATATCTCATGGCAATAGATTTACTGTAATCTTTGTAATTTTGTCTCTGGGCTCATCTTCATTGAAAATTATCTTCTTCAGGCACCTGTTGTGAGCCATGATAATGGAGATATCCCTATGAGATGGTTTCATGGGAGATTGCTAAGATTCTTTGAGATTCATTGTTTCTAGATTTTCCTTTTCAACTCAGGCCATAGCAATGAAAGTCTCTGTGATAGCCTCTGTCAATTTCCCACTGACATCTCTCATTCCCTAGATAAAATTACCTAAATTTGTACTCAACTGTTTATTGAATAAAGCAACTATTGCCTGGTGTTACTTAGTCAATGAAAGCTGAAAAAACTGAGAGGAGTATAGTCATGGCATACTTGATATTTTTTGGTAAGGCAATTTGTTTAGATTGGAGAACATAACTTTGATTATGGCCAGATATATAAGATGGTCAGCTGGCTGCTGGCAATAAATTGATTTCCCAGGGGTCAAATTAATCAATTAACATTTGCAGCTAAATGCACAGAAGTTAATATTTTTCATTAGTTGTTAAGATAGTTTAATGCAATTGAAATTTTGATGGCGTTGTTTTTCACCTCATGTTTTATTTTAATGGAAGGTAAAGCACCATTCAGATGGGTTCTAGATAAATCACTGGTGACATAAGATGGACATAACCTACGAATAACAGGTTAAAAATAATGTTGATCATAATCATTAAGGTAAGGCTACTTGCTTGTAATTATTTTCCATGTGTTAATGATTTTTAACAAGTTCAGCATTTGTTGATCCATTTTATGGAAATAGTTTTTGTGTAAAAACAAAATAGTTGCCATTAAATATTTCATAGACCTTATAAACAATAAATATCTGCACTCACAATGTTTTTCTGATAAGGCTGCCAAAGTACCTCACGATCAAATATACTATTAACCTTGTTTTGCATGGGGGAGTTAAACTTTAAAAGACTAAATATAATATTCAAGTTTACATAGCAAATCAGTACCCAAGAGAGAAAATGAGCCCTTCTTGGGCTTCATCCTGTGCTCTGGCCTGAACACAGCATATTATCAGCATAAATCTATTCAGAACATCCAGGGCATTCATTAACTAGGTCATGTGGATGTGCCTGGAATGTACAGTGATGTTACTGAGCACTGCGGAATCACAAACAGCAACACTGAGTTAAATAGACCATGAAATTTCAAATCTCCAGACTGATAAATATATGTTGCAAAGGGAAAAGGAGATAAAGTTGAGAAGGGCATGTCCTCATTCTACTAAATTTCAAAGTTTATAAAACCTTTATTTTGATTATTTATAATCTTTGCTTAATCATAATGAAGGGAGCAAACATATTGAAATCATCACATAGAGGTATTGACAAGCAGATATTTTTACTATGTTCAAACAGTGAAGGAAAGGTTTTGATAAAGTGTGGCCATCCTGATCCCCAATTGTTATCAACTGTTCTTTAGGTAAGCTACCAGACAATTGAAGAGAATAAAGTTGGTATTTGAAATCTCGTGTTTAATTTTTTGCTGTGCTTCTAACCAGCTTTATATGCTTTGAGCAAGCCATTGGACTAGAAATATTATACATCTTTATTTGGTCAGATGTATTCTTCTGTAAAAAGAAATGCCAAATATTAATTTAAGATTTTAACACATTTGTATATATAGTATACTTCAATAAAATATTAACAGTAGTTACCTTGGTTTATTTTTAAGTGACAGCATTTTCTTTAGTAAAATTTATATAGTATGATTCCATTTTATTTAAAAAAATAAAAAGGCATATTCACATCTATGATAAATTACTGTGCATGCAGGGAGAAAGCTGTAGTAGAATACATACCAACCTGAGGATTTGACTTCTTTGGAGGAGTGGGAAGAAGAAAATAATTGAGACATTTAAAGAAAATGGTCTATAATATATTGAGCGATGTATGTGTATACACACACATGCAGATATATTAACACAGATGTATAATTTCACACATATATGTACATATGAAATGTGTGTATATATTTAAACAATGTATATACACTGCTTTTATTAATTGTAACACATATACCTGCAACCTGATTCTAGAGTAAAGGTATGTGTTTGAAATATTTTCATGTTAACACAAACAGATTTACCTCCCTTTTGGAATCTGGTACTTAGTTTCCATGTTACTAATTTTCTTAAAGGCACATGTAAATAGCAGACCTGAAATACAAGACTAAACAGTCTGGATTCAGCATTCCTGTTGTTAAAACTGTAGTAAAGCTTCCCAGTTGCTGGTTTTGTTGGCCATTGTTCTTCATGTTGATTTTCTTCATGCACCTTGCATGAAAGGAATTTTTTTTGAACTTTTCCTCATCGTACCTTTTCTTTGCATGTTGTCTTTAAAATTTTTATTTATTCCATGTACCGCAGAACTTAAAGTATAAAAAAAAATTATTCATACTTAATAGAGGTACATATTTTAAGGCATATATGACAATTTAATAATTCATATAGTTTGTGAAATCAAATAAATGTAATTGGGATATCTATTACCTTAAATATTTGTCTTTGCTTTATCCTGCATACATTCAAATTATTCTCATCTAGTTATTTTGAATTATACAATAGATTATTGTAAACTATCATCACTTATCTATCAAATACTAGGTCTTATTTCTTTTATAATATCAAATTGTGTATTTGTACCTATTAATCAACCTTTCCTCATCCCCCTCTATTTCTTCTTTTTCCTCATATTTTTCTCTTCTCATTTCTTTTTTCATCCTTGTTTCTCTTAATTTCTTTTCATATCTGTTATTTTGATGTTTTGCCTTCACCAAGATACTGTTCATAGTTGAAAATCGGATATTACATTGGTATTTGGGGGCATTCTTCTTTTTCAGCATCACAAAGCCAAGTTCTTGCTCAGCAGTAGCCTGAGGCAAGTCCTGGCTGACCAGCTATCTCTGCTCCTTTCTTGTAACTCAGACAGAAGTTTGATGGAGGTCACAGGCCCAGTAAAAATTTTTAGCCTCCAAACTAGGGCAGAATCATGTCCGTGTGAGCCTGGCTTTGTTTATTAGCTATTTGTAGGGTTCTTTGGGTCCTAGTTCTCTACCTCTGCAGGAGTTGAATTATTGACCACATCTGCTTTGATTCTAGTCGAGAAGTTGTGCATATCTTCAATTTCAGCAACTTTTACCACTCTCTGCTTTCCAAAGCAGTTATTATCATATTTATTTTGGCATATGTAGACCAGTAATGGTCTCAAAATGAATAGGCAACTTTATCAAGGGCACCTTGTTAGTAATAGTCAGATCCAGGTATTTAATCCTTAGCAGAACAACTCGAGTCTGTATCTGTCTACTGTATTACACATTCTTCCATAACATGGATACTAGATGTGGATCCTGTGGGCCAGGTCTCTGGAAAGCCACAGGTTAATACGTTCTTCAAATTGAAATGCATCTCATATAGTATCTGTGGAAAGATTCCTTACCTCATTGCTTTTCTTTGCTTCACTGCTCACAGGGATGGCACTGGCAGCTCTTTCTAATGAGAAAGATGGTAACATGATGAGATTGAAAATCAGGGTCAAAAACTGAGTAGTGTCATATGCACATAGATTTAGCAAAGGCAATGTGAATTTATTGAGCACTTGCCTCTAGGACAGGTTAGAAAAGATTCATTACATTGGTGGGATAATCTTAGCAGCAGTATGTGAAAATACTACCCAGCCCACTAGTCTTCACAGCAGCCCAGAAGGGACATGGCAGAAAGGGAAAGAACTCTATGGACTACCTGTGTGGGCCAGGCATCTTCAAGAAATTTTGCAATTATTAATTTACTTAATTTTCTAAAGAACATTAGGAGTTGGGTATTTTAATGCTGAATTGCTATCACTGAAAAAAAAACAGAGTCTCAGAGAGATTAAGTAATTTTCTCACTGTCACACAGCAAGTAATAGAAAGCCCAGGTTTCCCTGATAACTTACCAGGACTTTCTCTTTTTTACTATCTAAATTCCCTTTTTCTATCTTCTTTCTGGGCAGCTGATAAAAGACCTCTACTTTATGAGCAATTAGTTTAGCTTAATGAATGCTTTCCTTATCTTAAAAAAGAGCTATATTCTCTATTAATATTGGTCTTAGTTGCTGAACTAGATGCAAATAGATGTTTCAGTGTAAAGATGATGACCTTTCTCATGTTGACCTTCTGTGGCAACAGATCCTGGAACATGACCTAGGCTGGGTAAATTATAGTTCTTATCACCTGAACACAGTGATTGATTAAAGAGCTGGGTAGATCCATCACCCGCATGGGGCAAATTTGAGCTCTTCCTTAGATATGACAGGATATATGATGTGATATGATATTACATGATATGATATGATATGATAGAGAGAAGAGCTATGTCTCCTGGAATCAGAGAAACTTAAAGTCATCCTATCAGGTCATGGACAAAATTCACGTGGAGTGGAAGAGAACAGAGCCAGTAAACTGAGAGAAGCATAAGTGGATGATAGACAGTTTTCTAGTCCCTACATCCAAGCATCGGTAAAAACAAACCTCCTCCTGCCTGTCCGCGATTGGGTTATGCAAGCCAATAAAGTTTGCTAATGCTATTTTGAGTTGAATTTACATTATCTGCAACCAAAAACAACTTTGACTGAGACAGATTATTTCAGAAAAGAACAACAAATTACAAATGAGACATCATGGTTCTTTTGCCCATGGAGTATTTTGTTTTTGTTCCTCTCCTCTGCCTCCCACCAAAAGAACAGTGATAGAAGACATTGAATAGGGATGTCCCATGACATCTGTAAGTGGCATACCTTCTACAAATTACATCACAAAGTGCAAACTCAGCACATCCCTCAAATTATACAAATAAGAAAATGCTCTGGAATTTGTGTATGCTTTCTTTATGACATAACCAAGGACTTGGCAGGAGTGAGAAAGAATAGATTTTTCTCAGAATTGTTCAGTGTCCTCTCCAACATTTGTGATTCAGGGAGTCAGCATAGTGGGCAAGAGAATCTTTGCTAACCATTAAACAACCCCACACATTAAGCTACCAGGGTCTGATAATTGTTTTTTTCTGTTTCACTTTCAAAAAGAAATGCCTTTGGTTTCCCTTGAAAGGAACCATGGGGGACAGTCCTGAGGGTGGTACAATTCTGTCCCCTGCTGCCTCAGCAAACACTGAGTGCCTGTGGAAGGAAGCTGTCAGTGGTGACTCTGAAGATGGGACATCATCATGGACGTCAACCAAGGACTACTTTAACATGGGCAGAGGGGGAAATTCAGAAATAAGAAGTTCCAGCAATTCCAGCAGTGACCTATGTCAATCAGGGGGCCTCATCCCTCAAATGGAAGTGGCTCTTTCCTTTATGAAACTCTCTTCTTCTTTGAAATATGCCTGCTTCCCATCTCATTCCTTTAAAACCTTTCTCCGATATAAACAGATTTATTATTTTGTTACTCACTCAATTCTGAAATAATGCAAACATTTATTCTCAACTTCCAGTTGAGAAGTGAATAGCCAGTGAATAGTGGAGGCTTCCCTGGCTTGGCCCTCAGGGATGTTCACTCTTCAGTTCACTGTTTGCTGGATATTACCCCCATAACACTATTAGAAGCCTTCTACCATAGGGGCCAAAGAAGACGTAATTATCTAATACAATAAACATTGCTTTTTATATTTGATTTGAAATCTTAGAGAAGATTCCCTCCTGGGAAATCTCCTTTGAAATCGGTAACTCTCACATGGTGTTCTATTTCTGTGGTCAATCCTCAGATTAGCTTACCAGACTCTTTGCTCTCTTCTAAACATCAGGGTTTCCCTAACATTGTTTTAGGGCATTCTTTTCACTCTACTGTCTCCCTGAGCTATCCTATTTTTATGGCTCCAAAGCTCTCATATGAACTCCAGGTCCATATGTCCAAGTGCCAACTGAATATGTTTAATTCAAAATTTTCTAGCAGAATATCAAGCCGAGTTTGTTCAAAAACTCAAACTCATCATTTCTTGAACTACCTCGAAATTCTTTCTTGTCCAATATTTTCTATTTAAATGAATTCTAATACAGAGTAATCCAAAATCTTTCATTTTCTATCATCTCAAACCTATGAAGGCCTTTCATTGTTACTTTTAAGTAATCCTAGAATTTGTCCTCTCTTTTAAACTCCTGCTGCTATCTTAGATCACATCTTCATCATTTCTATTCTTAATTACTTTCATGACTTAACTGATTTCCGACCTTTAGTTTGTCTTCTATACTGCTTCTAGTGTGAGTTTTCAAAAATAGAAATCTAATCAGATTCTTCTTCTTCTGGAACATTTTTAATGGTTCTCGCCATCTTTAGAATAAAATTCAGACCTGTAGTATAGTGTTCAAAGCTCCTCATTTGTTGGTCCCTGCCAGTCTCTCCAATCTCATCTCTGACTTCTCTCACTGCACTTTACACTCAGACGATTGAAGTCCCCTGACCATTTTAGGACTCTGTCCCATGGAGAAGGAACAGAGCACAGACTTTTGCTTCTCACTATACAGTTTTATTTTAAGGTGAAGAAATTGCTCCATTTTTGTGAGTGTTTTTCTGTATTCCAAAATAACTTCCAAAATATAATGTGTTGATTTTCAGAAATTCTCTATAAATATCCAAATAGCTCTGGAAAGATATTATTATAAATCAATAAATGCTATTCTAATTCTGTTGGAATATATTAATAGGAAGGTTTTATATATATATATATATATATATATACACACACACACATATATATACACACATATATATAATAGCATTTTGAATACTTCAATTGTATAAATTTGTAAAATTCATTCTTTGTGATCGGCATCATCACCAATAAACAAAATGGAGGTGAAATGAAATAATTGGATTAATAGGCCATGGCAATGGACAAGTCTTGGTTAAATGTGCTTTGGAGGAACTTCCTGAAATGGGGAAGAGGATCATCTGAAAATGAGATAGAGATCCACATCTGATTTGTAATTTTGAACCTAATAGTTTATTATTTATATTTGAGAGTATCCTAAATCTGCTATTAGCAGCCAAAAATGAATACAAGAAAGTACAATCGTTATTTAAAAGAAGCAAGTTATAGTTGACAAAGATTAAAATGTTAAAAGTTGTTTGAAGTTTAGGCAACTGACAATAACAGAACAACTTATTAATAACAGTAATGAAGTTAAAAATTATAGAGCATTTGCTATAACCTAAGTATGTCCGTTTAAACTTCACCACTTTCTTAGATTAGGAAGCTGACCTTCAGATAAGTAAAATTATATCGGAAAGGTCCTCTTAATTCACAGTGCCAAATCCAGATTTTCCCTGACTTCCCCAAATGCCACTTATAAGATAATTTAATTATTATTCATCCCCTGATGACTGCAGGAAAACCTCTGTGGGTAAGTAGAGATAAATGTGAAGAGCAGAAGCAAAGAAAAGAGCTAGCAGTAGTGAATGTTGAACTTCATGTGCTAATTGGTGTGTGTCCATTTCTGATACAGCCACTTTGAGACAAGGGCTATATCATCCATGAATTGGATCTTAATGTCCATTGCTGTATTTTTACTTCTCTAGTTTTTAAGAAATTTAGGCTGTGGTTCACATTGTGTATTCGAAAGATAGAATACCTCGCTAACTAGACAAACAAAAGCTTTGTTCTAAAAATGTACTTTCCTTAAAGCAGAAGTAACCTGCAGAGAAGCAGGATGCCTGAAGAGAGATGGATCTCTGCTTACTGTGTCTTTAGAACAGAAATAGTGGTTTTCAACTTCACAACTCTGCATTGAGCCCTCCTTTCACATCTTCCCTGTATCATTGCAGAATTGATCTGAATAATTCTCATTTTATCTTAGACAATTTTTTGTGTGGCTTGAAAAAATAAATTTGCAATAGAGGTGAAATGGAAAAAATTATCCTTCATTTCCTACTCCAAACTGAGGATAAACAATTATTCTTGGAAATTCCACCATAGAATTGAATTCATTGTACGTGTGAATTGCACCTTTTAAGCTTTTAAATGATGTGGCATTTTTATTTAGCAGCATTCCAAAAGGGACCACGAAATAAATGAGCTCCCTGGTTTTGCAGCATTTTATAATTCCAATATGAAAGTTTTAGCATTATTACTAACTGAAGAATCAGAAAGGAAATTCATAGACTATCACTTCTGGGTTTTCAAGTATTTTTAATCCATGCAACTCTTCCTCCAAACTTTTTCTTCAACTTCTCATGAGAAAGTCAGCATATAAAGTTCTTAAAAGCTGTGCTCCCCTGACCGAAATGGAGATGAGTACCATGGTGGGAGAATGCATCTTTCCCCCTCGAGAGTCCTCTAGCACCTGCGGTGGTCTCTGGAAGAACTCAGCAGAACTCCCAAGTGCCAAGGAACACATATTACAGAACAACGGACTGCAGAAATTCAGATAGATGAAAACTATAGATCATTCTAGGTACTTTGTTCCCAGACTTATAATACTCCCAATAGCTTCTCTAATGTATGATCAAGTGGCTGTCTGCTGTAATATTTTCAGAGCTATAATGTTTATATCTAACCTCTTATATTTATGTCCAAATCAGCTGGTATATTTTGGCTTATTCTGAGCAGTAGCTGCTAGATCTATCTTGTGGTACACATTAAGCCTATTCCTTCTTCCACAGTTCTTCTTGACATTATGCTACTTAAAAAGTCATCCCTTATCAAAATCAAATTTCATTATTTTAGTTATATCACATCCAATATTTAATTGTGTAAACCACTCTTTACTCTAGCTATTCGTCCTCAGAATTGCTTCTGTTATAAATGCTCTTTTTGAACAGACTTCCTAGAGTAGAAGAGAAAGCTCCAGATATGATCTGATGGGGGTAAAATATACTTGGACATTACTTTCCTTAGTATGGATACTATATCTCTATAGATGACATGCAATGTTGGATTATTTCTTTAAAAAACATGATCTAGGGACAAGACTTAACAGAGGAATTGTTAAAGACCACAGTTCAAATTAAAATCCCCAGTCCATGGTTGCTTATTAAAATGCTTTTAAGCCTTAATTTTTATTATAATTTCTTTTACTCATTATGGTTCATTTTGGTATTTTTATACTGATTCTGCTATTAGTTTGCCACCTGCACCAGTGATAATATGCCTTCTGTGTCACTGTGTAGCTTATTTAATTAAAATAATGAAGACTTCTGCTTCTCAACTCAGAATAAAAGGAAATAGATTTAACTCCCAGCATAAAACTACTAAAAAAAAAAAAAAACAGACAAAATGTATGAAACAATGGCACTGAAGACACTGGGCATAAGGCAGCAGAGCATAATGAACCCTGAGGGAAGAAAACGAAAGAGCTGAGTCCTATAATTACTTCTTGGTGAAAGTTTCCAGGTCATACAACAGAGGGGTGCAGGGACAAAGTTTCCATGGTTTAAGGATCTGTGTGCCTAGAAAAGCCCAAGCAGCTAGAATTCATAGTGCAAAGTCCCAAAAAGGAGAGAGCTACAGAAAAAGAGAATTATGAACATCTTCAGAGAGTCCCCCTTGATTATTCAGTTGAGTAACATTCAGTGCATACATGAGAAAATCACTCAAGGTAGAGAAGAAACCACTTGAAAAGGATCACAAGGGATGGTACTCAGTGCTCACACAGGGCCAGGAATATGCATATTCTGAAAGGCCAGAGTAGAATACCTCAAAATTCATAGTGTATTAGTTAAAAGTCAAGGAAGGATTTTTCCTTAGTATTTACGAGAAATTAGCCCTTAAGTAAGCACAGGACTTATCCTGTCTAATAAAAGTCAATAGCAAGACCTAAGAGGATCAAATGGTTTCCAACTAATTTACAATGTCCCAGGTAAAATCTCAAGAATGTTTATAGAAATACAAAGATATCTAGCATCCAATAAGACCAAATTCACCACGCCTGGCATCTAATCAAAAAGTACAAAGAAGCAGGAAAATGCAATCTAAATGAGAAAAAACAATCAATTGACATGGACTCAGAAATGGTTAATTTTTTTTTTTTTTTTTTTGAGACAGAGTCTAGCTCTGTCGCCAGGCTGGAGTTCAGTGGCGGGATCTTGGCTCACTGCAACCTCCACTCCCAGGTTCAAGCAATTCTCCTGCCTTGGCCTCCCAAGTAGCTGAGACTACAGGCACGTACCACTATACCCAACTAATTTTTGTATTTTTAGAAGAGACGGGGTTTCACCTTGTTGGCCAGGATGGTCTTGATCTCCTGACCTTGTGATCCACCCACCGCTGCCTCCCAAAGTGCTGGGATTACAGGTGTGAGCCACCGTGCCCGGCTTAAAAATTTTTATGACTATATTCCATATGTTCTAGAAGCCAGATGAATGATTGAACTTTAAGTAAAGGCATGGAAGATATAAACATAACCCAACTCAACTATCTAGAATTGGAAATTTAAATGCCTAAGATGAAAGAACATTTCATAGTGTTAGCATGAGCTTAGACATTACAAGAGACTACTTAACAATTATAAATAGTAAAACTGAAACACAAAGGATAAAATATTTAAGGAAGAAGGGTCAGAAAAATGATTTGAAAAAACTAATGCCTGACAGCACACTACTTGACTTCAAAATATACAACAAAGCTATAGTTATCAAAACAGAATGTTTATGGTATACGAACAGACACATAGAACAATGGAACAGAATAGAGCACCCCTCAAAAAAAATTCAACATATTTACATCATTTGACTTTTGACAAAATTGCAATGAACACACAATGGGGAAAAGGAGAGTCTCTTCAATAAATGGTGTTGGGAAAGCTGGATATCCACATGCAGAAGAATAAAATGCTACCCTTATGTTATATACAAGTCAACTCAAAATAAAGTCTTCAACACTGGACCTGAAACAATAAAACTACTAGAAGAAAACATAGGAGGAATGTTCCATCAAATTGGTCTGTGCAATGGCTTTTTGAATGTCACCCCAAAAGCAAAGGCAACAAAAGTAAGAATAAACAAATGGGATTGCATCAAACTAAAAAGCTTCCTCACAGACAAGGAAATAGTCAACAGAAAGAAGAGACAATCTATGGAATGGGAGATAATATTTTCAAATTGTACATCTGATAAGGGATTAGTATCAAAAAAACATAAGAAACTCAACCCAATAGCAAGAAAACAAATAACCCAATTTAAAAAGTGGGCAAAGGACCCAAATTGGCATTTCTAAATAAGGCATAAAAATAACCAACTGTTATATGAAAAGATGCTTGACATCATTAATCATCAGGGGTATGCAAATTAAAACCAAAATGAGCTATCATCTGACACCTGTTATTAACAGAATCATTATCATCAAACAGGTGAAAAATAAAGAATGTGGAGAAAAGGGAATCCTTGTACACTGTTGGTGGGAATGTAAATTAGTACAGCCACTATGAAAAACATTATGAAGATTCTTTAAAGATTCAAAAATAGAATTACCACATGGTTCCACAATCCCACTGCTATGTATATATTCAAAGGAAATAAAATCATTATCTTGAGAAGAGATACCTGCACTTTCATGTTCATTGGTGCATTATTCACAATAGCCAATGGATGGAATCAACCTATGTGTCTATCAACAGATGAATGGATAAAGAAAATGTGATATATATGCACAATGGAATAATATTCAGCCTTAAAATAGGAGAGTTTGTCATTTGCTATGCCATAGATAAAACTGGAGAATATTGTTAAGTGAGATACGCCAGACAAAGAAAATATCTACCATATGATCTCATTTATTTGTAGAATCTAAAAAGTTGAACTCATATAAGTAAAGAGTACAATGTTAGTTACTAGGAACTGGAAAGAAGTTGTGGATGGGGAGATTTTGATCAAACAATACAAAATTTCAAGATATCTATTGCACAACATGGTGACTATAGAAATATAAATAGATCTGAAAAATTAACAAATATTTAGAAAGTAAGTACCACACTAGGAATAACACTGTCAAATAGCAATCAAAGAGGAAATTTTAAAGTATTTTGAACTGAATGAAAATAAAACTATAATATATCATTATTTGTGAAATATTGCTAAAGCAGAAGTTAAAGGAAAATTTATAATTAAATGCCTATAATATTTTAGAAAAAAAATGGTGTTAATAATCTCAGATTCTGACCATAGAAGCTAAAAAAAGAAGAGTAAAGAAAACAGAAGAAATGAACAATAAATATCAGAGTTGAAATCAATTAAATAGAAAATTAAAACTATAGTAAAGAAAACTAATAAAACTAAAACTAGTTATTTGAAACAATTACTAAAGGTCTAACCTCCCTGATCAGGGAAAAAAATGTAAATTTTCACTATAATGAAAGATAGTCCATCATTACATATTCTACAGATTTTTAAAAAAACATTAATTAGAACATGTTATTAACAACTTTTGTCAATAAATTAAAAAATTTGGAAGAAATAGATATGTTTCTTGAAAGACACAAACTATCAACATTCAATCTAGAAGAATTAAATTGAACAGCCCTTCCTCTGTTAATAAAATTGCGTTTATAATTAAATACATTCCCACAAAGAAAATCTCAGGCCCAGATGATTTCACTAGTAAATTCTACCAAAATGTTTTTTCTGAATTTTCACTTTTATTTTTATTGCATTATTACAATACAGTAATTTTATTATTGGTCTTAACATGATTCAAGTTGGACTTCAAAGTTCAATGATTATTTATTTAATATATTTGTATTCATTGAGCATTTAGCAAGTGACAAGTGCTGTCCTAGATAGTGAAGACACAGTAGTAACAAAAACAGACATTGTTCAACCCCCATGGAGTTTACAATCTGGCAGAAAATATGGAAAGACTACAGGGTGGTACAGGTTGTTGACTGAGGAGGGTAAATACAGAGAGGATCAGGAACGGTTTCTCTCAGAAACTCTTGCTTTAAACTAACACCTGAATATTAATAAATTTTAGCAGCAAAGGAGGGAGAAGATCAAGTTACAAGGGAAGCACAGGAATGAATGAAGCACATTTGAGGAACTATAATAATTAAGACATGGCTTGAATGGAAATTGGGAGTCTATCAGATATTTAAGTAAGAAATAATAACAATTCTATACAACTTCCCAAAATTGCAGAGGTGTAAATTTTCCCCAATTAATTCAATGTGGCAAGCATTATTGTGATTAAAAAATCAGACAAAAACATTAAAAAAAGATATGTAGGCCTATATTCATCATGAATATACATACAAAATTTTTAGTGCAGCTTTAGCCCATCAAATCCAAAAATATAAAAAGAATAATACATCACAACCAGTGTGATTTGCCCTCAAAGTTCAAGGTTGGTTTAATATTAATAAAATTTAATATTCAAAATGCATTTAATTCATTGTATTAACAGACTAAAAAATAAAAAGAATAAAGAAAAATCTATGGCCAATATAATAGATTCAAATAAAGTATTTGACGATTTTTGATATTTACCATTTATTTATGGTAAAATGTTTCAAAATCTTTCAAAAAACTTGAGAACGTTTGTGACAAACCTAAGCTAAAATTGTATTTAATGATGTAAGACTACATGCTTTCCCTGTATAATCATGAATGATGCCCATTTTACAAAGTCTATTCAGTGTTGTACTTGAAGTTCTAACCAGTGCAGTATGATAAGAAGAAAATAATAAAAATGTATCCAGATTGAAAAGGATGATATAAAATTATTTTTATTTATAGATGAGTTGATTGTCTACATAGAAAACCCCATGGAATCTACAGAAAGAGCTATTGTAACTAACTAGTGAGGTTAGCAACATTGCAAGATACAAAGTCAGTACACATAAACCAGTTGTATACCTAATAATAGCAACTTTTAAAAATCTTATTTACAATAATATTAAAATATAAAATTTTCACACCTATATCTGAGAAAAGACTTGCAAGACCTAAAAACAGGTTAAACATTCCTCATTCAAGAATCTGAAATCCAAAATGTTCCAAAATCTGAAATTTTTGACACATAGAAGTGGAAAATTCTACACCTAAAGCTTGCTTTCTGATGGTTGACTGTACACACACTTTGTTTCATGCACAAATTTTACCTTTGGGCTACGTATATGCAGAGTATATAAAACATAAATATATTTTATGTTTATACTTGGGTCTCATTCTCGAGATTTCTAATTATGTAAATGCAAATATTCCAAAATAAAAAAAAGAAAACTCAAAACACTTCTGCCTCCAAGTACTTTGGATAAGGGATACTCAACCTGTGCTGAATAGATATTGTGTTTATGGATTGGAAAATTTAATATTGTTAACATTTCCATTCAATCTAATTGATTTATGGAAACAATGCAATTTTAGGTAAAATTTCAGCAGAATTTTTATAGAAATTAAAAAGTTGATTCATATGGAAATTTGAAACAACTTTGGAAAAGAACAAAATTGGAAGACTCACACTCCTGGTTTCTAGACTTACTTTAAAGCTACTATAATCAAGACAATATGGTGTTGGCATCAAAATAGACAACAGATCTATGAAAAAGAATAGAGACCAGAAATAGGTTAACACATATGTTATGGACAGAATGTTTTTCCACTCCCCCCGACCCATATGTTTAAGCCCTAACCTCAAGTGTGGCTATATGAAAAGATATTCTATAAAGAGATAATTAAGGTTAAATTATTCATAAGCGTGGGGCCTTTGTCAGATAGGATTAGTGTCCTTATAAGAGACACCAGAAGATTTGTTCTCTCACTCTTCATGGCAAGAATCTATAAAAGACCATGGGAGGATATAGCAAGAAGGTGGCCATCTGCAAGTCTGGAAGAGAGCCCTCACTAAAAACCAAATCAGTTGGAACCTTGATCTTGGACTTCTAGCCTCCAGAATTATGAGAAATAAATGTCTGTTGTTTAAGCAACCAAGTCTAAGGTATTTTGTACTGCAGCCCTTGCTGACGAAAACAACTATGTTGTTAGTCAATTAGTCAATTATTTTTGATTAAGATGTAAAGGAAATTTTGTGAAGAAAGGGTAATCTAATTAACAAATAGTGCAGAAGCAATCACATGTCCATATGCAAAGAGAACCCTCAATATATGCCTAACCCTATATCCAAAAATTACCTCAAAATGGATTATAGACCTAAATGTGAAATCTAAAGCTTCTAGAAACTTCTAAAAGAAAACATGAGAGAAAATATTTGTTACTCTGGATTGGGGAAATATTGTGTAAATACAACATAAGTGTATAATCCATAAATTTAAAAATTGATAAATTGAACTTTAAAAAAAGCTCCTTTTCTTCCAAAGGACACTGTCAAGAGAATGAAAATACAAGCCATAGATTGAGAAAAAATATTTGCAAATTATATATCTGATAAAGGACTTGTAGCCAGAATATATACAGTATCCTCAAATTTCAGTAAGAAAAAAATTAATATACAGTGGGAAAAACACATGGATAGACAGAAGATGTATAGATGGTACATGAACAAATGAAAAGATGATCACTCAACATCTTTAGTCATTAGAAAGTACAAAGTTTTTACTTGTAAAAACAAGTAAACAATGATATACCACTACATACTTACTAGAATGGCTAAAATTATTAATAAATATCAGCGATACCAAGTGCTGGTGGGAAAATAAAATGGATACCACAACTTTGGAAAACTGTTCAGCAATTTCTTAAAAGTGTTAAACATGCAACTACTCTATGACCCAGTTATTCTACTCCTAGGTATTTACTCAAGAGAAATGAAAGTATATAAGTCTGTAGAAAGACATGTATTTACTATAAATTTTTATAATAACTTTATTTGGATAGCCCCAAACCAATGACAATCCAAATATTCATCGACAGATGAACAAATTTAAAAACTGCCCTATACTTATACAATTGAATTCCACTCATCAATAAAAAATGAATAAACTGCTCGCACAAAACTATAGGTATGACTCTCAAAATAGTTATACTGAGTGACAAATGCCAGACAAAAAATTGAACATACTGTTTGATCCCATATATAATAAATAAATATAAACATATACTACAATAAATATATAGCATAATATAAAATTCTGTATACATGGAATATATAATTACATTAAATGTAAATTAATCTCTACCATTAGAAAGCATATTCATGTTGCCTAGTAAAAAGAAACTGGATAGAGTGGGAAGGATTGTAAAGTAGCATTAGGAAACTTTTAGGGAAGATGGATATGTCTGTTATCATGATTGTGATGATGGTTTCATGGGGACTTATATTGGTCAAAATTGCCAAATTGTATACTTTACATATTTTCAGTTTGTTGTATTTAGATTATACTGCAATAAAGCTATTTTTAAAAACCATAATGATAATAGGTTGTTATTTCATACCACTAGGAACATCTCTTTAGTGGTGAGTGAATGAACACCTTTCATTAATTCATTCCCTACATTAGATTATGTTGCCTGTGAGTTTCTATTTCTACAACAGTGCTGTGCACCCATGTGAGATTTCTGTGACATGTATTTCCAGATGGTTGAGCATTGGTCCAAGTTGTTTCTCTGTCAGTATACAAACAAGAAAAGATTAGGATGATTCAAGTTTTATTTACACAGATACTGATTGCTGGGGTATGGTTGGGATGTAAAGAAACCAGAAGGGATTGTCCAAGATCCCTGGGAAAAATAAACAGCAATAAAATTGTTACACCCCTCAACTCAAGAAAAAGGTTTTTAGGACATTTAGGGAAAGTGTAACATTCAGACTTCTCTTGGGAGATGTGACGTTTGGTGGTGGCTATGATACATATGATACATCACCACCGTGTGACCATCCTACGGGGTGGGAAACCAAATATTCGATTTTTCTTCCTTCTCCAGTCTCTTGCCTGGACTCTCAATGGCTCAGCTCAGCTAGAAACCAGAATGTGTAAGAACTCTGTTGATGTAACTCATAGAGGTCAAGCTCCCAGGCAGCAGAGGATAAGTTGAAGAAAGGTGAGGCTCACAGTGAATCTAGAGGGGCATGTGGAGGACATGTGGCATAGGGTGAAATTAATGTTGTTTCTAGAATGCTTGTAGAAGTTGGTTCTCCTAACGGTGGTACGTGAGAGTTTCCCCTCCTCTCTATCTTCATGAGAAACTTGATGGAACACGTTGCTCAATTTTAGGTATTCTTTTTCTTGATAAGCTCTCGGTTACCACAAGAAAAGTTGGTAGAAACAAACAAACAAAAAAGGCTAGTTTGCATGAATTACATTTAGTGAATTCATCCTGGATCCTATTACCTCGGGTCACTACTTTTAGAGCTGTTTAGACAAGGATCAATGTCAAATTCACTGATAAAAAATTTGACCCATCTCTACTCTTGGCGTTCTATGTCATTTTTGGTGATACTTCAAAGATTATTAAAATGGTTCTATAATCAGCTGCAGATGTTTTCAGTGCTCTGGCAAAGGGTGACAGGAAGAAATGAGGAGAATCTTAGGGGCAAGATTAGCAAGTTTCTTTATCATACATGGCACTGGTTTCCTAATTTGTAGGGTTTGGGACTGGATAATCTCTCGATTCCTTTCTAAATTAAGATCCTATATTTTGGTTAAAAAGAATGCTCATCTACTCTGGTGATAACAATAATTTCAGATGCCACTATTTGCATATTTAAAGCCCTTGAAGACAAAAAGATCATGTGGGTATACTGGGTGGAATCAGCCACAGGGATGTGTTTCTTATGACTAGTCACTTTTGCTGAACTCCCTTTGTTGACCCAGTGATCAGACAGCAACTATCATCTTGCTGACATTTTCAGTCTGTTTGTTGAGATTGAGAATTGATCTTAATTATCAATCTTGAGATTGAGCTACCCGTCTCTCTTATTTGTTAAATCTCCCTTGTCTGATAATAGCTTTGGCACAATAGACATTTTATTCCATTTATGTTGCTAGCATCAGTGTAAAAGTAATTCTTTTCAGTACATCTATCCTCACGCATGTCCATTAACTCTGATAGTATTTATTTGTATGCAAAGCACATGTTCAAATGCATATGTATAAGCACATCTGTTATAACTGTCCCCTTTTTGATTGCCCTGTGCATAAAATCCAGCCTCCTCTATCCCTTATCACAAGCTCCTTATGGTCAGAGAAATCTGGAAATCCAGTAGTTCTTAATAGACCACCTTGCATACAGTGTTCACTCAAAGAGCATTTGCTGATCCTTAGTTGATAATCCAACAGGAAAATAGAGGCTAGGCTCAATACACCACTTAGCCACTGCTTTGAATTTGCCAACACATGCAGCCTCTGCAAGAGCAGTTAATAAGTGATGGGACTGAATTAGGTGTCCTTCCATGATGGAAATTTTAATGAGGTGGGTAATGAACCAAAGGTAGAAAGAATCAGGCAAAGGAAGAAACTAGAGATGCATGAATAGTTTGGAAAACATATAACCCACCAGAGTGATAGTGCCTGGACTAAATCAATGAGTTCTTAGGATATTTCTAAACAATGAATATTTTTAATGGAGTCATCGTTGGTCTTTTCAAAAGAATAAACCCAGAGAAATAAGCAAGTAGTTTAGAAAAGTCTTTATTTAGTTTTTCTTCCCTCTCAGTAACTAATTTTTCTTGAATATTTGAATGTGATATTTTCTAAATGTTAGAACTTCAGAGCCTACTAGAGAAAACTGGAACTAAACATTTTCAAGGGTATTCTTTTTCCTACATTTTAGTCCACCTGCCATTCATCTTGACTGTTAACACAAATAGCAACTGTGTCAAATTGGCGAATATACTCCTGAGGTTGCGTTGCAATAATTAAATTGTGAGGGTGACTAAAAGATAGAAGGAAGAAATACAGTGTCAGCCTATTTCTGGGATTTTTTTTTTTTTTCTATTAGCAGCCTTTATTTGCCTGCTGCTCTTTTCAAACTGTTATTTTATGTATTTCAGCTGGAAAATTCCAACAATTTTTTTCTAGGAATCACGAAAATTGTATAGTATTTGTAAGGGTCTCTAAGGGCATTTGAAATTAAACAGTTGATCTTGGGGACTAAGGAGAAAATTCAAACGTAATTTCAACTTAATTTAGCATTTAGGCAATGTGGTATGATAGATCTCAGGCTTTTAACTGGCTTTGATTTAAACCTAGTTCTGCTACTTATACATTATACATCCTCAAGCAAGTAACTAACGACCCTCTAAGACTCAGTGTACTCATCTGTAAATGGCGTTTAATTTCTCTTAGCTTTAATATATATTTGAGAGATTAAATTTATTTCAAAGATAAAAATTTTCTAGGTAACAAACCTGGGATATCTTTTTGAAAACCCATAAACTAGGGAGTAGAAACAGTAGAAATAAAAAGGATTCAGAAAGGATATTTTGATGCCTAATTAGAAAGACAATATGGGTATTTCTTTTCTAATTAAAATAATTATAATTTTAAAAACACCTTACAGAAGGTAGATAAAACAGTAATGGAAGACATCAATCAGCTATATATTTACTAGAGATACTCTGTCCAAAGTAGTTTCTATTATTTTTTGCCTTGCTTCATCGACAAGTTTTGCTTTCTGAAGTTTGTGAGAGAAATACAGAAATGTGTCTGGTTTACTGGTTAGTGAAATGGAAATGAGGGCAATATTTGGGGGAAAGTGTAGTCCTTAATAGCCAAGAAAATGAAAACTAGCTCAGATATTTATTGTAAATGCTTATTGTAAAATAACTTTTTCAGGAGAAATTTTTTAATGCAGATACCCTAATCCCATTGCCAGAGAATCAATGGGGATGGATAGTCCAATAATCTGAATGAAAGGTTTCCCACGTCAATCTTATGTTAGCTAGAATTTGGAGCAGATGTCCTGGACAACAGAGTAACAAGTATTATAAGGTTCATAGAAAACTATAAACCTGTAAGGGGAAGATAGATCTAGAGAAATTGGAGATTCTCAAATTGGATTCTGATGAGGAAGAAAAGTGGGAGATCTATAAAGAAACATCTGAGGCACTCACGTTTTTTAAAGACTTGTAGATAAGGTGGAAGGACAGATATGTTAACCAAGAACATAGTGACACAATTTTGAGGACGTCAAAAGTCTACATGAACTAAAAGTCCAGTGCTTGGGACAAATAGAGTAATGTTAAAGATCACAATAACCAAACAGCATCCTCAGCTCCTTTTTTTTCCCCCTTTCTGTTTCCTGTAACTGACAACAATCTTTTTAATTAGGATAAAGCAGGTTGTTAGTTAAATATTGCTGCATAACAAACAACCTCAAAATCTCAGTGGCATACGGCAATAAGCATCTGTTTCTCTCTTATATGTTGGCAGGTGGATCCTCCTCCTGGGACCAGCAACCAAGCCATAACATGTTCTCAGGAGAACAGCAGATGTATAGGAAAGAATGCCCAGTCGTATAAATCAATGCCAATGCTCTGTTTGTACCATTTCTGCTTACATTCCATTGGCCAAAACAGCCACATGGCTGAGCCCAAAATCAAAAGACCCTTTTTAGGAGGAGCAACATTTCTGTCATTGCAAAGTTGAAGGACAAAAAGAATAGATATAAGGAAGAGCAAATAATTAGGGTCAATAATTTAATCTATCACAAACATTGATGAAATCATAATATAATACCTATTTTTATTTTGTTGTCATAAAATTGAATGCCAAAGTATTAAAAAATTTATTTTCTAGCTGAGGAAGCTGATCGAAAATATGAAACCTGTGTTCTGAGTTTAAACTCTGTTGTCTCTCCAATGGAAATATACTGCCTCAAAATATCTGAGGTATAATTACATTGCTAAATAAATATATTCAAATTTTTTAAATCCTTCAAAATATATTCATTTATTTGTTCAATATTTACTGAGCTTCTGCTATGTACAGGTACAGGGTTCAATCTAAGGACTTACTAGCAAAAAATTCTGGTTCTTGATTTTAAAAGCATACAGACTAGTAGCATTGACTTAAAATGGAAAGTTACCTAAAAATTTCCAAATACCTTGTTAATTTTGTAAAAAAAATTTCCACTTAAAAAAGGCCTAATATAGACACAGTAAATGAATACTTAAGAAGGTGATGGTTTCTGAGTCAGTAGTAATGAGGGGTTGTATGGCATAATGGGGCGGGGGAGCATTGGATTAAAATCAGAGCATGTGCATTCTAAGGTCTAAATCTGCCTCTTAATAGCTGTACTGACATTAAGAAAGTGATTTACCTCCTCTCAGCTTCTGATTTCACATTAGTAAAATTGGGATAATATCTGCTCTTCCTACCTCAGGTAAATGTTACATATCAAACCCGTGAAAAATATAAAATGCTTTAAAGTTGAAGCACTATTAAAACATTATTAAACAAGTATCAGAAAACAGATAAAATAATAGTCAAACTTACTGGCACAAATCTAATCTGGCACCCTGCAACTTTATGTTACTTCTCAAAGCCCCAGAGAAGAAAGTTAAGAGAACTATTTCAAAGGACCTTCTAAATGCTATGACTCTACTTCTGTAGACAATCACCAAAAAAATTTTTTTTTTCCTCTGGACCGCTAGAGTTTGAATTTGTTGCCATATTGCAGAAGGCTGAATGAATATCAAACACCAACATATGTTCGTGTTTCAGCATCCCACATGGAGAAAAACAGCTGACTTCACTGCTATTTTTGATAATCTGTTACTCTGGTGAAACTAGATACTCTTCCCTCCTCTGGAAGCTGACTGGAGTTACTTAGAATGGGATCCATTATTACTTGTGTTTGTGTTTTAATTAGGAATTAGCATTTCATTCAGGGGCAAAAGCTCACCTTCATAGAATCCTGTGTTCTACAGTCAAAGAGCTTCTCTGAGATCATTCTGCAGTGAAACAAAGATGCCCTGTCTTATTTTATTTCTGATACTAATTGGACAACTTCAATATCTATAAGCATGATTTTGTTGTTACAGCCTCTTAGTTTTAGCCTCTTACTTTTTTTCACTTTTCTGGTCCTCAGTAACCTCCACATCCATCAGTAACCCTCCCTGGATCATATTATTCATACTGCCATCCTTAAATAATATACCACCTCTAAAATATTCACTTCTCTGAATACCACACCGCCTCCCATCCTTCTAGCTTACCTAGTGTGGCTATTCCATTCCAGCAATTATTCAACCTCTGCAGAGTTTTTTCTTTTCTGTATTTGTTTTTAAATAAACTATTTAATTTTAGACTAGTTTAGATTTAAAGAAATATCAGAAGAGAGTATGGAGAGTTCTCAGATGTCCCACATCTAGTTTCCCCTATTAACTAACTTCTTATGTTAGTGCAGTTACTTTGCCACAATTAGTGAACAATATTGACACCTTATTTTTAAGTGAACTCTCTATTCTGTTTTCTTTAGTTTTTACCTAGTACTCTTTTTCTGTTTGTTTCAAGATGCCTTACAGACTCCTTTCCATGATGACATTTACCTATCACGTTTCCTCAGGTTTTTCTTGTCTGTGACAGTTTCTCAGACTTGCCTTGACAGTTTAAAAAAACACCGGTCTTGTGTTTTGTAGAATGGAGATTTGTCTGGTCATGATTTGACTGAGGTTGTGGGTTTCAGGGAGGAAGACCACAGAGGTGTACTGCCATTCTCATCATAGCATATCAAGGTTACATAACTATCGACATGACTTATCATTGTTGATGTTAGCCTTGATCACCTGACTGGAGTAACGCTTGTTAGTTTTCTTCACTGTAAAGTTACTTTGTCCCCCTGTTCCATACTGCATTATCTGGAAGTCAGTTACTATGCACAGCCCACACACGAGAGGTAAAGAGTTATAGTCTACCTCCATAAGAGGTGGGGTATCTACATAAATTATTTGGAATTCTGTGTCACAGATTTATCTCTTCTCCCTATTTATTTATTCAATCTTTTGTCTACATCACTATGGACCCAAGGACATTTGTTTTATACTTTAGGTTATAATTAAAAGCTACCATATGTATTTTGTTGCCCAAATTGTTCCAGCCTTGGCCATTATAAGCTCTTTCAGTTGGCTTTCATGTCCCTTTGACATACTTCGCATCTTTGTAGTTATTTTATTTTCTAGCACTTTCCTACTCTCTAGCAATACAAGATGCTCCAAGCTTCAGTTACATATTTCTTACCGCAGTCCTAGAATTGGACGCCTCTGCAAGGAGCCCTGGTTTCTATTATTGGAGAATAATGTTAGAAACAAAGATTAGGGCACTATCTTAGAGACTTTGATTCATTAATCTACTACTTTCTCATATGAATGAGCCTCTACTTTTTCCTCCTGTATTCTCATTTCCACTCTTCAACTGATTACCTAATAACTCTTTTCTTCTCAAGATTGATCATCCTGATCAATTCTTTTTACTTTTACTTGAGGATCTTGCCTCATATTTCATACTTTATTGAGTAAATAGATGCAAAAGAAATCTCTCATATTTTTATCACCAAAACTACCAATTGATCCATTTTTATCTAAATTATGCCTCTCTATCCAACACGGAGGTTGATATGTCTATATCTAAGGACTGAGAGAATGAGAGAAAGGTGAATTTCTTGTTATTCCATTTACAGAATTTCACATAATCCCCTTGCTTCCAATATCACACTCATCCTTGTACACAGCTATTTCTGTGTGTCTGATTTCCCTCAGTCAATTGCTCCTCAGGTTCAACTTCTTTAGGGAGTAAATATCCATCTTCTGCCTGGGCGGAGGCAAAGTATCACTGGTAAGAGGAGAGGAGATGGAGTTCCTACTGTTTCAGCCCACTTTAAATGCTAATCTTGAGAGACACATAGACCCACTGTTCCTTGCACCTTTCCAGGTTCTTTGGTTTGAAATCCCTTTGTTTGGCCTCCACTCTCTCACTTTGTTCCACTTCCCTTACCTCAGTCTTTGCCCATCCCCAATCACTTAGGTTTTTCTTTCTTACTAAAATCAGTTACCATTCATACATTCATAAATATGCTTTCCATAATCCAAAAGTTTTTACCTGCTGTTTTCTCCTCTCATCGTCTGTAGGACTTCTAATTTTCATATTCATTTATTCCTATTTCAGTGAGACTTTGGGAAAGAGGTGCAATAAATAAAGATGCTCAATCTGCCAAGCTTTATCAAAGTCTCAGTGAGATTTTGAAAAATCCTGCCTTCTCAGATCAACCCTTTTTAAAAATCACCTATTGGCTTCCTCAACTTCCAGGTTCCACTATCATTGTTAGATCTGAATGAGCAGAATCTAGTATGAAAAACCTTTTGTCCTTAGGCCAAAGAGACTTTGTTTTGGTTCCTAATTGTTCTGTCTATGGTCATATAATATCAAATTTAGGAGGTTAGTCTCTGAATAAATTGCTGGAGTAACTTGTTTTATTTCTTACTATCACTTTGACTTAACATTTTTTGTCTTTAAATGTGTATTTAATAATATAGCCTTATAATTTTGTTCTTTCTAATAAATGAAATAATTTATGTGAAATACACTAACTCATTTAAAATTCAGAACAAACCTATGAGTTCCATATTATTTCCTTTGTATCACAAATGAAAAAAAGCCTAAGCTTGGGTGGTTTAAGCAAAGTTAAGTGTTTGAAACACATTAATTTTAGAAAAAGAAATGCCCCCAGAGGGCATTATTGGTGTAAGATATAGGTAACTCTCTCTCTCTCTCTGTTTTTTCTCTCTCTGTTTCTTATTGTAGGCACACTGAATTACTTGCCTTTCCCAGGTCATAGCAAAAACATGGGCATGTCTGTGCTTTGGTGAATGCCATTTTTCTCTGCCTCTATTGGGCGTTTGCTCTCCATGCTGTGTCTGATGAAGACTGAGCTCTGAAATCTGTGCCTCACAAATGAGTTTCTTGGAAACAGGGACAAGGCCTATGTATAGTTCCTGGTACAGTGTCTGACACATTATAGGTACCTATTGATTACACAATTAACAATAGCAATAATAATAGTAATAATAATATTAGGTTGGTGCACAAGTAATTGTGGTGTTCACCATTATTTTCAATGGCAAAACTGCAATTACTTTTGCATCAACCTATAATTGCATTCACCTATCAATTTATTCATCTTAGACACATTATGTAAAAGATAGTAACATAAACTTTTGTGATAGATGGCTAAGTAGATAGATAGATAGTTGATAGATTCTATCCAATATTCATTAAAATGGGTAAGGAAGGTGTATTCTTTTCTGTGGCTGTTACAACGAATTACCTCCTGTGGCTTAAAACAACGAAAATGTATTCTCATTGTTCTATAGGCCAAAATCTATGTTGGCACTGCTCCATATGCTCTAGGAGGGATTCCATTCCTGCTTTTGGCTTCACCATTCCTTGGCTTGTGGCTGCATCATTTCAGTCCCTCTCTCCATTTTCACATGGACTTCTCTGTGAATGTTTCTCTGTTCCTCTCTTTTACAAGGACACATGTGATCAACTCTCTCATCTCTAAATCCTTACCTTAATTATACATGCAAAGACTCTTTTTCCAAATGCTATTCACAAGTCCTAAGGATTAGGACTTAATATGTTTCAGTGGCCATTATTCAACCTATTATACTAGGTGTTCAAGTCAGAGTATTTGCTTGCAAGCAACAGCAAACAATAGAAATTGACCTACGTTGTCTTAGAAGAGCAGAAATTTATTGTAGTATGCTACTGAAAGCTCACAATTGATTGGTTATCTGAAGGTCAGTTTTGGAAAATTGAAAAGAACAAGGAGGTGGGTGTTGAAAGTCCAAGTGATAGCTACGGGAGGCAGCCAAATGCCTAGGCAGATAGGGGTGGGTCCTGGGTGAAACTCCACCTCCAAGCCAAAAAGAGCCTGAAGGCTGAACGACTGGACTGCTCGTTCTGGATTAAACCTGCAACCCAGAGTGAAGACTTCTGTTCCTGTTTGCCCGCCCTTCCTGGAATGATTCTTTCTGAATAACACCTTTTAACCAATCTAATGTTGCCTTTTCCAATGTTATCTATAACCTGCCCTTCTGCTATTCTGAGCCCATAAAAAGGCCTGGACCCAGCTACATGGGGAGGAGAGAACCACCTGACTACAGGGGTGGGGAACCACCCACTCATCCCCTCTCCGCTGAGAGCTGTTCCGTTGCTCAGTAAAATTCTTCTCTGCCCTCCTCACCCATCAATGTCCACCATATCCTCATTCTTCCTGTGTGTGGTACAAGAGCTTGAGAACTGATGAACCAGGGTAGAAGCTATAACACAGGCAAGCTACGGCATACCAGCATCCTCAAGGGAAGGGAGAATGGGGCTCTACCACAAATAAGTATTTCAAACAAGGGGTTTGGGGTTGGACATTAGACACTAAAAATAAAAATTTAAAAAATTGTCCCCTATGAAGAGTAACTATATTCTTCAATTAAAAAAAAATGAAGAAACTAATACTCAATTCAAT
The DNA here is from genome assembly GCF_000001405.40 of Homo sapiens. Lineage (NCBI taxonomy): Eukaryota > Metazoa > Chordata > Mammalia > Primates > Hominidae > Homo > Homo sapiens. Next base: position 106,529,415 of record NC_000011.10, read on the forward strand.
AAGTATAGGAAATAGGATAAAAATCCCAGGGCTGCATAACTCCATAGATTACATTCTTTTCACTCAATGATGCTTCCTTCTGAAGTATCAAAATTCACTTGACTTATAGAAAAGTTTTAGAATAATGATCAATTGTATATCTCTTCCCTAATTTGCAGAATAAATAAATGTCAAAAATTCAAGTAACTAGTTTGAATGAGAATCAGGCCTTCACTTCATGGAGTGCAAAAACATTCAAACTTCATTCTTTAAATAAATATTAAACAGTGCCCTTTGAAATCACATTATAAAAAGTCAATTTTTTTCAATAATGCTGTCATTATTCAAAGCAATTTTGGAACTCATTCCTATTTTTAAAATTACCACCAGAGTTCCCGTATTGCAAGTTTATGTCTTAAAGACCAATCAAGCATGTTTAAATTACATTATTGTGCCTATTAAAATTTTTCCTTTAAATGTCATTCTGGAAAAAAATGATTATTTCAAAAAACGATCTTTGACATAAACTTTAATCTGCAGGCAATTGGTCAGAACAATGCAGGTTGCTACAGAAACCTTAAATGCAGATTTCATGTCCTGCAAAAATTTAAGAGAAGAGGGAGAAATCGACTTATGATGATATTCATGACTTGCCAGCTTTGTAACAAAACAAAAATCTTTATTTTATAATTAAAGACACTAAGAAAGTTTATATACCTGTTTCAAAATCTTAAAACTAGTAAGCATTTTTAATTCTGGGTTAACACAAATTTTAAACTTAAAAAAAAGATAAGAGCAAGTGGAGTTACATCTGAGTTCTCTTTGAAAAAAAAAGATAACTTGTAAAGTACAGTGAGGGGAAAGAATGATGGAGTTTCTTTTTTGTTTGTTTGTTTTATTTGTTTCTCTCACTTAATGTAGAATTGAAAGATGCTCCTGGAAACAGTGGTGGGAAAGAAAGATGTAGACTTCAGTAGCAAGTAACACCTTCATTGTCTTCTAAGGAAAAGCAAAACAAGGATTGTGATTTCAAACAAGTACTTAGTGAAAGAACTATTAAATTGCATATGGTCATTTTTTTCTATAAGAAAATGCCCCTTAACAGTTCTAAATTTCTTCGTTTTAATGAATATTTTTCTTTTGATTGTTTTTAAAATAGTATATGAAAGGGAAAATTCTTCTCTCAGTTCACAATTAAGTGACTCTAATTTTTCAGACAAAATCAGAACATATAACCTCAGATTTGTTGGAATATAGTTATAAATATTGAAATCAGGATTATTTAGGGGAATATCACAAGTTTACTTAATGGCTTCCTACATAAATAACTTCATTTTGCTGGTTCCTCTGCCTAAATGCTGTTTTAATCTGGTAGCTTCTACTTATTTTTTATGCTTAGTTCTATAAGGCCTTATTCAGGATTCCTAGTAATATTGACGCTATCTGAACCATGTTATAATTATTTATAAACCTCTATCACATATATCCATGAGTGCCTCAAGAATAGGACTCACCTATTATGAAGCTTTCCATTCTAAATGCCAAGTATAGCACCTGATGAAACTTACTAAGTTATCATTAAATATTTTTAGAGTAGATACATGGTATATCAGAATGAATAGATGAGAGAAGAAATTGAATGAACAAAATTCTGTCATACTTGGGAGAGGTAACTGTTTAAAATATGCTAATTCACAAAGTCAATCATATGTTTTCTTTATTAACTCTAGCTTTTACTTATTGTCCCTATCACTTGTATTGGTTATTTTGTTCATGTTCCTAGGAAAATGGTAAGAAGAATAGCAAAGAATGAATATAAAACAGCTTGAAACTTAAGACTGATAAAAGAGACTAGCCCTGTAGTAATCTCCGTCATATTGAAATCCTCCCCAAGCCAGTTCCTAGAGCCACTTAAATACCTCTCTTAGATTAAGAGGGACTTTGCCTCTGAGCTGGGGAGTCTAGGGCTCAGAGTCTGGTACTCAAATGGCAAACATGAGAGTATATTTGAACTCTTAACAAGTTGAAGCCATTCCTTGACACTTAGCAGATTTTTCCCATGTAACAAAGCATTGACATCTGCAAAGCTGTGGAGCATTGCTACTGAAAATTTACTGGAGAAGCAAACATTTTCTTGTTTTTCTAAATGTGAAAAAATAAACATTTCTGAAGCGTGTGTGTGTGTTTTGGTACATAGATGAGAGGTTTCTATGTTGCCCAGGCTGGGCTCGAACGTCTAGCCTCACCTCCTTATGCACCAGGACAACAGGCCTGAGCCACTGCGGCTCCTGAAGTTTTTCCTCTGAGATTTCAGAAAAGTGTAGCAGGTGAAATTCTTGTCTTAGTAGTGTTTTTGAGGAGAAGGAAAGGCAGTTGTTTATATTTCTTTTTGTTTGTTTGTTTGTTTGAGACAGTCTCGCACTGTCGCCAAGGCTGGAGTGCAGTGGTGCGATCTCGGCTCGTTGCAAGCTCCGCCTCCCGGGTTCACGCCATTCTCCCGCCTCAGCTTCCCAAATAGCTGGGACTACAGGCACCTACCACCACGCCACGCTAATTTTTAAATATTTTTAGTAGAGACGGGGTTTCACCGTTTAGCCAGGATGGTCTCGATTTCCTGACCTTGTGATCCGCCCGCCTTGGCCTCCCAAAGTGCGGGGATTACAGGCGTGAGCCACTGCGCCCGGCCGGCAGTTGTTTATATTTCTAAGAAGACTGAGACATCTGATTTCTTCTATGTGAACTGCTAGCTTCTTTGTGAATATTTATAGGAATGACAAAATCACAAAGAAGGTTAATGAATATACACATTTTCTTATTTGAGTAAAGGAAAACTGTAAATCTCCCTACTAGGTTTTTCAGCCAGGGGATTATCAAAGCTTTATATTTAGGCAAAAATGATTATTAAGTCAATTCATAGGGAGTCAAAACATTGGTGCATGCTATTTATATCCATTTGAATTAAGCAGATATTTTCTAATTTTGCCATGCGGAAGAGCTGATAATAATACACTATATTCACCTACAGTTACTGATAGAAGTCTGGTTTTCCTTCTAAACTACAAACTTCTTGAATACACAGGTCAGATCTGGACTGTTTTTTAGCTCTATTGCTGCTTTCTCACTGTATACACAGTCACCGCCAGGTGCTGATATAACTAAAGGGTCAGCTTTTTCTTTTTAATTACAGGCTATTTCCTGCTAATATTTTGGAGGAAAGAGGGGAGAGGTTTTCTGAAACTCTCTTCTGAGTTATCCACTTAATCACTACTTCTGGGAAATGCTTGGTTTCAGATCTGGGAGAAGAAATATAGAAGATAAATCTGGAACACTGTGTGACACAAAATAAGAAAACTGTGAAAGGAAAACGAGCCATTGTCAAAATGACACATGAGCCAGCTTGAGTGGACTTTCACTATCCAAAGGTGAGACAATTAAAGAATCAATAATAACTATGATTGATTAAAACACATTTAAGATGTAAAAAGCCATGCATTCTTAATATTTTAAAGAGAGAGAAACAATAAAAACTCTTGGGATATTGGATAACATTAGAGCCTGTCTGGGCACCAAGTCAATATTCTGAAAATTGTCACTGAAGGGAAAGAATTAGGCATTTACCTTGCCATTCTGAAGTAAATTGTATTTCAGGGTGTCCCAAAAGTCCTGTAGTTATGGAAAAGAGTATTGTATAGAAATAGTTCAGTTAATAAATGTAGAATTATGGTGGAATTAGAAAAACACTTCGCAATCTCTAATGAAATAACTGACTAAAGTAATCATCATCAATATCGAGGTTGATGGGTAATTTATTGTCTAAATTAATTACTAATTTATTAGATTAGTAGTAATTTATTAGATTTATTAATAATAAGTAATTAATTACTAAATTTATTAGAGTAAAATAATTACTCTAATAAAATAAAAAGATACTTTGTGAGAAAAAAAGGGTGCACTATTGATAATTATGCCAGGAAACAGGCATAAACTGGTGTGATTCCAGGCAAATATATGTCAGGTCAGCCTGTACTGGGGAACCTGACAATAAAGAGAACAGGCTGTCACTGGCTGAACTCACTGATTAATTTTAGCAGAATAAAGATAAGACAATAAAACCTTATATGCCTGCTGATGTGAGGTAATATGAAGAATTCAGCATTGTCTATGATGCATTGTATACATATATAATATCTCAAATGTGTGTATATATAAATGTGTATTCATGTATAATATTCAAGACTTTAAATCTTATCCCCAGTATACAGAAAATACAGGGGATGGGGAAACAAGTCAAATGGTACCATGGGGAAGTACATTTGCTAATTACTACTTACATGACTAATAAATGCTTACATTGAACCATATTCTACAGGATCACAGATTTAGGCACGTTTTCTGTAACCTGGAGAACTTTTCTTAGTGGGCTCAGAAGAATATTGAAAGTGGTGGAGTTTGATGATGTGTCACTTTCTTTCATGGTAGTGGCTTTTGAATTAACACTAATGTTTAAGACCTAGTATCACAAAGAAAACTTATAATTATGTTGTAGAGATAAAGCCAGTCTTACCATATGAAGTCAAATAATTATTCAACAGATGATCTACTTTTAAAACCAACAAAATAATGCTTCAATAATGAATGTAATTTTCAAGACAGAGATAGGAACAGTAAGTTCTGTAAGAATTAGAAGTAAATAAATTCCATTTAATCCCAGTGGACCAGGAAAGCCTTATAGAAGAGATAAGTTTTGAGCTTGGCTTTTTAAAAACTGTAGAATTTATAGAGAGAGAAAGAAGAAAGAATTCCAGACGGTCAGAAGAATATGTGCAAAAGCATTTAACAGCCAATGATATTTAACAGTTTACAAACAAGCTCTACTAGAGTAGAGTTAATGGGAAATAAGGCTGGAAAGATAGGTTGCTGATGCCTTTCTGGGTCCCTTGCATAGTTCCCCCAAGCATTCAGACCCTGTCCATCATGGAGGCATATTAAACCACATAGCTCACTAGTAGCTCACTAGAGAAATAATGAGTCGACCCTGTTACTGCACATTATAGAATGTTGTGCTTATGGTTTTCTTGTTCTCCCCTACTTTAAGCCAGTCCTTTAGCTAGCTCTTGCCTGAGTGTTTGCCTCTTGGTGTATCAGAAACAGACAAATCTTTCATGAGATCCCAAACAAGCCCATTCCTAATATGTCTAAGATGTAAAATAATAAAGATTACAGATTTGAATGCACTTATTTTATTTATGCAAACCCAGACTTCAGACTTAATTTTAATGGTGCTTTGCTATTCTAAAACAAAGATATTGATTTTTATTATTGATTGTTCTTTTTAAAGTCCATTTCTAATATTCCTCATTTTTTTTTTTTTACTGTGTCTAGTGAAAGTAAGTTTTCTTGTTTGTTTTGTTTAATTGATTCAGGAGCTTTCTTCATTGACCATTTTTTATGAGATAGGCTGATTTCAGAATATGTGCTCTGATTGTTTTAGCTAATTTCTCTTAGCAATCTACTGCCATGCAAAACTGGCACGTTAACGTTTTCATTAAATGCACTGCTAACTCCAAATAATCAAAGCAATATTCATCATCCTTGGCCACGTGCTGCCAACCTTGCCCACCACATGCATGTGAGCAAATGAACATAGGTTACATTAAAAGCTAATAGAATCTTTGGTTGCTTAACATTAGTGGCTCATTTATTTGCAGGGAACAAATATCTTCTAACACTAGGTCAATTGAAGTTTATTCTGCAAATACCAGTGATTTGGAAACTAAGCATTAACAGGGCTGAGGCAGTCCCAGGGACTGGATACTCAGTGTCTCTGTTACCCTCTTTTAGCATCCCTACTTTTCTCTGTGAATCTGCTCTAGGCCTTTCTATATAAATCAGGTTTTTTTCACTTTCCAAAATTCTGATCCTTCAAAATTTTGACTTTGCATTACTATGGCCATTCCAGTCTGAATTCTTTCTCATGGGTTGCCTCCATGCAAACATTGCCTTCTCTTTCATATAAATAGTCCTAATCTAAGAATTCCCAAAGAAGAAATTGATTGCCTCATTATATCTTACCACACCAAGCTATGGATTTTAAATGTGAGATCATACAGTAATTTGTTGACTTGCCAGTTGACTGTACTTGGGTCAATTGTACAACCTTCGTCTGATAGTGTGTGATTAAAGAACCAGGAGATTTTGCTACAAAATATGGTCACTGTTCATTTATCAGTGCCATGGGCAGAGATATTTGTTTTTGAAGGGAAAGTAGACAGTGAAATCCCCAAAATATTTCAAGTATTAATGTGCCACAATCCCTGAGAAGTAGACCCAAGAAAAGAGTGAGAGGCTAAGCATCCTTTAAAGGAATTTCCTCCTGAGGAACTCCTCTCTGGCATTCCCATCAAGTGGTCATCTTGTTTTAACTTGGATGCTTCCAAAGATTGAAAACTTATTTCAAGAGGCTACTAGCCTGCTGAAAAGCACTAGCCCTGAAGGGAATATCATCTTCAATTGTGTCTTCAATTGTGTTCAATATTTATTTGTTTTTTAATATGTTCATTGGCCACATAAATGTCTTCTTTTTAGAAGTGTCTGTTATTTCCTTTGCTCACTTTTAGTTTGTTTTACATCACTGATCGTTAGAGAAATGCAAATCAAAACCACAATGAGATACCATCTCACGCCAGTCAGAATGGTGATTATTAAAAAGTCAGGAAACAATAGATGCTGGTGAGGCTGTGGAGAAATAGGAACAGTTTTACACTGTTGGTGGGAGTGTAAATTAGTTTAACCATTGTGGAAAACAGTGTGGTGATTCTTCAAGGATTTAGAACCAGAAATACCATTTGACCCAGCAGTCCCATTACTGGGTGTGTACCCCAAGGAATATAAATCATTCTACCATAAAGACACTTGTCCATGTATGTTTATTGCAACACTATTTACAATAACAAAGACATGGATCCAACACAAATGCCCATCAAGGATAGACTAGATAATGAAAATGTGGCACATATACACCATGGAATACTATGCAGCCATAAAAAGGAATGAGATATGTCCTTTGCAGGGACATGGATAAAGCTGGAAGCCATCATCCTCAGCAAGCTAACACAGGAACAGAAAGCCAAACTGCATGTTCTCACTCATAAGTGGTAAGTGGGAGTTGAACAATGAGAACACATGGACACAGGGAGGGGAACAACACACACTGGGGTCAGTCTAGGGGTTGTGAGCAAGGGATGGGAGAGCATTAGGACAAATACCTAATGCATCCAGGGCTAAAAACCTAGATGACAGGTTGATAGGTGCAGCAAACCACCATGGCACATGTATACTGATGTAACAAACCTATACGGTCTGCACTTGTATCCTGGAAATTAAAGTAAAATTTAAAAAAATATATTTATGTTGTATTGTGAGGGAGAATAGTTTATGAGTGTTCTCAATTGCCTGGGCATTCATTAAGATATAAATAACAGAAACAGATTTTGAGAGCTAAAGCACAACGTGAATGTATTAATGGAGTATGTCTATCTCAAAAAATTCAGAGCACAGCCAAGCAACTAAGACTTTGGGAAAAACAAAAATCAGAACTTCTCCGGGAATATAATGAGTGCTACTTTTTAAAACTTCCCTCTAAATACTATAAGTAATGTGACTCAGTTACACATAACTCCTACCCCTGTGTTTCTGAATTTAAAATTCTGGATTCCTAAGACAGAATAATTGACAAATATATATATATATATATATATATATATGTCAGCTGTTCACCTTTCAATAGTCTGCTACAGGATCAATTAGCAGAAACATGGTTTCTGGAGTTTCTCCTGGCAGATGCATGGGCAATTTTGAGAGAAATAAACACTAAAGCCAGAAATTAAAGTCCAAACCCTTTCACGGAGAACTCAAATGTGTCCGTGTTCTTGTCTCACTCAACCTCTATTTCCAGCCTTATGTTTTACTACTTATTTTCCCTCTCCAGATCTTTATTTAGACCACACTGTATTACTTGACAGTGACTGATTATACCATTTACCATCAAACTTCTTGTCCCTGCTCATACTGTTCCCTCTGCATGGTAAACGTATCTAGAACTGTCCCAACAGCACCCCATTTTAAAATTTTAATTTCTATCCATTAGTTTAAAGGCATAATCTTCCCAGAGACAACCACTTGCAATTATTTGGCTGCTTGTTTTGATATTTACATCCATATTGCTGAATAAAATATTTATACTGCATTTTACGGCTTTTGTTTTGGTTGTTGTTGTTTTTTGCAGCTTCACATCTAATTGTTGAACTCCCACTATGGTAGCTTCCTCCAACTACACAGGCTTTCCTCCCTTCTCCATGCTTCCAAGATAGTTTATATCTTTATAAGTTTTAGCTTGATAACTACTCAATGTGTACATCATTATATCCATGTAAATACTATTCACAGGTAAACCAGATAATATACATTTACTTTTTGTATAATCTTTTATTTTTTCTTGGAGTTAATCATTGATTCATTTTTGATTGCTTTATTTTCTAATTACTTGGTACTAACATATCCACAAATTCTCTATCATGGGTATAAATCATCCTGATATGTTTAAACATGCTGAGTAATCTAACCATTTCATCTTTTTTTTTTTTCCTTGAAACAAACCTTCTGGAGCCTTTCTTTCTCCTAATAAAATATGGATTGGCTGTTTCCTAGAACTGTAGAAACCTAATTAACCTTGGACATCTATTTATAGTCTTCTTGGGGATTCCCTCTCCCTCTTTTCCTGTATTCTGATATTTTCCTCTCTTGGTTCACTCCAGGTGCTACGTGAAAAAGGATGGGTGGTGAAATCTGGAGAACTTTTATGACTGAAATGTGTTTATTCTATCCTCCCTCTTGATTATTTGGGCTACATGTACAATCTTATGTTGAAAATCATTTTTCCTCAGAAGTTTGAAAGCATTGCTCCATATTAATTTAGCTTCCATCTTTACCATTATAAATTTGATGCCGTTCAAATTCTAGACACTTTGCATATATATTCTGTCTCTCTCCCCAAATCACTTTCTCCATCTTGTTCCTTCTCTCTTATTCTCTCCCTCCCTTTCTCATCCTCTCTCATCTTTATTTCTGTCTGTTTCAGATTTTAGAATCTTCTCTTTGTCTACAGTGTTCTCAAATTTCTTGACAATATATGTTGCTGTTTGTGCGTTTTCTCATTCGTTTTGCTAGACACTTGATGAGCACTTTCAACTTGGAAACTCTTTCCCTTCGGTTCTAGCAATTTCTTTTTATTTATTATTTGGTAATTTACTCCCTTTAGATATCTCTGTTGTGTCTGTTTTCAATTCCTACTTTCAGTTTTAGAATCTGTGGGATTCATCTTACGTTTTTTCTTTGTTTTTTTTCCTCTCCTTTTTCTTATCTTGTTGTCTTTTTCTTGTTGTTTTACTTTCTTGAGAATTTGTTCATGAAACTCCCTCAAAGGAAAAGTTTGTGATGAATATGTGTGAATGTCTGTGTGTTAGTCTGGATTTGTAATACATAAATTATGAATATTTTGCAGAGTGCCCCTATTAATTCTCTAAATAAAGGTTTGTTAATTGGTGATTCTTTATCCTGTATTTTTCAGAGCAGCCAAATACTTAAGGATTTTATGTTACAATCAAAACCAAGATACAAATGTCCTAAAAGAATGCTAAAGCTGCCAAAGTTTCTGTTTGTATTGCATATTAACATCATTTGGCTACTGTGTAATTAATTTAGAAAAATTAAAATGGTCCTTTGCATCATTTTCTTTATAAACCCATTCTATGAAGACCTATCTTGTTATGCAAATAAGGAGGTAAAACTAGTTTTTGATGTGCTTTTCTTTTAAATGCCCTCTCCAACTCTGACCACCCTGGCTATGATACAGCACAATTATACTTGCTACTCCTCTCCACATAAAGACCCTCCTCTCTACAAGTAATTGAAGGTTGATGATTATCACCACCAGGTAATATGTCTGTAGTTTTCCAGAAGCCCTCTTTTCCAATGCCTTAACCCAAAGGATAGTGATTAAAGTGGCACTAGCAGTCATCTACCCCTCTAGGGGTAGACTGGAAGAAGAAAAACATTTAGAGCCTCCCAGATCACATCATGTAGGTAGGGCTGCCTCACTCATATACTGTATGGAAAGCTGGAATACGGAAAAAATGAATGAAGTTACCTTCTCCCAAAGCCTGCCTCTTCATGAATATTCTGTTTTAATAAATGGTATGGTCTAAAATAATTCCTAACTCTTCCTTCTCACTCATTCTGTTGGTCACCAAGTCCTTTCATTATACCTTAAATGTCTCTGGAAATCCTGATATCTTCTCATGTTCATTGCCATTCCTGAGTTCATATCCTAATAATTCATTTCCAAATTACTGCAGTAACTTCCCATTGTTTCTCTATCTCCAGACTTGTCCCCATTTGATTCATTCTCTATTCTACAATCAATGTTTTTGCTACAAAATACACAACTGACACCTTCAGCTTAAATTCTTTTTAGAGGCTGCTGTGACTTTGAGGAAAACTCAAACTCTAAACCATGCCATTGAGGCTGTGACATAAGCTGGCCTCCTGGGACCTTTCTCACTACTGCTCGTGCTAATTTATGTTCCAGCCAGGACTGATCACATAATTTGTGGGGCCTAGTGCAAAATGAAATTACAGACACCATGTTCAAATATTATTAAGAATTTTAAGAAGACGACAAGAAAGCATTTAACTAAGTGTGGGGTTCTTCTAAGCACAGGACTTATGTGACGGCACAGGTTTCACAACCATGAAGCAAGTCATGACCTGCACGACCAATATGCCATCCTATTTTATTTCATTTCATTTTTTTAGCTTCTTTTGCTCAGACCGTTTCCTCTGCCTGCTGCCCTTTTCCATTATTACCAGGCTAAATCCTATTACTCCTTACAAACTCAGTTCAGATATCTTAAACTCTTAAAATACTTTTCCTGATCTCAACCCTCCTCTTACTTCCTGCTCTGATTAAATATCCCTCTTCTGTGTTCCTAGGATACCCTGTATGTACCTTTGTGGTAGATTCTTATCATTAAATTGTTTATATCTTTCTCCTTCAGTCTGTGCACTCTGACTTTCCCCTTGACATCCCAGAGTCTAGAACAGTTCTTGGCACACAGTATGTGCATAAAAGTTTGTTTAGTATAAAATTAAAAATAAATGTTTTTTAGAATGAAAGCTCAGAATTTTAATTCAGTGTTTCCTTTCATAACAGCACACATAATTATTCTTTTTGCACATATTTAGGAGTGCATATTTTGCTGGCATATGTCAGGTGAAGTGTTAAAACACAGACTTCACTATATGTTATGAAGATCAGAAGGAATAATTTGACCTTTAAAATTGATATGAGTCTATACTATAGCTATTAAATACACAATTTTAACTCAGTCATTTGATATGTGTATTAGCCTTGTGAATAATTACTTTTTCAGAAGCTTTGCATATTTAAAAAATAGGGATTTTTAAAAAGAATATGTTTCTTAGTTTCTTACTAATGTTCTGAGTGACATTTAATGTCTAAAATTTATCTAAGAGCCAGAGAAATTGATCTATCAGGGTTTACCCTTTCCTAGAAGGCTTTAGCTGTTTTTTGCTCTTACTGAAAATGTTATATTTGTAGTAGACTTTTACAGCAAAATACGGTCTCCTGTGGAGTCACTCGGACAAATATAAAACCCCCTTTAACTCAATTAGGTAAACTGCGCAACAATTTTATTCCTGTTTTAAAGAAGTGGAACTCTAACTGCCTAACATGGTGGATACCCCAAATTTACTCATTCATAGTATTTTTTAAGAATAACCTAATAAAAAATAAAACCATCTCATTTAATAATTTCAATAAAAAGAATAACTTAATAATCCAATTAATTACTCAAAGTATTTGAAGCTAAAGTCTTTTCACAATGTATTTTTAGATATTTGAAAATATATTGTACTTAAAATTTTCACTTAACCTCATATCAAAATTATGTCCCTGTTATTAAAAACCTTATTATCATAAGTATTAAAAATTATGTTTTTATATGAAGATGGCATTATTAACTTATTATTTCCTTTTGTGTAAGTTTTCTGGTGTTGCTAAGTTTTTCTGAAATGAATAGCATTATAATAAATATATAGTAAATACATATAATTGGGTCAAATTGCATTATCAAATTGCTTTCTACAAACATTGTACCAAACTACATTTTAAATGTCTGTGCATTGACCTTTTTTTTTTTTTTGGGTAGACACTATTGTTTATTGACAAATTTCTTTTTTTTATTATTATTATTATACTTTAAGTTTTAGGGTACATGTGCACAATGTGTGGGTTAGTTACATACGTATACATGTGCCATGCTGGTGTGCCGCACCCATTAACTCGTCATTTAGCATTAGGTATATCTCCTAATGCTATCCCTCCCCCCTCCCCCCACCCCACAACAGTCCCCAGAGTGTGATGTTCCCCTTCCTGTGTCCATGTGTTCTCATTGTTCAATTCCCACCTATGAGTGAGAACATGCAGTGTTTGGTTTTTTGTCCTTGCAATAGTTTACTGAGAATGATGATTTCCAATTTCATCCATGTCCCTACAAAGGACATGAACTCATCATTTTTATGGCTGCATAGTATTCCATGGTGTATATGTGCCACATTTTCTTAATCCAGTCTATCATTGTTGGACATTTGGATTGGTTCCAAGTCTTTGCTATTGTGAATAGTGCCGCAATAAACATACGTGTGCATGTGTCTTTATAGCAGCATGATTTATAGTCCTTTGGGTATATATGCAGTAATGGGATGGCTGGGTCAAATGGTATTTCTAGTTCTAGATCCCTGAGGAATCGCCACACTGACTTCCACAGTGGTTGAACTAGTTTACAGTCCCACCAACAGTGTAAAAGTGTTCCTATTTCTCCACATCCTCTCCAGCACCTGTTGTTTCCTGACTTTTTAATGATTGCCATTCTAACTGGTGTGAGATGGTATCTCATTGTGGTTTTGATTTGCATTTCTCTGATGGCCAGTGATGATGATCATACCATTTCTAACATGTATTTTCTTTTTCTCTCAATATTTTACAAAATATTTACTAATTCAGTGAAAATATTGTTTAAACATGTATTTGATTATTTATGAGATTTGAGACTTTTTTTTTACAAATTTTTATTATTTGTTTACATTTGTTTGAATACAAAAGGAAGTAGTAAAACTTTACATTAGTATCACTGTATTAATTATTTCCCTGAGCCATTTTCCCACTCCCTTTGAATAATGGTATTCTAAATAGTTCTTGCCTTATAGCACATTCCAGACTCCTCTTTTTCTTTCTTCCTCCTCTCTCTGTCTCTTATATGCTTATATTCTCAGGCTTTCTTCTCTTCTGCCTATACAACTCTCCCCATTTGATTTCATCTGCTCTAAGTGCTAAAGAATCCATTTATATTTTTATCTTCAACTGACATGTCCTTTTCCTTTCTTTGAGCTTTAAACACAGATTGCCAACTGTTTACTGAATGCCTGTAGTTGGCTCTCTGATAGCTACTTCAAAATTAACAAATCTGAAATTTAATAAGTCATTTCCCCCATCAAACTTGAGCAGCCCCACGCTTGCCCCTTTCTGATGTTTCAGTCATTGGATTATCATATAACCATCATCCAATAACTCAGAGGCATATATTATCAGCCTTTAAACCTTCAACTATCAGATTTCATCAATTATAATTTTGAAATATTTCTCAAATTGTGTTCAAACCCACTGATATCATCCTTGTCCAAAACACGTTGTCTGGACTATTTAAATAATCTCTTAGCTGCAACCCTCCATTTCCAATCAATTTGCACATAACAGTGAGAATTATATTCTTAAATGCATATTCTATCATGGCACTCTCATTCTTAAGATCTTTAAGACTTCAGCTTCCAGCCAATATGGAATAACCAAGACTAGACTTGTCTCCCACTTAAAACAACTAAGAGTGTTGACAAAAATATATGAAATAATAGCTTTCTTAAGGTAGATGTCAAGCAATGAGAGGCAGTGACACCTGAGAGACAGGAAATAAATTGCCCAGTCACAGCATGGAGAATTTCTAGGCATACAGTAAGATATAGGAGAGGAGACAGCTGCACAGAAAAAGAATTGCTAAAATCTGCCAAAAATCCTTTTCAATAATTCAGGCAAGAACTGATCAACATGTGTATGTGACGAAACTCTAAAAGCTTCCTTCCAAAGCTGAAGGAAGAATCACCTGAAGAAGTTAAGATTAGAGGAAACAGCAGTGGGAATATTTTATTTTGTCCTTGGCAGAGTAGAAAATCTTCTATTCTGGAAGTTTTACATAGGGCATTACATAGAACACTCAGAGGAATTGACTTAGTGAGGAATAATTACAACTAGACTAAAGATTACTCTGACTAACTTAACCAATCTTAAAAGCAAGACATGAAATATTTCTCAAAAATTAAGGTATAAAAAGTCATTTTGTGACCAGGCACAGTGGCTTACGCCTATAATCCTAGCACTTTGGGAGGCCGAGGTGGGTGTATCACCTGAGGTAAGGAGTTCGTGACCAGCCTGGCCAACATGGTGAAACCCCGTCTCTACTAAAAATACAAAAATTAGCCAGGCATGGTGGCGCATGTCTGTAATCCTAGCTACTCAGGAGGCTGATGGGAGGAGAATCGCTTGAATCCAGGAGGTGGAAGTTGCAGTGAGCCGAGATGGCACCACTGCACTCCAGCCTGGGCGACAGAGCGAGACTCCATCTCAAAACAACAACAACAACAAATAAAAGTCATTTTTTTTAGACACAGAAAAGCTGAAAGAATTTATCACCAGCAGAGTACCCTACAAAAAATATTAAAGGAAGTTCAGACAGAAGGAAAATGCTACCAGATGGAACTACACATAAGAACAAAAAGCATTAATATGGTAACTACCTGGGTAAATACATAAGATTTCTCTTATTATTATTTAACTTACATTAAACAATCATTAATTTTTAAACAAAATAATAACAATATAGGGTTGAGTTAATAACTACGTGGAAGAAAAATGATGAAAATATTGGCACAGAACCAAGAAGTGATAAGTGAAATTATACCAATATAAGGATTTTAGACTATATGTGAAATGATATAATATCACTTAAAGATAGACCATGCTAAGTTGAAGCTGTTTAATATAAACTTGAATGTGACCACTGATATAACAAGGTAGGGTCATAGCTAATAAGCCAGAAAAAAGGACATGAAATGAAATAATAAATAACAATTCAAAAAAGGAAATGAAAAGAGGAAAAAATAGTTAAGAGATGGAACAAATAGAAAATGAAAAGCAAGACGATAGATTTGACCTTAATCATATTAAAAATCAAATAATTATAAATGGTCAAAATATGCCAATTAAAAGGCAAAGATTTGTCAAGCTGGATTTTAAAAAGCAAGGCCCAGCTGAGTGTGGTGGCTCACAGCTGTAATCCCAGCACTCTGGGAGGCCAAGGTGGGTGAATGGCTTGAGTCCAGTAGCTTGAGACCAGCCTGGGCAACAGAGCAGGATTATGTCTCTACCAAAAAAAAAAAAAAAAAAAAAATCAAAACAACTATCTGGACATGGTGTCATGGACCTGTAGTCCCAGCTACTTGGGAGGCAGAAGTGGGAGAATCACTTCAGCCCCAGAGGTCAAAGCTGCAGTGAGCTGAGATCACGTCACTGTACTCCAGCCTGGGCAACAGAGTAAGACTCTGTCTCAAAAATTAAAAAAATGAAAAAGCAAGGCCCAATTAAATGCTATCTGCAAGAAAGTCACTTTAAACATAAAGACATAAATAGGATAAAAGTAAAATAATGAAAAAAGATACAACATGGTGAAACTAATCAAAATAAAGCTGGAGTGATGATGTTAACAACAAAGTAGATTTCAGAGCAAAGACTATTACTAAAGTTAAAGTTCATTTCATAATGATAAAGAGTCAACTGCTCACGAGGACAAAAAATTAGAAAATTTCACAATTTCAGGTGGAGATTTCAAAACCATTCTCTCACTAGTTGATATAACCAAAATCAGAAATCCATAGAAATACAGAAGACTTTAACAACACTCTCAGATAATTGTGCGTAATTGATATTCATAAAATAAAAACGTGAAGATATTCATTATTTTTATGTGCACATGCAATATTTACTAAGACCTTATGTGGGGTCACAAAGCAAGTATCAATAAACGTAAAAGAATTTAAGCCATAACAAATATGTTCTCTGACCAAAAAGAGGGATAAAAATCAATAATGGAAAGATATCTGAAAAATACCTCAAATATTTGGAAACTCCAAAGAAAAAATCAAAGGGGAAAACAGAAAATATTTTGAGCATAATAAAATGAAATAAATATCTAAATTTATTGGCTGCAGCTAAAGCAGTAATTTTATGGCACAAAATGTCTATAATAGAAAAGGAAAATCTCAAATCAATAATTTCAACTTCACCTAAAATAAGTAGAAAAAGTAGAGCAGATGAAGCCCAAAGTAAGAAGAAGAAAAGTCAGAGTGTAATTCAGTGAAATAGAAAACAGAAACAATAGAGAAAATCAATACAATCAAAAGCTAGTTCTTTAAAAAGATTTATGAAATTAGTAAAACTCATCCATACTGGTTAGACCAAATAAAGAGAGATTGCGTATATCACCAGTATCATGAAGGAGACACATATCCACTATAGGTTTTACAGATATTGAAGGGATAATAATAAGGAATACTATGACAAATCTTAGACCAAAAAGTAGACAATTTAGATGAAATGTACACATTTCTTGAAGGACACAAGCTAGCAAATATAACTCAAGAAGAAACAGATAACCTAAGTCATCCTATATAAAAGAAATGTATGGCAGTTAAAACATTATACACACATGCACAGTTCAGATGGTTTCACTGGTGACATCTAAAAACTTTTTAAAAGAAGTAAAAAAAGTCTGTATAATATTTTCCATAAAATTGAAGAGTAGGGAATACTTTCAAATCAGTCTCTCCATTGAATATATGATTTCAAAACAAGACAAATGTATTACAAGAAAAGAAAACTATAGGCCAACATCACTTGTAAATGTAGATTCAAAATTTCCAAACTAAGTTTTAGCAAATCTAATTCATATATATATATATGTATATATATGACCAAATGGATTGATCCTATGAATGTAATGTTGATCTCATAAAGAGATCAATAATAACTAAAGTTATTAATGATATTAATAAACTAACAAGAACGTATGATTATTCCAAAGGATTCTGAAAAAAATGGCAATATCCAACATCTATTCCTAAAAAAATCCTCTCAGAAAACTATAATAGAAGGGAAGTTCTTGTACTTAATAAAGATTATGTACAAAACCTAAAGTTAACACCCAACTTAGTAGTGACACACTGGTTGATTTCTCCCAAAGAAGAAGGACAAGGTAGGGATTTCTACTCTCACCACTCTTATTCAACATTGTACTTGTGGCAATAGCCAGTAAAATAAGAAGTAAAACATACATCAAGTTTAAAAAATAAGATATGAAATAATCTTTATTTGCAGAAGACATGACAGTTTATGTAGAAAAAGTTTTGGAGTTTGTGATAAGTAGCTCCTATAGTAACTAGCATGTATGTTTAGCAAGGTTGCACAATACAAAATCAATATAAAAATATCAATTATATTTCTATATTCAAGAAACAAACCAGAATTGAAAAAAAATCATTCCATTTAAAATAGCACAAAAATATAATATGCTTAGGGACAAATCTTACAAAATATGACATACTTAGAGATGAATCTGACAAATCTGACAAAACTACAATCAAAACATTGTTTAAAAAAATCAAGGAAAACATAAACAAATGGAGAGAAATACCAAGTTCATGGGCCAGAAGACCAAGTATTGGTAAGATGTCAGTTCTCCCAAAATTCAAATATTCAACACAGTCCCATAAAAATCTCAGAAGTCTTTTTGATGAATTGACAAAGTGATTTTAAAATTCATAAAAAATGCAAATGGCTCTAGAATAGCTACAATAAACTTGAAAATGAAGATGAAAATTAGAGGACTAACAATACTTGAATTTAAAATTTTAATATAAAGCTAAATTTATAAAGAGTGTATGACATCAGCATAAAAATTGAAAAAGCAACCAATAGAACTAAACAGATCATCCTGAAATAGAACCCTACATATAGGGACAGACAGCTAAATTTTGGAAAAGGTGTAGAGGCAGCTCAGTGGGGAAAGAATATTATTTTCAGCAAATGGTGTTGTAGCTATTGAATATTCACATGCAAAAAAAGAACTTTAATCCATACCTCTTACTATATCAAAAACTCAAAATGGATCATATATTTATATGTAAAACTTGAAACTAAAAACATGTAAAGGAAAACATAGTAAAGAACATTCTTTGTGACATTGGATTAGACAAACAACGAAAGCGTAATACTTAAAACCAAAAAGTCCAAAAAGATAAATTGGACTTTAATATTAAAACCTCTGCTCTTTGAAAGACACTGATAAAAGAATGAAAAGGCAAGCCAAAGACTGAGAGAAAATATTTGCAAACTATACTTCTGATAAAAACTTGTATCCAAAATATATAAAGAATTCTGTAATCTAAATAATAAGAAAATAAACAATCCTAAATAATAAGAAAATAAACAACAAATAAAAATTGGGCAAGATATTTGAACAGACACTTCATCAAAGAAGATATATGGATGACACACACGAAAACATTCAACATCATTAATCATCAGGAAAATTCCAGTGATATCACAGAAAATTCCAGTGACATCACAACATGTTTATTAGAAAGGCTAAACGACAACTAGCTCTACCAAGTGTTGACAAGAATATGGAGGAACTGGAATTCTCATACACTAATGGTGGAAATATATTGTTTTAGTCCAATAGAGTTTGGATGTTTTTTTCCCCTCCAAATCTCATGTTGAAATGTGATCTCCAATACTGGAGGTGGCCCTAGAGGAAGGTGTTTGGATTATGGGAGTGAATCCTTCATGAATGGCTTAGCGCCATCCTTTTAGTGATAAATGAGTTCTTGCTCATTAGTTCTATTAGTTCTTGCTCTATTATTCCACACTAATGCTCTGGTAGTTCACAAAAGAGCTGGTTGTTTAAAAGGCTTCTGGCACATCCTCCTTTCTCTTTGCTCTATCTCTAACCATGTGACAGGCCTGCTTCTCTTCACTTTTTGCCATAAGTAAAGCGTCTTGGGCCTCATCAGCAGCCATACAGATGCTGGTGCCATGTTAGTACAGCCTGCAGAACTGTGAGCCAAATAAATCTCTTTTCTCTATAAATTACCCAGCCTCAGGTGTTCCTTTATAACAATGCAAATGGAAAATGCATAGTCAAAGGTACTCATCTAAGAGAAAATCATATGTTCATACAGATATTTTAAACATGAATGTTCACTGAAGCTTTATTTATAACAGCCCAAAACTGGAAACAAATCAAATGTCTATCAAGAAGTCAATGGTTAAAGAAAGTGCTATGTCTTCATTAAATGAAATACATGTTGAGCATCCCAAATTCAAAATTCCAAAATCTAAAATGTTCCAAAATTCAAAACTTTTTGCGTACTGATATGATGCTTTAAAACATGTTCATTGTAGCATTTGGATTTTTGGATTAGAGATGCTCAGCTAGTAAATAGAATGCCAATATTTCAAAATCTGAAAAAAAAATCAAAAATCTGAAATACTTGTGATTCCAAGCATTTTGAATAAAGCATACTCAACCTTACTATTTAGCCATAAAAGGGAATAAGCAATTGATACATATAGCAACATGGGTGAACTGAAAATGAACATGCTGAATAAAAGAAGCCAGACAAATGAGGGCATATATATTTTTTCATTTATATAAAATGTTAAAAAGTGCACACTAATCTATTGTGACAAAGATGTTCAGTGATTGTTTTAGTATGGGAAGGAGTATGATAGCACAGAAGGGAAGAATGACAAGGGGATATGAGAAAAAATTTGGGGTTGATTAATATGTTCACTACCTTCATTATGGTGACAGTTTTTCTGTTTTTATGGGAATAGTTTTACAGGTGTATACATCTGTCGAAATGCCAAATTGTGTAAACTTTATATATAAGCAATTCATTATATGTAAAGTATGCCTGTATAAGAAAAAAAACTATAGACGCCTTAAGCATAAAGCTTAGCGTTTTAGCCTGTGCACATGCTGACTTTATCCAAACCTGGTTAAATCCTACTCTATCATCATGTTTTAGCTTAAACATCACCTTCTGAAGAAGGCCTCCCTGAACCCCAAGGAGTCAAAATTCCCCTGCTACATTCTCCCATGCTGTCTCATATTTTTTCTTTTGTACATCCAGATGCAAAATTTGCTTTTCAGACTTGCTTGTAGCTTGTCTGAGAACAGAAACTGTCATTCTCTTATTTATGCCTATGATCTGGAACCTTATTCAGTGTCTGGTTCAAAGTGAGCTTTCAAAAAGTAAGATTTGATTATATTGTAATTGAATTGAGGAGAAAGAAAGGAAACACTTTTAATTGGGCAAAATTTCCCACTACTCACAAAATGATTCCAGGTAGAAGCCCTCTTCTTTGCCTACCCTCAGATTTAAACCTACCCTTTTTTAGCCAAAACCAAAATTGTACATTCTCTGTCCTTTCTTCTGAGGAATTTAAACTGCCTGTTAAGAAGGTGAGAAATCCTTTCAAGTGGTCTTCTCAGCTTAGCTAGAATAACTAAAAACAGAAAAGCAAGTTAAGAAAGTTAATGTGAGCTTGTTCTTTTCATATTGTTATCTCCAGACTGTGGACACTCTGAGCTGGCTTTATTTACCATCTGAAAGATGAAATAAACTCAATAAACTCTTAGTGAAGGAAGAACTATGACCCCACAGCAATGGAAAAAAATAGTTTAGCTCATTCAGACTCTTCTATTGATAGAAAGATTAGAGGGCCTCAGAAAAAAAGGGGAGTCTTTTCCCAAAGAAATATTCACACATAAAAATGCATAAAATGTGACCTGCCCTAGGTTCTTGTATGCCATTGAACAGGATCGTGTTAAGCAAAAATGCATGATCGGGAACAAACTACATTGCATACTTATTCATGACATGTGCTCAATATTTTTGTACAAATGATATATTTTTATCTGCACAAAAAATGTATATTCAACATCTGACATGTACCCATCATTGTGCTATGAACTTTAGCTATAGCAGTGGTTTTCAAGTGGGAGCAATTTTGCCTTCTGAGGGGGGACTTAGCAATGCCTGGACACAGTGTTAGTTGTCTCAATTTGGAGGTAAGGGGGGCTGCTAGCATCTAGTCTGTAGAAGCCAAGGATGCTACTAAACATCCTACATTGCATAAGACAGCCCCACACAGCAAATAAGTATTCAGCTCAAAATATCAATAGTGTCAAGGTTAGGAAACCTTGGGCTAGAACAATAAAGTAGGTTGTGATGGCCCCTGCTCTCAGATAGTTCCTATCCTCAGTGAATTTGTGGTTAAAGTAACCCTTAAGACAAATAGTTACAAAGGCAGCAATGTGACTGTAAGCACGCTTATGTCCAATTCATATTTTTACCTTAAATGTACAGCATAGTTTTTAGTCCATTGTAGGTGAATAATGAACATGTGTTGAGTAATAGAATAGGTGATGCAAGCTTCTTATTTTTCCTCTCTATAATTTTATTTAGGTATGGATGTAGAATGTGTGTGTGTTTGCATGAGAAGATATATAGTGCGCTGTTGGGATTTTATGTTAATTTCTTTTAATAGCTTTGTTGAGATGCAATTGGCATACAGTATACTATATACACTTCAAGTATATAATTTGCTAAATTTTGAGATGCATATACACCCATGAAGTCCTCATCAAAATAAAAATAATGAACATATCCCTCACCACCAAAAAGTTCCTCATGATATTTTGTAATCCCTCCTACCTGCCACAATCTATTATTTAATTAGCAGCTAACCACCGACCTGCTTGTTGTCACTATAAATTAGTTTGCACTTTCTTGAATTTTATATAATGGAATAAGAAAGTATGTATTCTGTCTTTTCTATCTACTTTCATGTGGCAAAATTATTTTGGAAAACAATATTGTTTTTTGTGTATCAATAGTTCATTCCTTGTTACTGCTAAGTAATATTTCATTTTATACCACAATTTCTTTATCCATTCACCTCATGATGGACATTTGGGTTATTCCAGTTTGGGGCTATTAAAAAAAAGTTGTTATGAACGTCTTTTTGTTTGAGCACATGAGCTTTCATTTCTTTTGGATAAATACCTAAGACTGGTATGGCTATATCATATGATAGTGATGGCAGCAACAGGCCATCCGGAGTGGCCGCTGCCGTCAGCTGGCTGCAGCAAGGAGGCTGCAGCAGGGAGGCATGGGCAGTGGTGGCAGCAGCTGCAGGTGCAGCAATGGTGGCAGTGGGTCCCCTGTGCCCCATCCCCAACGCAGTTGAATGCACTGTCACTATCCACACGTGGCTGGACAGGACCTGCCCCCAGGCCTGGAGCTTCCATGGCTATGGACCCTGGCACTCCGTTATTCCCCTCCTCCATGGCTTCTGCAGGGAGGGCATGGGGAGGAGGTGAAGCTGGGTCCAGGGGGGTGCAGCACTTCACAGAGCCAGAGGGAGCCAAGGGCAGGGGAGCAGCACAGTCAGGAACAGAGGGACAGGCAGAGAGGGTGCCCAGTGAGGACCTGGAGCCTCTGCCCCAGGCTGTGAGGAGGCCCAGCAGGAGCTGCTCCACGGAGGGGGAGGGAGCCCCTCCCTCCCAGGTGCAGGAACCCTGAGTCTCTGCACTCTCGGGGCCAGGAAGGCCCTCCTGCCCCTGCCAGCTGAGGGGTTCCTGCTCCTGCTTCCTGACCTCTCCCAACTCCCTGCATTGCTCCGATCTTGAAGTGGGGTTGGGGCCAAGCCCGGTTACTGTCACAGCCCAGAAGTGTGTGCACACTCGAGGCAGCACTGGCATGACAACCTCCTGCTGCCTCGGACCCCTCTGGACTCTGGGCACTAGTAAGCAGGAAGGAAGCTGAGGGGGTCTGAGGGCGACTTGGTGCTGGCCTACAGGTGCCCCTTGGCACAAGCAGCATGAGTGCCATGGATGGAGGCAGGAGGCAGACAGGCTACTGGGCAGAAGGGAACAGGTCCTGGGTGAGGCCCCACCTTCAGGTCAGGGAGGGCCTGAAGGCTGGGGTCCAGGCTGCCAGTCCCACAGACTGAAGTGGGAACTTGTGGTGCCTTTTCTAGGCTCGCTCATGGACCAGTCAGCCTGCACTTCCTCTTCCCTGAGGCCCATAAAAACCCAGGGCTCAGCCAAAGCTGGACAGATGATGGGACACCCAGCTGCAGAGAGGCACTACTGTCTCTGCTGAGAACTGAACACTCCTCAGGATGACCAGCTGCGGAGAGGAGCTAAACACTTGTTGGGATGATCTGCCTGCAAAGAGGAGTTACCCTCGCTGCTTGGAGCCAAACACTCCACAGGACACCTTGGCTGTGGAAAGAGAGCTGCCCCCTGCAGGTCTCCTCTGAGCTGTTCTATCGCTCAATAAAGCTCCTCTTCCTCTTGCTCACTTTTCACTTGTCTGCATACCTCGTTCTTCCTGGTCCCAGGACAAGAACTCAGACCTGTTGAACGGCAAGGCTAAAAGAGCTATAAAAAACAGGGTGTGAAACATGCCCATTGTTCACCACATTTCAGGAAAAGAGAGGGAGAGAAGAGCTGTGGCCCTGTGAGGAGCCCTGACCTGGGAGCTCCCTGAGCCTGGGCTGTGAATCACTCTTTGGGGCCCTGAAGTTCCTGGCATCTCCAAGCTTCTGGGTGCCACTGCATTCTCCAAACTTCTGAGTGCCACTGCATTCTCCAAGCTTCGGGGTGCCACTGCATTCCCCAGTGCTAGCCGTGGTAGCTGCTTGCTGTGTACCTGATCCTGCCACAGCCTCACAGATAGCCAGTGTCCGGGATGGCACCTGGAGCTGTCCAACCCGCTGCAGCAGCCAGCATGTCTGACTGTGCACAGTGGCCAGACCCCACGCTCACTCACACACTCCTTGCTGCTCCACGCCTGACTTGCCCTTGATAGGCATAGGATCCAGGCTCTGGACAGGCATGAAATCCAGGCTGGTAGCATGAGCCAAGTGTAGCCTGTCAGGCCAAGTGGGCAAAATGAGCCCAGTGGGCCTGAGCAAAATTTGGGCAAAGGTACCACCAGCCACAGGACTCTGGCCAGAAAAGCAATACTCCAAGTATCCCGTAACAATAGGTGTGTGTTTAATATTTTCAGAACCTTTCAATTGTTTTCCAAAATGTTTGGACTATTTTACATTCACATCAGTGGTATAAAGAGCTCAAGCTCCTACACATCCTCACCAACTTTTGTAATGGTTACTTTTTAATTTCAGTCATTCTAATAGGCATGTAATAGTATCTCATTATGGTTTTAATTTGCATTTCCTTAGTAACTAGTGATGTGGAGCATTTTTCCATGTGTCCACTTGCTATCCATTAACATATTTGGTGAAATATCTGTTCAAATATTTTGTCCATTTTTATTGAGTTATTTGTATATCCAGTTTTGAAAGTTCTTTCATATCAGCGATACAAGTTCTTTATCAGGTGTATGATTTTCAAATATTTTCATTATTTCTGTCTCTTATATTTTCATCTTCTTAACAGTATCCTTTGAAAAACAGAAGTTTTAAATTTTTACTAAATTTTATTTAAGTTTTTTCTTTTATGGATAATTTTGGTGTTATTGAAAATATGAAATCTTTGCCTAAGGCCACAAAGATTTTCTCCTGTAGCAGCTTCCAGAGGTTTTTAATTTGTGGTTTTATATTTAGGACTATAATCCATTTTGAAGTAGTATTATACATTTTGGAAGGTAGGGATCAAAGATCTTTTTTATATAAATATACATTTAATTACCTTGCAACTACATTAAAAAAATCGATCATTTATTTGAAGTTCTATTTTTAGGCTGTTTATTCTGTTCCATTTATCTATTTGTCTGTCTCGGTGCCAACACCTTACTTTGTTGATTACTGCTGCTTAATAATAAATCTTAGGCTGAGATACTGTAACTTCTTCAACTTGGTTTTTTATTCAAAGTTGTTTTGGTTATTCTAGATCCTTTGTATTCACATTCCATATTTTCAGTTCTATGAATTTCAGAATCAAGTTGAAAAGTAGTTCTCCTTCAATTTATTGGAAGAGCTTTTTTTTTTTTTTCTCTTTTGAGACAGAGTCTCACTCTGTCACCCAGGCTGGAGTGCAGTGGCTCGATCTCAGCTCACTGCAACCTACACCTCCTGGGTTCAAGCAATTCTCCTGCCTCAGCCTCCTGAGTAGCTGGCACTACAGGTGCATGCCTCCATGCCTGGCTAATTTTTTGTATTTTAGTAGAGATGGGGTTTCACCATGTTACCCAGGCTGCTCTCAAACTCCTGGGCTCAGGCAATCCTCCTGCCTCGGCCTCCGGAGTGCTAGGATTAGAGGACTGAGCCACTGTGCCTGGCCTGAAGAGTTTTTATAGAACTGGCATTATTTCTTGCTGAGACAGCAAGGCTTTATTGTCCATTGTCACAGTGCAGCACTGAGTTCAGTGTAAAGTTCCCTAGTCACTGTGCTCTCCTTCCCCAAAGTGCATAGATTCTCTATATCTGCGCCCTATGTCTGCTGCCGGGGAATGGGGGAGGGGTGGCATCAGTGATTCAAGACTGTCTCTCCTGCTCTCCTCAAAGCCTCCCTCAGCAATATAAAGTTAAAACCAGGTACTGTTATTGCTCACCTGATTTTTGGTTCTTGTGATGGTGTTTGTCTGTATGTAGATAGTCATTAAAATTTGGTGTTCCAGCAAAGATGGGGGAGGGACAAACAGTGTAAGCTTCCATTCCACCATCTTGCTCCCAGAAGAAATTTTCATTGACTGGAAAATTCTAAGTTGACATTTAAAAATTTTCTTTATCTCAAAAATGTGTATTACTGCCTTCTAGCTTGCATTGTTTCTAACAAGAAATCTGCTGTCATTCTTTTTTTCCTCTATTTGTAGCAGGTCCTTTTTTCTCTGGGGTCTTTTAAAATTCTTTATCACTGGTTTTAAGCAATTTTATAATGATGTTGAGAGGTGAAGCCAGCTGGACTTCCTTCGAGTGGGGACTTGGAAAACTTTTCTGTCTAGCTGGAGGATTGTAAACGCACCAATCAGCACTCTGTAAAAACGCACCAATCAGCGCTCTGTGTCTAGCTAAAGGATTGTAAATACACCAATCAGCACTCTGTAAAATGGACCAATCAGCTCTCTGTAAAATGGACCAATCAGCTCTCTGTAAAATGGACCAATCAGCAGGATGTGGGTGGGGCCAAATAAGGTAATAAAAGCTGGCCACCCGAGTAAGCAGCGGCAACTCACTTGGGTTCCTTTCTGTGCTGTGGAAGCTTTGTTTTCTCGTTCTTCACAGTAATTCTTGCTGCTGCCCACTCTTTGGGTCTGCACTACTTTTATGAGCTGTAACACTCACCACGAGGGTATGTGGCTTCATTCCTGAATCAGCGAGACCACGAACCCACCAGGAGGAACAAACAACTCTGGACATGCCACTTATGAGAGCTGTAACACTCACTGCGAATGTCTGTGGCTTCACTCCTGAAGTCAGCGAGACCATGAACCCACTGGAAGGAAGAAACTCCAGACACATGTGAACATCTGAAGGAACAAACTCTGGACACACCATCTTTATGAACGGTAACAGTCACTGCAAAGGTCCCTGGCTTCATTCTTGAAGTCAGCAAGACCAAGAATCCACCGGAAGGAACCAATTCCAGACACAATGTGACTTGATGTAGTTTTCTTTGTTTCTTAAGTTTCAGGTTGGTTGTGCTTCATGGATCTGTGAGTTTAACGTTGTATTCAAATTTGAAATTTTGCTTTATTTAAATACTGCAAATAATTTTATGTCTCCTCTCGCTCCCTTTGATAAATACTATTATATATATATTGGGCTGCTTTAAGTTGTCCCATAACACACTAATTCCCTTTTCATTTTTCTTCAGTCATTCTTTTCTCTTTGTGTTTTACTATGGATATTTTCTATTGCTGTGCCATTAAGTACGCTAATTGTTTCTTCCACAATGTTTGACCTACCATTAATTTCATTCAATGTATTTTTCATCTTAGACATTATGGTTTTTGTCTCTAGAAGTTTGATTTACATCTTTTAAAAATATATTTTATATCTCTAGTAAACATGCTCAATCTTTCCTTTCACTTCTTGAACACGTGAAATGTTTAATTGTCCTTTTCAGTTAATTCAATCGGGCAATTTTTTTCCTGGCCTTGGATAGTTTCCTCACAGGGTTTTACTTTTAAGTTCTTAGCTGAACACATTAGGAGGACCTTGTGCCTGTCTCCGGAGTAATTTCTCTTTACAAGCTTCTCATCTCTTGCACTCTGCTCTGTGAGTTAGTTGCTTTGCCTTATTCAGACTCCCAGCTCTGTCTCCTCAGCTGTGGTAGTCTGCCTTAATTCACCCTTTCTGCAGTCAGGCCTAAAAACTATTCTGAGACATTAATCTGAGTGAATTACAGGATTCATCACATTTGTTTTGCCTCTCTCATGGAAAACTATCTCTTGTTGCCTGAGAGCCAAAGTCTTGAAAGACATTGTTTCATATAGTTTGTTCAGTTCATTTAGTTATTTCATCTGGGAGGGTAAGGCCAGTCTGGGTACTCCCATCTTGGCCAGAAGCAAATCAATCATTTTGGAATTTGATTTTTTTATCTCCTTAGATTCAGTTTATCTTAAGCCAGCTAATGAATAGACCATTTGTCTCCTCTGTCATCTGCCTTAAGAGAAGAATGCTTGCCTCCCCAAAGATATGGTCCCCATTTAGTATATATTAAAGGTGGAGAAGAGTGTGAATGTTACTTAGTTATATTTTAAATTCAGTGTAATTCAAAAGATTGAAGTCTGTGTTTTAAATTATATAATTCCAGTAACTAAAAGGAGAGAGAAAAAAAGATTGATTGGAAATGTTCCCTTATAGAAGGTATTTCCAAATTCGTATGCAACATACAAAATCACATATAAAGACATATAAATAAGACAGGATGCATCATTATAAAATTACAAAGGTGGTACTAAACAGTTTCTTAAGAAGGACAAATATCTTCTTGGAGGAAAAATTAAGAAAACCATTTCAAAAGCATCCACAAATTTCTATTACCACATCTATTAACCTGCCTATTTCTATATCCAGATATTCTGGCTTCTTTTGTATTACTGTTAATGATCTTTCAGTGACCTAAAAAAACCTCCAGACACCCCTATTTGCATATCCCCTTCTTTCTATTCATCAACATTGACCCAGACAGTCTCCTTTTAATCTCCTGCATCGAGATTTTTCTTTTCTTTGTTTTATTCCTCCTGTGTCTTTTTCATCAGCTTACAGGCTTGCTTTTATTACCCCCATCTTAACAAAAAAACAAAACTCTTGACAATAACTTCTTTTTTTATGTACCAGTGCATTTCTCACCTTCCTCACGAGGCCAAACTCATTACTTTCTCCAATATCTGTCCAAGATCCTCTCTGGAGTTTTACTCTAATCTGGCTCTCAACCTCTACAGCTTTACCCAAACTGCTGTTATCAAGATTACAAACATCTTTGTTTTGCTAAATCTAAGTTTTTCATCCTCATCTTCCATGAACTAACAACAGTATTTCATACACTTGATCACTGATCTCTTCAAGAAAAAACAAAAGCAAACAAAAACGTCTTTTCTGAACAGAAATTACCCCACAGGCTTTTTCTTATCATTTTGGGTTAATTTTGTTTTTTCTTCTTTATCAGTTTTTCCACACCTCTGAAGCTTTTAACGTTAGAAGACTTGGTCTTTGGATCACTATTCTTCTCTTGCTATATTCTTTTTCTCAATTATCTCATTCCTTATCATAATAATATAATAGTTTGCTGTTAATGTTTCTTTTAAGTGCAGCACATTCACTTGACTTCTTGAACTATCTCTTTCATAGCACCCATAGTATATTTTATAATATAAATCATGAGACGTATAAAAATAATAAGACATTAAATTTTAGCCTCCTTTTATATTTGTTACATAGGATTATATATATAAATTTTATCTATTTGTACACATAAAAAGAGCCTGTGTCTGAACTGGTAATTCTTCCAGTTGATGTTCATTCCTGGCTTTCAGCTATTTTCTATTTGTTTTTAAGTAATTAAGACAATTATTTTAATCAGTGCAAACTGCTTCCAGGCCCTACTGCTTCTATAGCTTTTCAAAATCTACAACTTGTTTTATTTGTGTAAGGCCCAGATAAAGCATATTGCTTGCCTTCTTTTCCTGTTTCTTTCTGTTTCTATTTTGCTTTATTTAAAATGTTAGCTAAAAATACATCTTTATTATTAACATACATTTCCAAATTTATCTCTTCCTACATGATTTCTTCCTGCATTTAACTTTGCCATACTGTTAGGAAGGTGACAGCATAAATCACTTATGAAATAAGCCTTCCATGATGATGACATCCACATGGTATTTTTAAGTAGAATTTGTAAGTCTGATGGCAAATTTAAAACCTTGGCATCATAAGTGGGTTCTTCTTCCTTGGTTTTGCCAGCAATAACAGCTTAACTTTTCAGATCACTTTCTATTACCGATAAAAATATTAACCCAAACTAAACCTAAGAAAAGTGTATTGTTATGAGCCAGTGTTCACTTAGCATTCTAGAAGACAGAAATAAATAATAAACTAGTCAAATAAATAAATTTATAGAATGCTGCATTGTAATATGTGATAAGGAAAAATTAAAGCAAAGGAAACAAATGAGGATTATTTTGAGGAGGGAGGCAGTTTGAGTTAGTAAAGTCAAGGATGGCCTTAGGTGATGTAAATAGCCTAGAGAAGGCAAGGGAGAAAGCCATGTAGTGATCCGTGGAAGCAATGAACACTCAGAAGGAATAGTAAGTGTGAAGGTGCTTAACTGGCATATTTAGAGGACAGCAGGGGACTTACTTGGTTGGAGATGAGTAACTTAGAGCAGGGGTTCCCACCTCCCAGGCTTCAGACCAGTACCAGTCCATGGCCTGTTAGAAACAGGGCCACACAGTAGGAGGTGAGTAGCAGGCCAGCAAGCATTACCACCTGAGCTCAGCCTCCTATCAGATCAGCTGCAGCATTAGATTCTCTTAGGAGAGCAAACCCTATAGTGAACTGTGCATGTGAGGGATCTAGGTTGTGTGCTCCTTATGAGAATCTAATGGTAAATGTAATGTGCTTGCATCATCCTGAAATGATCCCCCCCAACCCTCCACCCATCCTCGGTTCCAAAATATCTGGGGACTTCTGAATTAGCGAATAGTAGGAGATGAGAGCACAGAATAAAATCGGTCTAGAGAAGAAGTACATTGTGTATGCTTTTCAGTACTTACTAAGAATTTAGGCTTTTTCTAACAGTCAGTATGAAATCTATTGGGAGGGTTGGAGCAGAGGAGAGATGTAATCTGATTTAGGTTTGAACAAGATCGTTGGATTTTATATTGAGAATAGAATATTGGTGGCAGATGATAAGACAAAGGAAACCAGTCAGGATGCTATTGCAATATTGCAGTGAGATATCGTGATGGTTTGAACTAAAAAGTTAGTGGTGGTGTTGGTGAGGAATGATTCTGGATATGCTGATACATTTGATATGGCGCATTAGAGAAAGGGAGGGTTCAAGGATGACTCTTGAATGACTAGAAGAATGGAGTTGTCATTTGCCAAGATAGAAAAAGAAAACAATTTTTGGTCATGTAAATTTGATCTTGAGTAGACAGAAGGTTACATGAGTCTGCAGTTAATGTGAGCAATGTAAACTTGAGAATAACCATTGTATAGTTTGCATCTAGAGCCATGATTCTGGATTAGGTTACCAAGAAAATGGGCATAAATTGGAAAGAAAAGAGGTCTAAGCACTAAGCCCTGACATATTCTTACAATAACAAGATGTGAAATAGAAGGAACCAGTTAAAGAGACTGAAAAGGAAAAGCTAGAGGATAGAAGAAAAACCAGCAAAGTGTTTCAGAAAGAAGGAGCAGATAATAACCAACTGCCTCAAACACTGCATCTAGATCAAGTACAATTATTATTTACAAGAGAATTTACCCTTGCATTTAGCACTATAGAATTCATCAGTGACCTTAATGAGAGAAGTTTTATGACGTTTTATAAGAGATTAGAATGGATTTAGGATCGAATAAGAGTAGGAAAATTGGGGAAAGCATAGACAACTTTTTCAAGAGATTTTTCTGTAGAGAGAAGGGAAGAAATGGAGCACCAGATGAAAGAAGTGATAGCAAAAGAGGATTAAAAAAAAAGATAAAAGCAGTAGCTTGTTTCTTGACTTACAAGAAAGATCCAATAGTGATGGACAAAACTAATGCTGTACTAACAAAAGAGTATTTGCTAGGGCAGTATCCTTGAGGAGAAGAAGTGTGATTTAGTGCTGAAGTGTAGGGTTACTAGGATCACTGATGTTATATCCATAGAAAGAGAAGGAGTGGCAGATTCTTGGGCAACAATATAGGCAGGGGTAAAAACGTGGTGGTGGGAATGTCTGGAAGTTCTCTCTTGACTATTTTTACTATTTTTATAGTAAAATTGGAGGGAAGGTCATCAGCTGAGCATGGCAATGGGGAAAAATGTTGGCATTTGAGAGAAGAGTGTTAAATAGCTATCTAAGAGAGAGGGAGAACAAATGAACTAGAAAAATATAGTGGGCATTTATCAAATAGGTTGTTATTTGGATTCGACTTTTGGCTTAGAAAAGTGAATACAGCAAAATAAGAAAGGGGCAAGGAAGTGGAGAATGTAAAGAAGGTGTGATTATGACTGGCCATGACATTAGATCAAAGTCTAGAGGGAAAAGAAGACTTCAGGGGGTAAGGGAAAGTGAAACATTGATAAGACAAATTTATGTTACCCAATTGTTTGAATAATTGTTGGAATTAGCTACAGGAAATGAGCTAGATAGGAAGTGGAGTTAAAAAATATGATGCTTGAAATTCAGCCAATAGAGAGGTTTTAATTATTGTTAGTTATATAGTAATAGGATGTGCCCATGGGTGGGAGTGGCTGAGTTGGGGTGAAGGAAAATGTTATTGGAAGAAAAGTGGTCAAGAAGCTGCAATTATAATAATATGAATGGTGTCCATAGATATCAGTAGGGATTCTATAAATTGCCTCTTCTCTTACGCAGTGGTTTAAATGTATGTGTCCCCACAAAATTCATATGCTGGAACTTAGGTTAATGCAACAGTATTAAGAGGTAAGGCCTTTAGGGGGTGATTAAGTCATGAGAGTAGGACCCTCATAAATGGGATTCGTGCCTGATATTATTTGGTTGTGTGTCTCCTCCAAATCTCATATTGAAATGTAATCCCCAGTATTGGAGGTGGGGCCTGGTGAGAGGTAATTGGATGGATCATGGGGCATATTCCTCATGAATGGCTTAGTACCATTCCCTTGGTGATGAGTGAGTTCATGCAAGATGTAGTTATTTCAAAGTGTGTGGTACCTCCTCTCTCTCTCTCTTGCTCCCATTCTCACCATGTGATGTGCCTGCTCCCATAATGCCTTCTGCCATGATTGTAAGCTACCTGAGTCCCTCACCAGAAACTGAGCTGATGTTGGTGCCATGCTTGTACAGTCTGCAGAACCTTGAGCCAATGAAACTTTTCTTTATAAATTACCTAGCCTCAGGTATGTCTTTATAGCAACAGAAGAATGGCCTAACAGAAGCCCTTGTAAAACAGTTTGAGGAAACTAACTTGCCAATTTCCCCTCCCATCCTTCTCCCATATGACGATACAACATTTGTCTCATTTTCCCTTTTTATCCCTTTTGCTTTTTCATCTCTTCTGCCATGAGAGGACTCAGCAAGAAGCCACACCAGACACCAAATATTGGTGCCTTGATCTTGGACTTCTCAGCCTCCAAAGCTGTGAGAAATAAATTTCTGTTGTTTATAAAGTACTCTTTAATTCCTATTTATATGTTACCACATGAAGCCCAGACTTCCCCAGTCATCCCTATTCCTTCAGACTGTAATTTCCATATAGCTCTGTATAT
Organism: Homo sapiens; assembly: GCF_000001405.40. NCBI lineage: Eukaryota > Metazoa > Chordata > Mammalia > Primates > Hominidae > Homo > Homo sapiens. Next base: position 106,562,636 of record NC_000011.10, read on the forward strand.
TTATTTTTCTGACACCATCTTCCACGTTTACCCATCTTCCGAATCTTTCACTGTACTCCCTCTGTAACTTAAAGCTGTCTCTCCTCTGAGGATTATTCCCACATTGGCTTTCTCTCCCATACCTCTCTTACCTTTAAACCTGGAGGTGAAGATTCCTCATTGCCTCATCCGCATCATTTTCCTGCATTTTCTTACATCATACCAGCTTTGACTCTCATGTCATTAAACAATACCATCGACACACCTTCCTTGTTTTAGCAATCTTCTGCCCCTACATAAATCTCTCTTATTCCTTGAAGGTTGTGGCTGCATGCACCCTTCCAATCACATTGTCAAACTCTATTCCTGTCAAAATTCCTGATAACTTACATATCCTTCAATAATATGGCAAGTATTATGTTAGATTGTCATTGGTTTGAGGTGATAGAGGTGCTCTATCCCTAGAAAGTCATCAAAGAGACTAGATACCATCTTAAGACATATTTTACACAAAAAAATATGAGTTAGTAGACTGAGAGAAAGGTCAAGAGTTTTAAAAATAATGTCTATTAAAGATATATGGCAATCATTCTCAAGTGGGGACAGTTTTGCCCCCAGGAGACAATTGGCAATGTCTGGAGACATTTTTGGTTGTTGCAACTGGGGGTGGGGGTGGATGTGCTACTGGCATTTGGCGAGGAGAGGCCAAAGATGCTGCTAAACATCCCCTGCAACAAAGAATTATCCAGCCCTAAAAGTCTATAGTGCTGGTTGAGAAACCCTGGTATATGGTAATAATTGCTCTTCATTTTAGGATTTCCAATCAGGAAAATGCACTGATTTATCTGTCTTAAGCACACTAGCAGCTTTTATATAGAATAAGAATACAGTAAAAACTTTTGTAAAAAAAACCTAAAACCTATGGAGGATTACAGGATTTTTGAAATATAAAAAGATGAAGTTCACACTGTTAGAGCCTCCATGTTTTTAAAAATTTCCTCCCCCATGAGTACAGAAAGTCTAACTGGGCGTTTTATCTTAAGTTGAAATGTGGCATGGTCCATGATTTCAAGTTATCATTTTTTATTCACAGCCTAAGGAGCTTTCCTCTTAGACGCTTTACTCCTGGGCTTACATTTGGAAGAAGCATATTTTCAAACAAATAAAAAAAATCTAGCCTGGTCTTTCAAGCTGCTTTATTTAAAAGCGGATGGAAGGGGTTTGTTAGCCTCATTTATGTCCAATGGCATTACTCTGCAGAGTGATTGGCTTGAGTTCACTGCCTCTCAGTTATTTATATATGCATTTATTTTAAAAGTATTTATCGAATTCCTACTATATGCTAAACAATGTGTTAGCAATGGGGATACTCAGATAAATAGAGAAAGTCCCTGGATTCAAATTTCTTTCCATATGGTCAAGGAGAAAACCATAGAAATTATAATAATAATTCAGTAAATTGTTATTTAATGAATTAATTTAATAAATTAAGATAATAAATAATAAAAAGTAGGTAATAACACAAAGGAGTGACTTACAATTCTGTGTAGTATTGGAAAGTAATTTCAGAAATGTTACAAGATAAAATGCTACTTAAATTGAAATTTATGGGTAAAAAGAAAGAGAAATTTAACATTTGGGGTAGCCTACCATGTGTCAGACCCTCTACAAAGCACTTTATGAGCTTTTCTCTTTTAATCTTCACAATAACCTTGTATGATACAGTTATTATCCACATTTTGCATTTGGGAAAACAGAAGCTTCAATAAGTCAGTCAAGGTTACCATGGAAAGAAGTGGTAGAACTGAGATCTGGGTCTACGTCTAACTCCCAATAGATATGTATGTTCTTTTCAATAAGCCAAAAGGAGGAGACAGGTTTAAATACTGAGGATGCAATTTACTCACATTTACCAAGTATACCAGAGTTTTATTTCTCATTTAACCCACCTCACCTAAAACTAAAACTCCCAGAACATCTGATTCCCTCCCTATTGCCATACCTGCCCTGACCCACAGTGAACCTATCAATAGGTAGGGCTGAGTCAGTGAGATCATTTTTCAAGAATATGAACAAAAATATTGTACTCAAAAAGATATTATGCCTATGGCGATGGCTTGCTGCTCTGCTAAGTCACTTCATGCTGGGGCTGAAGTAGACTAGAAAGAAAAATATTGAGTCAATGTTGTATAGAGGCAACATGCTGTAGGATCAGAAACCATAAGTAAGCAGAGAAAGCTGTCAGGGGAAGAAGAGAGGGAAGCAGAAAGAAATGTCTGGAAAAGACACTGAGACAGCAGCAGGTATAGCTCTTGAAGGAAGCTTTCTGTTTCCTGTTAGGCCTGGCATCTTACAATATTACCGCTCTCCTCACCACCATCATGCTTACAACCCTTTAACTGGAGCTCAAAGTTGGTTAGATTGCTTTTAATGAAAAGAAAAATTTGAACTGGAATAATACTAGTAAAAATACAGAGCTATGAGACAATAAGGAAGAAGTACCTTAGAATCACGGGAGCACAGTGGACACCTGGTATCCACTAATGAACTGGAAGAGAAAGGAGGAAGGAGGGCAGACTGAGAATGCAAAGTGCCTTTTCTGTTGGGCCAAGGATTTGGATCTTATTCTAAAAGCTTTGAGGAGGCTTTAAATGCTTTAAAGCAGCTCTTGAAACTAGACTGGTTTATTTATCTCTGTATCAACAGCACCTGGCTGAGTTATACTAAGTTTATGTTTGATAAATATGTATTATATCAATGAAAAAAATAAGTGAGGAAAATAAAAATAACCATGGAGTTCAGTTCTACATCACAATTATAGTAAGTGAAACCGTAACTGATAAGAAAGCCAGTTATAAGGAGCTTCGAGGATCAGGTATTAGAGGACACCTGCTAGTAAGCCAACAACAGAATGTGGAACTCCAGCCATGAGGTGGAACCATGAGGTGGGGGTGAGTGATGAGTAGTGTGATACAACTTTAAAGAACAAGGAAGTGTTGACAAAGGGTGAGGTAGAAGAGATCAGCATGGATGTCTTTAAGAAAGACCTGGTATGATCTGCTAACAATCTTAACATTAATGTTCTATAGTTTATAAGCAACTATTAAGGATTTTCCATATAGGAATTAATTTATTAACTCCCTACAACCTATAGTTATTGAGAAACAATTACATTCCAAATATTATTCTTCATGCAGTGAATACCTTGGTGAAAAAGATGGTAAAAAAGTTTATTGTGGAATTTACATTATATTGGGAGCAGACTCATGAGAAAATACATTTTTTTATTTATTATTTAAGCATAATAAATAAGAAAATGTATTCAACTTGTTAGAGGTAATGCGTGCTATGGAAAAGAAATTAAGCTTGATTGTGTGCTAAAATCTTAACAGAGTGGTTGGTGTAGACATCACTGAGAAGGTGATGTTTGAGCAGAGATTTGAAAGAGATGAGGAAGTGAACCTGGCAAGTACCTACTGGAAGAACACTCCAGAAATGAATTTTCTCCAGTCACCACAAATGGCCTAAGACAAGAGAACATCTAGCAAGCCAAGGAAATCCAGGGGAGCTGTAAGGACAGAGCAGAAGGGGTGAGATGAAGAGAAGGAGATAAGATCAGAGAAGGAATGCAAGGCAAGATCCTGTAAGACTTTATAGCCAGACATATATTTTAAGGTGAGTATTCTGTCAGCTATGCAGAAGATAAATGTTAGAGGAATAAATTACTTGGTATAATTTTGGTTCTAAGCA